>NC_000001.11:178639132-178942162 GCF_000001405.40 Homo sapiens
CCCTGTAAGATCCCATATGCCCTCATCCCTATTCCCATCCCTAGCCCCAGGCAATCACTATCACTGCCTGTCTTATAAATGTGCCTTTTCCAGATATTTCATGCAAATGGAATCATACAATATGTGGTCTCTTGTGTCTAACTTATTTTACTGGGTGTAATGTTTTTGAGGTTCATCCATAACATAGCATGTGCCAGTAGTTTATTCCTTTTCCATTTCTGAGTAGTATTCCATCATATGAGTATAGCATATTTTATGTACTGATTTACCAGCTGATGGACATTTAGGCTGTTTCCAGCTTCTGGTGATTATGAATAACACTGCTATGAACATTCTCATGTTAGTCTCTGTGTGGTCATATGTTTTCATTTCTCTTAGGAAATTTGGGAGTGGAATTGCCAGATCATTTCATATTTAACTTTCAACTGTAAACTGCCAAACTGCTTTCCAAAGTGGCTTTATCATTTTACATTCCCACCAGCAATTGTGGGTTACTTCTCCTCCCTAAGACATAAGACAAGTATCCTTTAATCTTTGATCCACTTCCAGTTTTTTTACTCTAAGATTCAATGAGGTCACTGAGAATGTTTCAGCTATGTTTTCCTGAGTTGAATGTCACTTTTATTCTCTACAGTTACCTTGAGTAGTCATTTATGACATGTATACTCAATATACACATGTGTCATTATCTATTTATTTAAAACACTTAGCTCATCAAGTTGACTCCAACAACCATTTGATTTTTAACTATCTCAGGGAATGGTCATGCAAAGGTATTTGTGTAAACTCTGAGGCAAACAACAGTATACAGCTCAGAAGATTTGCCGGGAAACTGAACTCCTCAAAAATAGATTTCACAAGAGTGCAACCTCAGGTGGTATTTTCCGTAAGAGTATATTGGTCCCAAATGTGTCCACATGAAACTCATTAAGATGAAAAGTTAGTACAGAGGACATGTACATAGAAAACCTCAGAGGCCAGAGGAAACAAGTTTAGGGAAGAAGCAAAACAAGTGTAGGGTTAAAGAAGGTATACACCAACACGTCGCACAAATTTACCTTAGAATGTTTTTTTTTAATTATGCCTCCATAGTTAAAGAAACTGTGGTCAGAAATCCTAACCTTTTCGAAAAGCTTTCTAGACTGTTTTTACACAATAGCAAGAATATACATTTAAAATTTCTTGCCAAGTGACAAAAAATACTGAGATTCAGAAATAAAGCCTAAGATAATTAGAGTCTAAAAACTGCCATCGAGGCCTTGGTAATATTAAATATGTTTACCAGAGAAGGAGGTTGATGATGTCACAACTATTGTCCCTGAGTTTATTCGTATAAGTTGGCTGAACTAAGATTTCTATTATAACACTGAGAATAGAGTATATAAAGAAAATCACTGGTTATTCAGGAATAACATGAGGAAGTTTCATGTCTTGATTGTGGAGTTGGTTTCTCATTCTACACATGTGCTAAAATATCATAGAATGCCCCCACACACACACACAGTGAATGTGAAAACTAGTAAAATCTGTATCGTCTGTACCTGAGTGAATATCATACCACTGTAATGTGGTTTTGAACCTGCACTATGTTATGTGAATTATTTTCACTGGGGGAAGCTGGGTGAAGTGTACATGAGAACCTTCTATACTATTTTTGAGACTTCTTGTAAATCTTGAACTTCTTTAAAATAAAAGTCATTTGAAAGAGAGAAAGGAAGAAAACTACTACGTTTAAAATTTATGTCTTTTTTTTTTTTTTTTTTCTAAGACAGTCTTGCTCTGTCGCCCAGGCTGGAGTGCAGCTGCGCAATCTCGGCTCAGTGCAAGCTCCGCCTCCCAGGTTCACGCCATTCTCCAGCCCCAGCCTCCCGAGTAGCCGGGACTACAGGCGCCCGCCACCACACCCGCTAATTTTTTGTATTTTTAGTAGAGACGGGGTTTTGCTGTGTTAGCCAGGATGGTCTCGATCTCCTGACCTCGTGATCCGCCCACCTCGGCCTCCCAAAGCGCTGGGATTACAGACATGAGCCACTGCGTCCGGCTAAAATTTATGTCTTGGTTGGGGGCTGTGGCTCACACCTGTAATCCCAGTACTTTGGGAGGCCAAGGTGGGTGGATCACCTGAGGTCAGGAGTTCAAGACCAGCCTGGCCAGCATGGTGAAACCCTGTCTCTACTAAAAATACAAAAATTAGCCAGGCATGGTGGCAGGCACCTGTAATCCCAGCTACTCAGGATGCTGAGGCAGGAGAATAGCTTGAACCCCAGGAGGCGGAGGTTGCAGTGAGCCGAGATTGCGCCACTGCATTCCATCCTGGGCAACAAGAGCAAAACTCCATCTCAAAAAACAAACAAACAACAAAACAAAACAAAATAAAAACTTATGTCTTACACTATTTCAAAATAAAAGGTATTTGAAATGCCTTAAAATAAAAGGAGGGAAGGGGAGGATAGAAAGAAGGGGAGAAGGGAGGAAACACCAGGGATTCTTTTCTTCCTTTTGTGGTCCGTGTAGGGTAAAGACACCTGAAAGCAATAACTTAAGCACACCCTTAGAATGACCCCGTATGGCAGATGCATCCAATTTGTATTCTGCGCTGGAGAATACAGGTGTGGCCAACTTGAGGATTCATTTGTTGTCTGTGAGGAGCATCTGAGCCCTGCCTGCCTCTGTCCCAACCATCGTTCTGGCCCGTGAAACACAGGTTGTACAGGAGAAGGAGGCCCCAAGTTTGGGTTGAATGAAGGTTGCCAGGTGGAGATTGTTAGGGAAAGGGTGCTGAGTGAAAACACTACCTAAATTGCATGCCTTTTGCAAGCGGTTGTGGTTCTTCTGCCTGGCCTGCCCCTACTGGGCCCGGGGGTTATCTTGTCCACCACTGGACTCTCTCCCTTGTATGTCACCCCCTAGTAAAACCTCCACGTATCTCATTTCTGGCTCTGTGTCTCTTCTTTGGCCTCTTGAACCTGATGCCTTTTCTGTTGAGGTTAATAGGGTGTAGGCACAGCAGTCAGGATGAACTAGAGGAAGTGAAGAGGTGGGGGACAGTAAGGTGCCTCCTAAAGTTGAAAATAAAGATCCCTTCTGAGAAGGAAATTATGAAAGATCAACACAACTAGCCCGCCTTAAACTGGAATGTGTATATGGCTGACATTTCCTAATGGAAGAGCCTAGGTGTAGCATGAGGAAATTAGCATGTCTAAACCCGGGGTCTTGCTGTTTCCACTGTAACTTTCTTTGGCAAGAGTGATAACAGAAGGAGTTAGCCTTCCCTGCATCTGCAAGCACAGAGTACAAACATCAAGAATTGTTCACAGGAAAGAGTCTGGACTGGCTGTTCCAGCATCCTTGGCAAGAGTTACCTCGACAGCAGAGACAGATGCATCAATTATCATAGCTTGGCGACAAGAGCCATTAAGACCATTCTTGAATTCCCTTCTCTATGATTCCATCCTTACTTTTAATTGTGCTTTGGCGATCTGTGTAGCTTTTGCATAGCAAGATAATGAGCTGATCGGCCAATGCAAGGATTTTAGTCCATTTGACATTATTTCTTCTTCATAAATTAGTTATTTGGCATTCTGGTTCATATATCAATATCGTGTGGGTTTTGTAAGTATGACTGAGCAACTGGAGCAGGATTTCTTAACCTGGAAACCAGGGGCGGGCTTCAAGGGATCCATTAAGCCCTAAGATTACTTGCAAAAGTGTGTGTGTGCCTTTGCAGTGTGCATTCATCAAGGAGAGGGGGAAATAGCTTTCAACAGATTCTCATAGAGGGTTTCAAGTCTGGATACACTGGCAAAATAGTATTTCTGGGCTTATAAAATTGAAGTGTCCACAATAAGACAGTATGCTGTGGTGTGCTGTAAAACAATGCCTATCAGGCAGGGGGTATGCTTTTGTTGTTGTTGTTCTCACTCTAACTATAATATCTTAGATTGAGGGGATTATTCATAACATGGTTTTGTTTTTCTTTTCACAGAATACCCTGGGAATATTTTCCTGTGCTATTCTTCTTTTATGACACCATTTTAAATAACTTCATAGAATTCAGTGGCTCAAATTCATCTTATGAGAAATATTTTAAAAGCTTATTCACTAATAACCCCTAAGAGGCTTACTGTTTATGTGAAATGTAGACTTGTTTTTATTAATAGACACCCAAGTGTGAGAACTAATTGCAGTCACTATTATTGACAGCTAATATTTATGATACACCAGCTCCATACCAGGCAATGTGCTAACTGCTTTGCATATGAAATCTGGTTGTGAGCTTTACAACAGCCCTGGGAGGTAGATATTATTATTTTCACTCAACAGCTGAGGAAACTAAGATACAGAAAAGTCAAAGAACTTACTGAGGTCACATTGCACTCAGCAGTGGAGTCAAGCTGCCAGGCCGTAACTGGCTGCCCTTCACCCCTCACCATGATGCTCAATGTCTTTATCCTTTAAGCTCCATTTGGATGCACTTCCGCCTTGAAGCTTTATTCTCACTCAAAGTCATTTCTTCCTTTGTGGTCGTCCTCTGGTTCTTCAACTGGCTCGAAATCACCCCCCTTAGCACCATTAGAGTATTACCTAACTCAAGGGTCAGCAAACTTTTGCTGTAAAGGAATCGATTGTAAATATTTTAGGTTTTGTGGCCCATATCATCTCTGTCACAGTTATTCCACTCTGCTGCCCACTGTAGCATGAAAGCGGCCACAGACAATCACTAAATCAGTGAATGTGGCTGTGCGCCAATAAAATCTTATTTACGGACATTGAAATTTGAATTTCATGTAATTTTCACATGTCATAAAATGTGTTCTTCTTTTTATTTTTTCCAACCATTTAAAAATAAACTATTCTTAGCCCATGATCTGCAACAAAAACAGGTGGCCAGCTGGATTTGAACCATAGGCCAAAGTTTGCCAGCCGTTCAGACTGCATCTTCCGTGTTCATATTCTCCACAACTACATAGAACATCTTTGGGCTTAAAAACTATATCTTAACCTTTTCTGACTCTCCACAGAATCTATATACAGGGATAGACTCATAATTAAGTACTCAACAAATATGCGATTAATAGTATTGATGCTTTTCACCCTCAGAGCCTTTTCTAAGAAGAAATAAGTCCATTTCAAAACATGTGTCCTCTTTATTTTCTTCACCCTTTTCCCTCTCTAATAGAATTCTCTATCTCTAAAATACCACAGCAATTTTTTGGTTCTGAGTGCTGATAAGCAATACCCACGTGCTTGGTTAGCTTAAAGGTCAGATGGCATCCTGGCCAGAGGCCAAGGAATACAGCTGGTGAAAATTCAAGCTGTCACACACTTGTTGCTAGCCTGAATTTCTAGTTCCTTCATCATGAATTATTAGATTGTTTATCATAACGATTTGCTGCATGAACAATCATTTTTAAAGCCATAATCCCCAACCGGGAGAGATGTCATGACTTGATGGGCTAAATTTAGGACTATGAGAATCCTGCTGCAGGACTGGCTGCCATGCATCATCTGTGGGCCTTCATCTGTCAATGGAGGGTAAGAAGCACTACCCTCTTCTTATGGGCTTCATGAGGCTGGACTGATGGTGAATGACTCTGCACATATAGCAGTGATAGTTGTAAGCATCTTCATTTACTTTTGCTCAATCATGTGACACAGTGCCAGTGAATGGTAGTATAAGACAGAGAAATATGCTGTACTCTATTATGTGTAGAAATGAAAACTGTTTTGTTTTAAAATTTGCCTTAAGGCCATGTCAACAAACTGTGGAATCAAGCTGATATTTACTACTAAGTACACACTTAGAAATTATGCAACATACGCCAATGAGCTTTTTTGTTTTATCATCTCAGAGTGAAGTTGCTGAAACCAGGAACTGTAATTACAGTAGTCTTTTTGCTGTCCTGCTATTGGTCAGATGTCACTCTGCTGAATAGCATATGAAAATGATTGGTATTATACTTTTTTAAGAATGGCCCATAACATGGTTTTCAGGATGGAATTTTGCAAATGCTTCTGCATAACAAGTAAAATTCTAGGTTTTGGAGGAGCCAGCTGTGCTGCAGGGCTTGAATGTTATTCTGATTTATTTCTAAAAGTTTATTTTAAGGGTTTTTCTTTTTTTCGCTAGAGTTAGTTTTCACCCTCTTTACAAATGCCTTAAAATAATCTGGTGTTGAAAACTCTTCCAACAGCTGCCACCTTGCCTATGGGGTGAGGAGGCGCTCTCTCAAGGGTAAAGCAACACTCGGCAGGAACAAATGTTTAAAATTTGCTGAAGACAGAAGACAAAGGAAAGCTTTATCACTTACTTGTTAGCTACAGCAAGGAGAAACTTTTCGACTTAGAAATCCCTCAGCATTCTTCATCAGATTGATGGCTTACTGCTCCTAAGCAGACAGCAATCTCATACATGGTGTATATTAAGAGATGGAAAATAAATTGACTCACAAAAGATGTTCTTTCAAGCCTCAGACTGCAATTACCATGGAGAAGGAAGGGGAGGAGGCATTTGGCTTTGTAACTGGAGCCTCAATAATAGGGCAAGGCTCAGGGGTAGCAGCTGTTTCTGCCCCCACATGCTGCCTCATTCCACAGACGGGTCAGGTGGCATCTATGCACACAGAGTTTGTGACATTTGTTGAGTGCTTAGAGTGCCTGGATGAAGGGTGCTTATAGGAATGTTGACAATCGATAATTATTACTATAATAATAATATTATGTGGATAGGAGGTTGGTTGGCCTTATATAAATATCCTGCTTTGATGTAAGAAGCTCCCAAGCACCAGTGGTTAACATAATTTTGTTTGGGAAATATTATGCTCAGCTGTGGTCATTATGGTGTCTCCCCTACTGTAACTCCAAAGAGTAGCTCGCATATTTCTATGTGGGTTAGTCACTGGATCCTTAATAAACCAAGAATGTAAGACACTGATGTGGCAGATCTTGTTGCTATTACTAACATGCTGGACATGCTAGTCCATCTCTCCCTCTACCTTCACTGATGGTCTCAGGGTAGAGAAGAAAATATTCTTCCCTAAATTTAGATTCACACTGCTGGAAATTTAAAAGTCCATGTACTTCATTCAATTTTATTGAATAAAGAAAACCTTTAGAGGCTGGGCGCCGTGGCTTATGCCTGTAATCCCAGCACTTTGGGAGGCTGAGGCTGGCAGATCACCTGGGGCCAGGAGTTCAAGACCAAACTGGCCAACACAGCAAAACCTGGTCTCTACTAAAAATACAAAAATTAGCCGGGCATGATGGTGGGCGCCTGTAGTCGCAGCTACTTGGGAGGCTGAGACAGGAGAATCGCTTGAACCTGGGAGGCGGAGTTTGCAGTGAGCCCAGATCATGCCATTGTACGCCAGTCTGGGCAACAGAGCAAGACTTCATGTCAAAAAAAAAAGAAAGAAGAAAGAAAAAGAAAGAAAGAAAGAAAGAGGGACAGAGGGAGGGAGGGAAGGGAGGAAGGAAGGAAGGAAGGAAGGAAAGAGAGACGGAGAGAAAGAAGGAAGGAAGGAAGGAAACCTTTAGTTAGCCTAGGAGTAAAAATGGAAAGAAAGGGAAGAAATACAGTTTGGGGAAGTCTTAGGTTAATTTGATTATTTTTAACAATTATTGAGCCTCCACTATGGCCAGACACTGGAGATGGATACATACAAAGCCGACAAGGAGACTGCAGGCTGGGAGGGATGCACGGATGAGCTGACAAGTGCCATAAAGAGCCACGTGTGGAGCGATACATGCTCTAAGAATAGTAGAGGTACAAGGGAGAAAAGGACTTTTCTTTCTGGAGGGGAGTGAGCCAGTCAGAAAATCCAGAGCAAAAGACATGAGCTAAGTCTTGAAGAATGGATGCAATGGATCCTCCAAGCTCACAAACTGCCCACATTCCAGGCAGAAGCAGCAGTAGGAGCAAGAGCGTGGAGGTGAGAAACAGAGCAGCCTGCTTGCTGATGGAGAAGAAAACAGAGACAGAAGTCTCAGAAATGCCTAAATCCTGTGATTCTCTGCTGAAAAGAACCACCAATCTTGCCCAAATCCCATCCAGGACCTCTGCAAGCACCACCTCCTCCGGGAAGGTTTCTGGCTCCTTTGAATGTCTGCAGCAGTTTTACTATTGGTGTCATTTCTCTAGCACTCCCATCCCATTTCCCACCCTACCCTATTTCACTGTGCTCTCACCACCCTCTTTGTGAGTAACCCGAGGGCAGGGATTGAGTCTTGTAAAGCAGCATAGTACCTTCAACTTAATTGTTATTTCATAAACACTGGACTTGATTTGAATTGAACTGCTCAGTTTGATTCACTGTGGTCAGTGTACATAGAGATCCATAGTAGATAGTTTTTTCTGTTTTTATTTATTTTTTATTTATGTATTTATTTATTCATTGAGACGGAGTTTCACTCTTGTCACCCAGGCTGGAGTGCAATGGCGCTATCTCAGCTCACTGCAACCTCTGCCTCCCATATTCAAGCAATTCTCCTGCTTCAGCCTCCCGTGTAGCTGGCGTTACAGGTGCCCACCAGCAAGCCCAGCTAATTGTGGTATTTTTAGTAGAGACGAGGTTTCACCATGTTGGCCAGGCTGGTCTCGAACTCCCGACCTCAGGTGATTCAGCCACCTTGGCCTCCCAAAGTGCTGAGATTACAGGTGTGAGCTACCGTGCCCAGCCTATTTTTTTTTGAAATTTAAAAGTTATAGAAAAATTGTAAAAATAGTACTTGGAGCTCCAAGTACTCCAAGCACTGACACTCACCCAGATTACCAATTATGACCATTGAATCACATCTGCCTTATTCTTTCTAGTAAACACACACACACACATTAAACTTGTTTTCGTTTTTTCCTGGACCACTTGAGAAAAAGTTACAGACATGATGCCCCCTTACCCTTTAATCTTTCAGTGTGTATTTCCTGTAAACAAGGACATTTTCTTACACATTCAAACCATCAATTAACGTTGACAATGAACAAACCAGAACATTAACATTGATCCAACTTTACCGCATAATTCACAGACCGCATTCAAATTTCCCCTATGGTTGCAAGAATATCTTGTACAGATACAGGCCTTTTATAGTTACAATTTTTCTTTAATCTCCTTCATTTTGGAACAATTGCTCAGCTTTTCTTTCTCTTTCACGACCTTGACATTTTTTTAAAGTACGTACTTTGTAGAATGTCCCGCAATGTGGGTGTGTCTGATGTTTCCTCGTGATTTATGCGTTTGTAGCAAGAACACCGCAGAAGCAATGCCTTACTCTTCTCAGTGCATCTATCAGGAGGCATACGATGCCGAATTGTCCTATCGCTGGTTTTGGTAAAGATGATGTCTCACGGGTATCTCCACTGAGTCATCCCTAAGTATTTTATGAGGAGATACCTTAAGGCTTCTATTATCAGATAGAGCTTTCCTTTCGTCTCCATTTATGCATTTATTTTTTAGCAATGTAGATTCATAGATTCCTATTTTATTCAAAGGGTTAAAAATCAGTAACTATCACTTATTCAGATACTCAAATTGCCCAGACCTGACCATCGGGAGCTCTTTTTTTTTTTTTTTTTTTTTGAAACAGAGTCTCACTCTGTCGCCCAGGCTGGAGTGCAGTGGCGCAATCTCAGCTCACTGCAACCTCTGCCTCCCAGGTTCAAGCAATTCTTCTGCCTCAGCCTCCCAAGTAGCTGGAACTACAGGTGTGTGCCACCATGCCTAGCTAATTTTTGTATTTTTTAGTAGAGATGGGGTTTTACCATATTGGCCAGGCTGGTCTCGAACTCCTGACCTCGTGATCCGCCTGCCTCAGCCTCCCAAAGTGCTGGGATTACAGGCGTGAGGCACCATGCCCAGCCCATTGGGAGCTCTTTTAAGGCAGATCTTGTGACCTTTTGATATGTCCCTACCATGCTTTGGACATTTCCTTACTTTGTAGTACAAGATGTCCCTGTTTCATCTTTTATTTTATGTACTTCAGCCCTAGAATCAACCATTTCTCTAAGGAACCCTGGTTCCTTTAAATGGAGAATAATATTTAGAAGCCACACCCTGCAAGCTAGGGATGCTCATTGCTACTAGGTATTTTTCCCTCCAGCCCTCACAGCACATAGAACTAGGAAATATATATGTATATATCTATTTACATATTTGTATGAGTATATACATGTATGTGTATATATATCTCTGTGTGTATACAGTAGTCCCTCCTTATCTGTGGGAAATGTGTTCCAAGACCCCCAGTAGTTGCCTGAAACCATGAATAGTACCCAACCCAATTGCTGTTAGAACGCACTTCTATCCATGTCCTCCAACCACAAATTTAATGCCTTCTCCATCGTTAATTAAACAATGTGGCTGTAACTTTCGCAGTTTGAGGTGTGATAGCAAAACTAGCAGTTTCTTTTTCCTTTTTCACAATTTCACAGATGGAAGATTCGTTCTTACTGTGGATCTTAGCAATCTCAGCATACAATTTTCTCTTTCCTTATTAAGGAGAACTTTCACCTTTTCACTTAAAAGCACTTTATAGCTTCTCTTTGGCATATCCGAACTGCCAGCATTGCTACTCTTGTGCTTTGGGGCTATTAGTAAGTAAAATGAGGGTTACTTGAACACAAGCACTGTGACACCCGACAGTCAATCTGAAAACCAATGCAGCTACTAAGTGACTAATGGCAGGAGCATAGACATCGTGGATATGTTGGACAAAGGGAGGATTCAAATCCTAGGCAAGACAGAGCAGGACGGCGCACAATTTAAAACTCATGAATTGTTTATTTCCAGAATTGTCCATGTATTATTTTTGGACCAAGGTTGACTTCAGGTAAATGAAATTGAGGAAAGCAAAACCACAGATAAGGGCATATGCACACCCACATAAACACCTACACACATTGGTACCTATGTCAACATCTGTGTCAATGTCTACATAAAGCTATGAGTTCACACTGGTTCCTCTTCTTCCAGTCTAATACCACAGGGCTTATTCTAGCCATTCCCCTTTCAGTATTTATAATTCCCTTCTGACAGCGAGAAATGTGACTCTCATCATGCTCAATGTATTTGGTAAAGATGGTGTCTCACGGGTATCTCCACTGAGTCATCCCTAAGTATTTTATGAGGAGATACCTTAAGGCTTCTATTATCAGATAGAGCTTTCCTTTCGTCTCCATTTATGCATTTATTTTTTAGCAATGTAGATTCACAGATTCCTATTTTATTCAAAGGGTTAAAAATCAGTAACTATCACTTATTCAGATACTCAAATTGCCCAGACTTGACCATCGGGAGCTCTTTTTTTTTTTTTTTTTTTTTTGAAACAGAGTCTCACTCTGTCGCCCAGGCTGGAGTGCAGTGGCGCAATCTCAGCTCACTGCAACCTCTGCCTCCCAGGTTCAAGCAATTCTTCTGCCTCAGCCTCCCAAGTAGCTGGAACTACAGGTGCGTGCCACCGTGCCTAGCTAATTTTTGTATTTTTTAGTAGAGATGGGGTTTTACCATATTGGCCAGGCTGGTCTCGAACTCCTGACCTTGTGATCTGTCCTGCTCTGTCCTGCCTTGGATTTGAGTCCTCCCTTTGTCCAACATATCCACGATGTCTATGCTCCTGCCATTGGTCACTTAGTAGTTGCATTGGTTTTCAGATTGACTGTCGGGTCTCAGAGTGCTTGTGTTCAAGTAACCCTCATTTTACTTACCTCTTTGCTTAATCATCCCTATATGTCATCAGTCCCAACTGCAATGGCAAAAGCTTGTCCTGTTACCATGGGTTCCCCCAAACAGGCAAGTCCCTTTCCCCCACCATGGTGGGACTGAATGAACAATGCCCTATAGTGATCAGCATGCACACTCTGAGGGAATTCTGCCCACTTCTGCCACTGCCTGGACTCTGAGAATCGGTGGACAAGGATCACAAGGTTGACTTTTCCTGTTGTTGCTTAGCAGAGTGAATGTTATTTTCTGCTTTGCCATGGCAGTGACCCCTTTAAATGTGGAATTTTTTTTTTCTGTTTGCTCCTCTCTACTTCTCTGATTACTCATAGGACAGTAAAAGGATTAACTGAATCCATTCAAAGATGTGTCCTGCTCCAGGCTTCTCTCAGGAAGAGTGCATGATAAATATTATATAGCTTGAGGCCAAAGGTCAGCTGATCCCTCCTCACAGCTGCCAGATGGTTGACTCTTCTAGTATATTCTCAGGGCCACCAGCTCACTTCCTAGATACACATCCCTAAGTCATCTTCCACGCCTCCTGCCTCCAACCCACTGCGTCCCCAGCCCCATGTCAAATTGTAACCTTGGAGGCAGCAAGTTCCTTTGCACGGCAGCTGCTGTGTCAGTTTCTCCTTGACCGATTTACTGTGGCCCTTGAGACGGCCCCCTTCACAATGTCCTTACTGTTCTTGAGGGCTGAGGAAATCTTTTTCTATGAGTTAAATCCTCCCTACTCATTTAGATGTTTCCTTACAGAATTTTCAAAACCAGACAGTATGTGTCATACCATGTTCCCCAAATGAAGCTGAAAATCCAATTTATAAGACCAATTTCTACTCTCTCACAATTTATATTATTAGGGAAAATGGATAATAATGAAGCCCACAGATTTTCACTCCAGAACTGACTTTGCTGCAGAGGAGTGAGGAGAGCTGCCTGGCAACGCAACGCATCGCTGTGCATAAACTTTGTTTACAGCCAAGGCTGGAGTAAAGGAACAGATGGCAAGAAAATCGGATTTAAAGAAAGGAAGGATGTGCTTGCATCTGGGAGCTCGGTAAATCTCTTGGCTTCTGGTGTGCGTACAAGGGTGACGTCTAGCTACCCCAGCAGTCGCGTCCCAGTTTGCTGTTGATTTTTGCCTGTTTGGATCTGTCTCTGAGGATGGTTAATACATCTTATTACAAGCATTTATCTCATCCCTCCCACAGGAAATGTGTTTTCCCAGGGATTTGTATGTTCCCTAACCTTTTATGGAAAGCAGTTTCTTGATCATCCATGTGATTGTGTATCTAAAATTTCAAGAATATTTAAGCTGTTAATCCTGCTTGTCTGTAGAAGATGGGTTTATATTTCTATGATCTTGGAAATATTTACAATGAGCATGTATAACAAGGAGAAATAAGCATAAACATTTATGCCTGCCACATTCGTAAGCATGCTTGCACACACACACCCGCTTTGTGCTTTATTGTCTCTCTTTGGTGCTTTTCTCTGAAGGCAAAACAATTTTAAGCAGCTGACCCTCACAATATATGAAATAGCTATTATCAAGGCTCACAGTAAAGCTGCCCAAGGCTTGCTTACCCCTCCCTCCTAAAGGAAAGTACAAGTTACTATTCAGGTAAGATTTACATCTGCTCCCTTGGGAAGGTAAAGGGAGAGAACATATACATTTTATCCCAGTGATGTAAACTTGCACTTAACCACCCCAGTTGTTCAATGCAGACAAGTTATAAGCATTTTTATTTCAAAATAACCCCATATACATTTATAGCAATTCTAGGACCTTCACAGCTACCCATAATCAATCCCCTACAGAAACATGCACCCTGCCAAGAAACTCCACCCCACTCCTACATGTTAGCAACCTGTCACTCCTCAGCAACATCCAGTTCTGTTGAAAGACACTTCTTCAAATTCATCGTGAGCTGAAGATGAAATTACTTAAGCAAAAATACCATATATTATAAAAATAGTTCTTTACAAAATAGTCACCAGTTAAAAAAATCAAAGCATCTTATAGGATTGACTGCCAAGCACCACTGGAGGCAAGCGCTATTAGAACTGGTTTGACCCGACTCATTGCCTCCTGGTCTATGCCAGGCCAGTTGCAGCTGTTAGGCATAAGAGTGATTCTTTCTGGTGGCACACAGCTTGCCCTCTTCAAATAAACCCTCTGGGCATACCTCCCCAGCCCCCTGGAGTGCTTCTGGGGCCACATTCTGGAACTTCCAGGCAGCCCCAATGGCCAATGGTCAGTGCAATCCCCTTCACCAACCTCCAGAAAGGTAACTTTGGGTTCAGAAGTCTATGGCCTGCTGGTGCTCCCAAATCTCTCATAGTGCTTGCGTTCTGGCCTGTATGATTATGGCTTCCTCACCCTACTGGCAGAGGGCACAGAGGAGGCCTTGGTACAAAGGCCAAGCTGGGCACAGGGCACTTAGTGACTATGTATCACTCATTGTTGAGTCATGTTCTTTCACTTTACATAGCCTCTGAGTTGGCCACCACCTCGGATCCTCTACCTTCAACCCACTGCTGTGACTCAGTCAAGGAAAAAGCCCTACCAAGGAATCCCCGGAAGAATCCACTATGGCAATTCACAAATGCTCCTCGTATACCCTAAGTGGTTCACGGTAGGGCAATGGAAGCATGCAGTGCAGGGACAAGGAACCAAGGCTGTGACCAATCCCATTTAAGTATCGTATCTTTAACTAATTTCTGATGTTTGGAGGTCCCACTGGCCTCAAGAATGTTGCAGTTCTTGAGTCCTGTGTGCCAGGAACCACTGATAGATGTGCAGTTGTAGCTTTAACCAACAGCAGCCACCATCCAGGAGCCACCATCCAGGATGTTTCTTTTTTTGACTGAGGCAAATAAAGCCTTGGCTCTGTGGGGTTGCATAAGGATCACCTAGGATGCTTTTTCAAAATGCAGACTCCTGGGAGTCACCCTTGCCTCAATCTTCTAGGTTCAATAGGTCCAGGGTAGGACCTGAGAACAACAGGTTCCACAAGTGAATCTGATGATGGTGGATTTGGGGAAAAAGCCCTAGATAGTAACCTTTGTCTTCTTGTCTTTTCACTGTACACAATCCCCCTTCCAACTTGTTTTAATTACCTGGAGCTTTAATTATCACCTATATGCCAATGACTTCCAAGTCTCTATACCTATAGTCCTAACCTCTCTCTTGAATGCTAGGTTTAAATTTCCATCAGCCAGCAGATAAATCTCCCTTAATATACCATGGATAATTTCAAAAACACTTTCAAAACATAATTGTGAGAACTTATTTCCTCCTAAGACACTTGAAATTAATTGCCCCTCTTTGAGGTCTACGTAGGTAGTAAAAGGCCAGGGTTGACCAAAACGTGAAATCCACTCAGGGTAAAGAAAGTTTTATTTAAATTTCTTGTAAAGTTAAAAAAAAAAGAAAAGAAAAAGCAATGTTGCTAATGGCTGAATAACCCATAATACTCAGACCAGAAAGCAGTTTGTTCCACAGTCTGTAGGTTTTAAACTAGTGTCAGCTCTTTGCTGCAGATGTGAAGAGAAATGCAAACATTTCACCCACTTAATGATTTTTTTGCCTTGTTTCCCTAAGACAACTAATAGCTCTGTAAAGGCAGTATTTGATAACTGCGAGTACATATTGTCTGGTGATTTGATTCTTTATTGCTTCTCAAATCAGGATGGTAAAGATTCCAACTTGAGAATCTGAGTTATTTTATTTACCTGAAGATGCAGATCTGTAGTAATCAGGCTCCTTTTGTTGCAGGGAGCAGAAGCCCACTCAGTTTATCTCAAGTGTTGGATCACCTGAGGTCAGGAGTTCAAGACCAGCCTGGCCGACATGGTGAAACCCCGTCTCTACTAAAAATACAAAAATTAGCCAGGTGTGGTGATGGCACCTGTAATCCCAGCTACTCGGAGGCTGAGGCAGGAGAATCTCATGAGTCTGGGAGGTGGAGGTTGCAGTGAGCTGAGATCGTGCCACTGCACCCCAGCCTGGGAGACAGAGCAAAACTCTGTCTCAAAAAAAAAAAAAAAAAAGATAAATAAAATGGATGGGTTTTCAAATCAAAGTAAGTTTCAGTCACTATTATTGCTAGTTTATTTATATTTAATAAATATGTAATCCCATGACACTGTGCAACATAATTAGCAAGTATTTATGCTGTTGAATCCATGACCCAGTTTCCTGAAGACATCTGTTTTCTAAAAGGATTTTTTTCAAACTTAGATTAAAAAGGCACTACTTAAGCAGGGTTGCCAGAGAGAATACAGGACACTCACTTAAATTTGAATTTCAGATAAATAGTAAATAATTTTTCACCATAAGTATATCTCAGACATGCAAGGGACATACTTAACTAAGAAATTATTTGTTGTTTATCTGAAATTCAAACTTAATTGGGCATCTTGTATTTTTCTTTCTTTCTTTTTTCTAAACCTGATAACCCATCCTCCACCCCATTTATTTATCTTTCTTTCTTTTCATAAAAAAGACTAAGATTTTAGTTCTCCCTGGTGTAATGGCCTCACTTCTCTTCCAAATTGTTTTTAGATATTTTTTCTCCTTTGACAATATATAACAGGCGTGTCACCTTTGTTGATTTCTAATGTGTAATTTTTAAATGTGCATAAGGACTGGGTGCAGTGGCTCATGCCTGTTATCCCAGCACTTTTGGAGGCTGAGGCGGGAGGATCACCTGAGGTCAGGAGCTCAAGACCAGACTAGCCAATGTGGTGAAACCCCATCTCTACTAAAAAAGTACAAAAAAAAATTAGCCAGGCATGGTGGCACACACCTATAATCCCAGCTACTTGGGAGGCTGAGGCAGGAGAATTGCTTGAACCTGGGAGCTGGAGGTTACAGTGACCCAAGATGGTGCCACAGCACTCCAGCCTGGGCGACAGAGTGAGACTCTGTCTCAAAAATATATAAATAAATAAAAGGTGTATAAGATAAACTGCAGGCGAAATAAGCTTAAGCAACCTCTGAACTGATGACTAATAGTTAAAACAATTGCAAACAGGTGAAACCAGTCTCATTGTGTGAATAATGCAAATTCAAGGGGCAATCTGGGTGGAGATCTGTGACAGTAAAGCACAATTTCTTGTTAACAGAAAGGAGTTTGCTTAATGTTATCTCTTGTGATCTAAAGGCCTTGGATATTCAACATGTGTCTATTTTTCAACTGAACTGGACTTATTTATTTTCTTTCTTTCTTTCTTTTTAAATACTCCTATGACTTCATTTCTTTCACCCCATAAGCTCTTGAGACCATCCACAAAGGTCAGCAGAGAGTAATGTCTGAGCTCTCTGGGATATCCCATACATCAAAAGGCCATATCTTTACTCGGCTAAGGAGTGCAGAGCTGAGACGTGTCAGAGTACCACCTCCTCTCAGCCAGCAAGGCAAACTGCCACCATGGAGTCATGCATACTACTGCATTCGCCATAGGATTGATTTATTTCATTATTGTTTATGGATCTCTGTAGGCAAATGTATCCAATCATGAACACAGGGAAAAAAAGACACATTATTCCTTTTGACAGTAGGATGCAACAATGTCAATAATTGTTAGGTAATTATTGTCAACATATTAGACAATGCCAGCCGGTTTAATGTGCAATCATATGCTTTACCTCTTGAAATGACAACTGTGCAGTAAGTTGTTACCTGTGTTTAACAAAATACTACCAAGAATAATCTGAAACTAATACATTTACTTAAACATGGATACTTAGAGATGTTAAAAAAAATAGTAGAGCAAGTAAGGTTTTCCTGAGCTTCAAAGAACAAACTTGAGATCCAGTGAAACATCAGTTCTCAAGATTTCATATACAGTACACAAAAATGCCCCCAGAAATTTTTCTAAATACAGACTACTCCAGTGTCCCATTTCCAGAGATTCTGTTTCAGCAAGCTGTATGGCATTGTGGTTGGGAGCATGGAACTAGACTAATCTGCCCCTTTGCTACCTGTGGAACTCTCTCATGTCTATTTCCTCCTCTGTAAATTGGTGATGATAAGCCTCTTGCATGGAGTTGTTCTGAGGATTAAGAGTTGCCATTTGTAAAGCACTTAATAGATAACCCATATATGTTAGCATTTTTTTTTTTTTTTTTTGAGACGGAGTCTCGCTCTGTTGCCCAGCCTGGAGTGCAGTGGCACGATCTCGGCTCACTGCAACCTCTGCCTCCTGGGTTCACGCCATTCTCCTGCCTCAGCCTCCCAAGTAGCTGGGACTACAGGCGTCCACCACCATGCCCGGCTAATTTTTTTGTATTTTTAGTAGAGACGGGGTTTCACCATTTTAGCCAGGATGGTCTGGATCTCCTGACCTCATGATCCGCCCGCCTTGGCCTCCCAAAGTGCTGGGATTATAGGCATGAGCCACTGCGCCCGGCCTATTTTTTTTTTTTTTTTTTCTTAAGCAACACTCCAGGTGGCTGAGATGCTGGCAATCCTCAGTCCATAATTTAATAAACACTGCAGTGTGGCCTCGGGCTGGCTGTTGACTCAGTTTGGGCTGGGCATAAATCAGTTAATCTCTCTGTGCATCAGTTCACTGCCAGTAAAGTAAGTCTGAGAATTCTTAACTAACTCAAAGATATAGTCCTTGAGAAAGGAAGAAGCCACACTTCCCTCAATAGCCTGGCAGTGTACACTCCTTGCTCTAAGAAATACATGGTAAACAGGGACTGTGCCAAGACTACACACCAATAAAACATTTTGGACCTTTAGCCCTGCTCTCATGGAGAAATATGAGTGGTCTCAGGAAGTTTGCAGCCTTGGTTTTCATGGTAAGTCCGGCGCACGTGAAACTATTGGCATGCCACACAACACCATGGATGTGTCCAAATATGTGGGACACCTCAAAGGCCACATGTTTGGAGTTTCCTTCTATCTCCTCCTTCCTAACCTCTAAATGCCTGTGGGCTCCGGGGTTCTGGCCTCTTCTCAATTTACATTCTCATCCCTAAGCTTAAGTGAATTCCCAGGTTGTATCTCTAGCCTGATGGCTCCTTGAGCTTCAAACTCTTACATATCCCACTGTCTACTCAACAGCTACACTTGGATGTCTCAAAGGTTCTCAAACTTCACATGTCCAAAAAGAAATTCTTGTTTCCAGATTCAATAACCCCATACAAATCTGCATTCACTTCCTTCCCCAAGCTTTCCCTATGAGGACGTGGTAACATCATCTATCCAGGCACTTAGACTTAACATTAAGAAGTTGCTCTTTGTTTTGTTTTTGAGACAGTGTCTCACTCTGTTGCCCAGGCTGGAGTGTAGTGGCACAATCTCGGCTCACTGCAACCTCTGCCTCCTGGGTTCAAGCAATTCTCCTGCCTCAGCCTCCCAAGTAGCTGGATTACTGTCATGTGCCACTTTGCCCGGCTAATTTTTGTATTTTTAGTAGAGATGGGGTTTTGCCATGATGGCCAGGCTGGTCTCAAATTCCTGGCCTCAAGTGATCCACCTGCCTTGGCCTCCCAAAGTTCTGGGATTACAGGCATGAGCCACCGCACCCAGCCTAAGGAGTTGCACTTGATTCTTCTCTCCCTCAAAGCCCTGCAGGTTCTCACCTCTGCCTCCCATCCATCTTCATCTCCTACTACACTCTGCCCATGTTAGCCTTCTTATTGGTCTCCTAGAGCACCCCTCATCTTTCTAGAACATTCCTGCCTCAGGGACTTCACTTCCTGTTCCCTTTCCCTTTCTTCTCTTGGGTTAGCTTATGGTTGATTTCTTTTCTTTTCGTTCTTTTTCTTTTCTTTTCTTTTCTTTTCTTTCTTTCTTTCTTTTTTTTTTTTTTTTTTTTTTTTTTTTGAGACAGATTCTCACTCAGCCACCCAGGCTGGAGTGCAAGGGCACGATCTCAGCTCACTGCAACCTCCGCCTCCCTGGTTCAAGCCATTCTCCTGCCTCAGACTCCCGAGTAGCTGGGATTACAGGTGCCTGCCACCATGCCCAGTTAATTTTTGTATTTTTAGGAGAGATGGGGTTTCACCATGTCGGCCAGGCTGGTCTCGAACTCCTGACTTCACGTTATCCGCCTGCCTTGGCCTCCCAAAGTGTGGGGATTACAGGTGTGAGCCGCCGCGCTCGGCCAGCTTATGGTTGATTTCTTGTCATAATTTAAGTCTCTCCTCAAATACAAGTGTCTCCTCCTCAAAGAGGCCTTTCCCTATCACCATATGGAAAAAGCTCTTATTCCTATGGTCACGCACTAGCCCTTACCCTGCCTTTTAATTTTTTCTCACAACATTTGTCTCAGTCCGTTATACTACTTATTTACTTACTACCTGATTATCTGTCTGCCATACTAGAATAAAATCACCAAGAGGGCAAAGACTGTCTTACTTACCATGGCATCCTGAGTTCCAGAATGGTCACTAGCTGTATTAGGCTGTTTTTGTGTTGCTATAAAGAAATACATGAGGCTAGGTAATTTAGAAAAAAAGAGGTTTAATTGGCTTCTGGTTCTGCAGCCTTTACAGGAAGTATGGTTCTGGCATCGGCTTGGCTTCCAGGGAGCCCTCAGGAAGCTCACAATCATGGCAGAAGGTGAAGAGGGAGCAGGTGTCTCACATGGTGGGACCAGGTGCAATAGATAGAGTGGGGCAGTTGCCATACACTTTTAAATGACCAGATCTCATAAGAACTCACTCACTGTCATGAAGACAGCACCAATCCATAAGGGATCTGCCCACATGACCCAAACACCTCCCACCAGGTCCCGCCTCCAGCACTGGGGATTACAATCCAACATGAGAGTTAGGCAGGGACAAATATCCAAACTATAGCACCAATAGTGGGTTCTTAGTAAATATTTGTTGCAAGAATGAAAGAACAAATGAGGAACGGATATCAGCTATTAATAACAAGGGGGTTTGGGGAATCAGAAGAATAATGAGTATTAGTACACTAAAAACAAAACAACAACAAAAACCAAAAACAAAACAAAGATTCTATCTGGGGCTTTGGAAGGGCTGGAAATATTTGAGTAGGTGAAAAAAAAAGAAGAAAGGGCCTAACATAAGCTAGGTGGGGAAACCACAAGATTCGTGTGGCAATAAAAATAAACTGATCTAATAGAGGCAGAGAGAAAATGACAGAGGCAAAAAGGAACTGAGATTGAATAGGTTAAAAAGGGTCAGAGCAGAGCAAATTTTGAATGTGTCACATAGAGGAGTTATTTGAAGGGGACGTGACATTTTCCAGTGGGGTGTCAAGGTGTCAAGGATGAGTGTGGTGTCATGTCGTGACTGAAGTTGGGAATAAAGGAGTATTCTGCTGCCGGCACAATACTCAGGCAAAGTACCTTGGGAACAGATAAAGGGTGCTACAATTAGATTTCCCCACAGCCTAAGCAGAAATCCCAAGGAGAAGCCCCTTTGCTCTTGGAATATGTCTCAGAAACTTAGAGGTCACAGCTGAATCTGAGAATGGACCCAGCCAGGAGGACCTCACATACTCACTGGTTAGAAATAATTGTTTGTTGCTATAGAATCCAGTAAGTATTAGTTCTTGTGTGAAGGCATGGCACTGGGGGGCTTTCTGAAAGCACATTGGAGATATTGTTGGGAAAATGTTAGGTTTTTAATCACCAAAAAATGATCACAATTGAATTTCAAGTAAATTGCCTCCTTAGTTTTGCTGCAGCTGCCTTAAAAACATCCTTGCTTTTGGAAGTGGAATATTCATTATGATTCAAAATGATACTTTGTAGTCTTGCTCTAATGATGCACACACATGACCTTTTGAGAAATCCAGATGTTGCTAATGTTCCAGCTGTGTAGAATAGATTTACTGTGACTAGAAGCTGGAAATGACCTAGATAAGCACAGCAAAACCCAAAGGACCCACTCATTTTTTTCTGTTAAGATGAAGTGACTAATTGGATGGTTAAACCTGTTATAGTTCCCTGGCTTCCACCTCTTCTCAAAGAAGAGAAAGGCATCTCATTATGTAGCACCAAAGCGACATTTTAAAGAGTGCTTCAGCATTGACTTTATTCCCAAGCTTGTAACTAGGCCATTTATTGCATTTGAAAAAAGAAAATGCCTCCATTGTGCCTCCTACTGTGTCATACACCACAGCATCACCATGGGTGATGGGAACACTGAACCTGTGCTACCTTCCTCCACACTGGCCTCAGTGTCCCTCCTGTTTTCTGATGCACTAGGAAGAAGACTTATATCTAGCGGGTGTTACATCCCTGGGTACTCACCTCTCTGCTGGGTGCTCAGTGAGTGTTCACATGTGAAGGAAATAACATCACACCCATGTTACATATGAAAAAAGCAAATTCCAGAGAACATTTTCCCTCCATCATCTGTTTGTTTCAGATAAGTAATATATTGACCCTTGGGGCTCTCATTTCTGAACTCCAAACTTTTGCAATAAGAATAGCTCTGTCAGGCTGGCGCAGTGGCTCACGCCTGTAATCCCAGCACTTTGGGAGGCTAAGCCAGGTGGATCACTTGAAGTCAGGAGTTCGAGACCAGCCTGGCCAACATGGTGAAAACCCGTCTCTACTAAAAATTCAAAAAATTAGCCAGGCATGGTGGCGCACGCCTGTAGTCCCAGCTACTAGGGAGGCTGAGGCACAAGAATTGCTTGAGCCCAGGAGACGGAGGTTGCAGTGAGCCAAGATCACGCCACTGCACTCCAGCCTGGGTGACAGAGTGAGACTGGGTCTATCTCTCTCTCTCTCTCTCACACACACACAAACACACACACACACACACACACACACACACACACACACACACACACACACAGAGAATAGCTCTGCCTGGTCACATAGAGGTGGAACCCTTTGTAAAAAAAAAAAAAATGCTGTATTACTTAGAAATATCTAACTCTCACTTGTTTCAAGAAAAAAACACTGAGAAAACAAAAGTCCAGGACAACAAAAGAATATACAGAGGAAAAAAACAAATGATCCCTTTCTCCTCTGGACAGGGGCCACATTTCCTTTGTCACTATATCCCCAGTGCCTAGAGTGAAGAGGAAATTGAGATAGTTCTGTGGGGGCAAATGAATTCATATGGTGACTTTGGGACCCTGCATTATGGGGTCTGGACTGAAAGATTCCTTCAAAGTCACTCTGGACCAGGCCCACTGCTTCCAGGCACGTTTACATCCAAAGTAAGCAACAAAAGGATCTGACCTCTCTCCCTAAGGCCTAGAACACAATACAGATAACAATAAGAACAACAAAGTGGGTTTAAGATAAAATAAACACAATACACATTGCATTCTTGTCTTCTTTTCTTGTCTTTTCTGGCTGTGTGTATGTTTTTTTAACAGGAATCTGTTGGTGGGAGAATTCCTGGATGTTTCCTACAAGCAGATGGCAATGTTCTCTTAGTCTCATCGGAACCAGACAGAGAAGGGGACGGTGGAAAAAGGACTGATAGAGACAAAGCACATCTAGCCAACCAGTCACCCTCTACTTCTAAAGACTTTTGAAAACAAGAGTATTGTCAAGAATTATTTAACATTATTATGATACTATCATTATAATCAAGGAGTGGGCTGTTGAGAGATTTCATCTTCATTCATTTTTTCAACAAATGTTTGGTCAGTGCCTAGGATGTCAAGTACTGGGCTAGTTGCTTATTTTATAAAGATGAACAAAACAGAGTCCTTGCTAGCAGCTAGGTCATAATGAAGACAACCCAAACAACAATGACCGCGCTGTTAGCTAGGACAGCAGCGTGCCTAGGATGCAAGGAGAACCTTGGAGGGCAGTCAGAAAGGGTCCCAAGACCAGGTGACATTAGAGCTGTGCTGGGAAAGAGGGGTAAGATTTAGACGCAGGCGAAGAAACGAAGCAAGCACATTCAAGGTGGGAGTCAAAGTCACTGAAATATGAGAGCACCTGAGCTAGTTGGTACCACTAGAATCAGGGGTAAGGCTAAGAGAGGATGAGGAACTGAGGCTGATGAAGGTAGCAAAAGTAGACCAAGCAAGATGTTGGCTCTCATGATTAGACATTTTTTCTCAAAGCAGTGGGGAACCATCAAAGGTTTTTCACCAGAAAAAAATGTCATGTTAACATTTTTTTTAAAAATTGAGACAGAGTCTTACTCTGTTGCCTAGGCTAGAGTGCTGTGCCACAATCACAGCCCTCCTGGGCTTAGGCGATCCTCTTGCCTTAGCCTTACACATAGCTGGGACCACAGGCACATACCACCACCATGCCTGGGTAATTTTTTAAAAAAATATTATTTGTAGAGACAGGGTCTCACTATGTTGCCCAGGCTGACCTCAAACTCCTGGGCTCAAGTGATCCTCCTGCCTCAACCTCCCAAAGTGCTGGGATTGTAGGTGTAAGCCATTGCACCTGACTCATTTTAGCATTTTTAAAAGATTACTTGGGAATAAATGTAGGACACAGACTTGTTGGGCAGGAGTTAGGAAACAAGACTGAAGAAAAGGAGACCAGTTAAGAAGGTATGGCAAGAAACTAGGAGAGAAATTATACAGGTCCTAAACCAAAGAGTGCTAATAAGGATGGAGGGGAGGAGGCAGATTGGCTAACTGAATGTGAAGAATGAGTGGAGAAGGCACAGAAGAAGACACTTTAGGTACCTCTCAGTCTTCTGTCCTGAATGACCAGATAGATGTGCATGTCGTTAACCAACATTCAATGTCTGGAACAGAAACATTTTAGGGAGGAAGATGATATGGGCAATATGGGATATGTTTAGTTTGAGATGTCCAGCTGGGAGTTGAAAAGCCGTGTGTGGAGCAGGAAGAAGTTCTAGGCTGGAGATAGACATCAGCACTGGGATGATCACTGAAGCTATAGGCTTAAGTTCTACTAGATCAATGGCTTTGAGACTATTTTTTCTATAACCCACAGCAGAAATACATTTTATGTCACAATCCTGTGTACACATACACACACCTATAAAAATGTTCATTCAACAGTATTTACCATGACCAAGTGTGACGGACTCTAAGAGCTTTCTATTGAATTTCAGTTTTTTTAAATGCTGGTCAGATGCACCGATTTGATTTCACAATCTACTAATCACTAATGGGTTGCAGCCTGTAGTTTAAAATGCACTACCCTAGATTATAAGCTTCTTGTAGCAGGGACCACATCTTATACAGTTTAGATTCCCCGTGGCAACTATTATAATGCCTTGCACATAATGAATTTTTGTGGAAGGAAATCAGGGGAAAAAGGAAGGAATGAAGTGAGGGAGGGAGAGAGAGACGAATTTTTCCAGTACTCAACCTTAAAATGTTCTCCAAAACTACAATGAAATCTTGTCTCCTCCAATTCTACTGAACTTTCATATACACAGTTTCTATTTTTTTCCTCATATTTCCAAGGTAAATCAAACATGGGTCACAATGCCTCAGGGGAGATTTGGTGTTTTGCTTTTTCTCACCACCAACTCCCTACACCACATCTAGGGCTCCAACCATAGTCTTTTAGTTGGACTAGACTGGCCAAGCAAGACACTTATGTTACATGGCTGCAGCCCTCCTATGCAAAGGTTGTCACGCTGTGTACCACATGACCCCACAACAGCTGCCTGGACCGGAGGAAGATGGCAGCAGCAGCCAACACACACACAGAGAAGAGGAAGTAGAAGCCCTAAGAAAATAGAAGCTATGAGCAAGCTGAAGATGAGGAAGAGAGGACAGGATGGAGAAATTAGTTGGTAGCGGCAGAAGCAAAGAGTAGTTTGGAAACTGAAAGAGCGAGCACTAGAAATAGGTATAGTTGCCAACTTCTGTTCATAGGGACAAGATACCCAAGTAAGCTGTGATGAATCCTGCGTTATCTTCCATTACCCTGATGACATTGCAAGCTCTGTGAGGACCAGCTTTTCATAGATTCTTCTTTCTCCACAAGGACCGCATATCATACATCAAATTTCTCCCTTGCTTCCTTTCTCTTGTACTCAAAAAAATTAACTTACAGAAAAGTTGCAAGAATATTGCAAAGAACTCATACCCTTTACCCAGATTCAGCAATTTTTAACATTTTGCCACATTTCTTTCTCTCTCTTTCTCATTTTTGTCTGAAGCATTTGAGACTAGGATGCATATATCACTTTTTTTCTTAATATTTCAGTATGTATTTCCTTAGATATTTTCTTACACAGTCGTGGTACACAGCTCCAATTCAGGCAATTTTACATTGATATAATAGTTCAATGTTAAACCCCACATTTCTACACCATTGTTCATAGCAGCACTATTCACAACAGCGAAAAGGTAGAAACAACCCAAATGTTCATCAACAGATGACTGAATAAACAAAATGTGGCCAGGCGCAGTGGTTCACGCCTGTAATCCCAGCACTTTGGGAGGCCGAGGCAGGCAGATCACCTGAGGTCAGGAGTTCAAAACCAGCCTGGCCAACATGGTGAAACCCCATCTCTACTAAAAATACAAAAATTAGCCGGGTGTGATGGCGAGCACCTGTAATCCTAGCTGATTGAGAGGCTGAGGCAGGAGAATCACTTGAACCTGGGAGGTGGAGTTTGCAGTGAGCCATGATCGTGCCACTGCACTCCAGCCTGGATGACAGAGTGAGATTTTGTCTCAAAACAAAACAAAACAAAAACAAAAACAAAAACAAATGTGGTACATACATACAATGGAAAATGATTCAGCCTTAAAAAGGAATGAAATTCTGGCACAAGCTATAACATAAATAGACCTTGAAAACATTACGCTAAGTGAAATAAACTGGATACAAAAGGACAAATACTGTATGATTTCACCTACATGAGATACCTAGAATAGGCAAAGTCCTAGAGACAGAAAGTAGAATGGTGGTGACCAGGAGCTAGGAGTAGGAGGAAATGGGGAGTTATTATTTGACAGGTATAGAGTTTAGGTATGGAAAGATAAAAACATTCTGGAGATGGATAGTGATGATGGTTGCACAATAGTGTGAATGGACTTAATGCTACTGAGCTGTACATCTACAAATAGTTAAAATGGTAAGTTTTATGTTTTGTGTACTTTACTGTACTTTTTTTAAGTTGATGTTCTAATTCTGTGAATTATCCCAATAATGTACTTGTAGCATGTTTTTTTTTTCACTCCATTCCACGATCCAGTCCAGGATCACATGTTTTACATATTGCATTTAATGATTATGTCTCCTCAGCAGGGTGATCAAGTCATCAATTCAGAATAACCCTGTTTTCCCAGACCTTCTCCATTTTAGCACTGAAAGTCCTGCATCCTGGGAAACTACTCAGTCCTAGGTGAATGGGTGAAGAGTTGGTTATGCTACTCTTCAGTCTCCTTTAATCTGGAACCGTTGGCTCAGCCTTTCAATGTTATGTCTTTTATAACATTGCCATTTTTAAAGAAATCAAGTCAGATACTTTATTGAACATCCCTCAACTTGATATTACCTGATATTCTCCCAGGTTATGCATTTCTGGTTGGAATACTACATTAGTGATTTTGTGTCCTTTTTGAAGTATCACAGCTGGAGGCACAGATGTCCATCTGTCCTGCATTGGTAACGTTAATTTTGATCATGATCAAGGTGTGGTCTAGTTTCATAATCATGTGCTTACTATTTCCTTCCACATATATGCTTATAATAAACTTCTGTTAACAGTGTTCCTTGCTACCTGAAACAGCCTAAGCAGAAGCTCAAAATATATTATAGGAAACATCTGATAGCATCCTTGCACTTGACAAAAGAAAGCATTTCAAAATTCGTTTTCCATTGTCATTGCAGAGTACCATAAATCACTGCATTCCTCATCTCTTCTGTCCTTGGCCACTTTAGGTTTTGAGGTGACAGAATTTTCAAAATGTATATATTTCTATATAATTCTTTCTTTTATTTAAAAAATCACATTATTGGTGAAAAAAAGCATGGCTTTCTGTTTAAATTACCTGTCTTGACACTTATTCTCAAAGTGAAGACTATTGTCTGGGGAAAACACACTATGTGTAGCAAGAACCTTTACACTTTTTAACTGACAGCCCCAACTGCCATCAGCATTTGTTGTATATTTAGTTGTCGTATAGATCAGTTCAAAGGAACACATTTTCTTTGTTAATTACTCAGTCAGGTAACCAGTTGATATGGCTTGGCTGTGTCCCCATTCAAATCTCAACTCGATTGTATCTCCCAGAATCCCCACGTGTTGTGGGAGGGACCCAGGGGGAGGTAATTGAATCATGGGGGCTGGTCTTTCCCGTGCTATTCTCTTGATAGTGAATAAGTCTCACGAGATCTGATGGGTTTATCAGGGGCTTCCGCTTTTGCATCTTGCTCATTTCTCTCTTGCTGCCGCGATGGAAGAAGTGCCTTTCACCTTCCACTGCGATTCTGAGGCCTCCCCAGCCATGTGGAACTGTAAGTCCAATTAAACCTCTTTTTGTTCCCAGTTTTTGGGTATGTCTTTACCAGCAGCGTGAAAACGAACTACTAATACACCAGTGAACTCTCCAAGTTCACTAATAGTCTTTGAAGGTGGGACTTTGGAGGTAGGAGATAAGCAAGGGTCTCTGGACTATTTGAAAGATGCAGAAGCCGTCAGACACTGGGCACGCTGTGCCCCAGGACCTAACCATAGCCTTTGGCACCTACTAACATGCCACCTAATCTATTTATTTATTATGTTTGCTATTAGTTTTCTGCCTCTCTCTGCTAGAATGAAGAAAGCTCCATGAAACTAGGGATCTTTGTTTTTAAGATCAGACAGTATGCATGCCCTATAGCATACACTCAACTAAGATATGTTGAATGAATGAATAAATGAACTTGTTATGAATGTAATTAATGCCACTGACTTGTATGCTTAAAAATTATTAAGATAGGAAATGCTATGATATGTGTATTTTACCACACACAAAATAAGTTTATAAAAGCAACAGTTATCTAACGTGGGCTAGTCCTGGATTGTTGCTGTATTTGAAATAACCTCAGTAGATCTACTCTACCAAGGAATTGGCCCAGACCAATTTCTCATCCAAAGAACTGATGGAGGATCAGACAATTTCAAAGCCCCTTGATTCAAGTGTTGTTGAAGTTTTTAGTTTCTGGTGGGGAGATGAAGGGAAGTAGCCCCTTTGGTTTTAACCTTTCCTGCCATGAGTTTCCCCATAGGTACTCTTACTCTTACTTCCACAGAGATTTAAAAAGTGGAGTTCATGCAGTTGAGCTCAATTTTTTTTTTCTTTTAAAAAGGAGATTTAAAAAGTGGAGTCCTCAGTCAGGTGCAGTGGCTCATGCCTGTAATCCCAGGAATCCCAGCACTTCGGGAGGCCAAGGTGGCAGATAACTTAAAGTCAGAAGTTCAAGACCAGCCTGGCCAAAATGGCAAAACCCCATCTCTACTAAAAACAGAAAAATTAGCCGGGCATGGTGGTGCAGGCCTGTAATTCCAGCTACTCAGAAGGCTGATGTGAGAGAAGTGCTTGAACCCAGGAGGCGCAGGAGTGCAGTGCCACTGCACTCCAGCCTGGGCAACAGAGTGAGACTCCATCTCAAAAATAAAAAAAAATAAAAAAATAAAAGAAGAAGAAAGAAAGAGAGAACGAGAAAGGAGAAGGGAGGGAGGCAGGAAGGAAGGAAGGAAGGAGAGAGAGAGAGAGAAACTGCCCTTTGGGTAGCATGGCATATGCCGCTTCTCCTGTTCGCAGTCAGATCTTCCTCCCTTTATGTAAAGAGTCTATTCTTACCACTGCTGACATCTAAAGAGCACAGAAGCAAGAATTACAGCTTAGAGAAGTTCTGCAAGATAGAAGTAACAAGGGAAGACAGAAGATTGTCTACTCTGGGGAGTTTTCTGCTTTAGTGTTCACAAAACATTTCATAATCTGCAGATAAATGTGCAGGCTCTGCAAAATAGAACATGCAAATAGTTCTTGGTAAAATCTATGGATCAAAGCTATTTCTCTTTGCCCTTCAAATGATCTAGTTTGCTTTTTAAATATTTGAACATTTTCCTACAAGTTGTGACAATGACACAAGTTTAAACACACCATGCCTTTTATAAATAGATCCTAACCTGAAAAAGCTTCCACCCTGACTGACTCTTGTCTGAGGTTTGAGAGGAAAAGAGAGATTTAAAGGGAAGCTAATTAATACAAATCTTCTAAAACATACATGAGGCTAGGAATATATTAAGTGCTTAATTAAAAAACAATGTAATCCCAGCACTTTGGGAGGCCGAGGCGGGCGGATCACGAGGTCAGGAGATCGAGACCATCCTGGCGAACACGGTGAAACCCCGTCTCTACTAAAAATACAAAAAAAATTTAGCCGGGCGTGGTGGCAGGCGCCTGTAGTCCCAGCTACTCGGGAGGCTGAGGCAGGAGAATGGTGTGAACCCGGGGGGCGGAGCTTGCGGTGAGCCGTGACCGCGCCACTGCACTCCTGCCTGGGAGACAGCGAGACTCCATCTCAAAAAAAAAAAAAAAAAAAATGTTCTATTGGGTTTAACACCTAAGTCAATGAAGTCGTATCAGTTGAGGAAATAGTCACAAAAGAGGTTTTGTAAATGGCAGAATTGATGAGTGCTACAGTTCACAAATTTTCTACCATCCATTCAGATTTAGAATCAAATGAAGATTCAACTAACAGGTATTGAACATCTACTTTGTGTCATGTTGTGTGTTTTAACACATTTTATTTCCTTTAATTTACAGCCATAACTATATAGATTAGAAAATACTGCAGACTTCTTGAGGCAACTATTTTGGTTCTCAGCTAAGAAAATTTCTTTTCTCTTATTGTCTCTCTTTCTTTTCTTTTTTTTTTTTTTTTTTTGGTTGTAGCATTGGTGGTGTTGAATAACAGGAACAAGAGGTCATTCTTACTTTGTTTTAGTACTACTATTTCAAAGACTCAGATACTTTCAGGATTTCTCTAACAAATAGAAAAAGTGTGTTTTTGTTGAAGACCATAAAGTTAATTCTATCAACTCGAAGCCAATATTTTTATGAGTATATTTTATAACTATATATTTTAGTTATAGTGCCCTGTTGTATTTAGTTTATTTGTATGTTTTGATTCTGCATTGAAACATAAATTCTGGGTTTCAGCTAAAACTGTCACAGAAGTGAGCAGAAAAATTACAAAGGAAGTCAGGATGAGAAATACCTGCTGGGGATTAGGCTCTTAGAAAAATGGAATATCTGATTTACTCCCTCACATCTAACAAGCTCAAGGCACATTTTCTAACTCTCCCTTTTGTAAAAAGTGTCAATGAGCACAATGGCTATTTTCACATCATCCCAGAACATAACACTGATAGATGTTAGTGCCCTCTTGTTTTCAATTTTCATTCTAGGGAAAACATTTTAGCAGTAAACATTTGGAATAGGGTACCACTTAAAAAGCATCATACTAAATATCACATAAAGGTCATTTCCATATGGCGTTTTAAATAACACAACCCCACTCAAAAAATTTACATATATTCCCATATGTGTAGGGACCATTATATTGTTGTAGTTCCCACTCCAGTGGCTGCAATAAATAACTGTTAAATTGTTAAAATTGAGTAGTGCCTCTGAAGGTATAGCTGAATAGGTAAATTTTGAGAGAAGATAGATGATTCTGTGTATAGGGACTGTAAGAAATATGAATTTACCCTAGAACATGGGATCTGCAGCATGAAAGTCTGGACTCTAGAATTCATTCTAACATTTACTAATTGTATGACCTTGAGGAAGTTCATTTTAAATTTGTAAAATAGGGATAAAATATTACTTGCCTTCTAGGAATGCTATGATGTTTTGAAAATAGTGATAAAGAAAAATTTTTTAGAGCTAGGAATCACGAATAAATTAGTTATAATAATAAATGCTTTTAGTAAAATTGTTTTGGATATATATATATTTATATTTATATATTTATATTTATATATTTATATTTATATTTATATTTATATTTTTTTGAGATGAAGTCTCGCTCTTGTCCCCCAGGCTGGAGTGCAATGGCACAATCTCTGCTCACTGCAACCTCCACCTCCTGGGTTCAAGTGATTCTCTTGCCTCAGCCTCCCGACTAGCTGGGATTACAGGCATTTGCACATGCCAGCTAATTTTTGTATGTTTAGTAGAGACGGGGTTTCACCATTTTGGCCAGGCTGGTCTTGAACTCCTGACCTCAGGTGATCTGCCCACCTCGGCCTCCCAAAGTGCTGGGATTATAAGCGTGAGCCACTGCGCCCAGCCTCATTTATATTTTTTAAATCTAAAAATCATTTTGGCCAGGCGAAGTGGCTCACACCTGTAATCCCAGCACTTTGGGAGGCCAAGGCAGGTGGATCACAAGGTCAGGAGTTTGAGACCAGCCTGGCCAACATAGTGAAACCCGTTCTCTACTAAAAATACAAAAAATTAGCCGGGCATGGTGGTGCATGCCTGTAATCCCAGCTACTAGAGAGGCTGAGGCAGCAGAATCGCTTGAACCTGGGAGGCAGATGTTGCAGTGAGCCGAGATCGTGCCATTGCACTCCAGCCTGGGCGACAGTGTGAGACTCGGTCTCAAAAAAATAATCAGTTTGTAGAATGATGCCAACAAAATATTTGAATAGGAGGTCCCTGCTCATATCCCCCCATAGCAACAATGATTTGGCAGCCATCCACAGACAAAAGTGCCTTTGTGAGAGCTTTGGGATCTACGTAGGAGGTTGCAAACCTCAGGTGGAACCCAAGACCTAGGTAAGCCATTTTAAGAAGGCAGGCCCATGTCCAGGTGGAAGGCTCACTGACCATGATCCTGGCTATAAACCCAGAAATAGCCCCATCTGCCAATGGACTGAGATATAGCCCTATTTGGCTTAGGTCCTCCCCACCAGCACCATCCATCAAGGGACTCAGGAGGAGACACCCCTGCCCATGCTTTGGATAATAGGCTGGCTGACCTGGGTCCTGGCTATGGACCCTAAAGCAGTCCATGACCCGGCTTCAGCCCCTCTCAGCCATGGTTCAGGAGCTGTCTTTGGCAGGGCAGTCCCCCTGGAGGCAGCCCCACTGACTTCAATCCAACTGCAGGTCCTGAAGCAGCCCTGTGACCCAGCTCTAGCCTGCTTTTGGAGCTAGTTATTAGGTCTTTATTAGTTTCCTTTGATGGTGTCATGTTTGCCTGTTTCTTCATGATTCATGTAGCCTTGCATTCATGTCTGTGCATTTGAAGGTGCAGTCACTTCTGCCAGTCTTTACACACTGGTTTAAGCAGATAAAGACTTTCTCTTGTCAAGTCCCCAGTTAGACCTCCATCACAGCTGTGGATCCTGAAACAGCCATGTGACTCAGTTCCAGCCCCTCTCAGCTAACATTTGGAGTCATCACCGCCTGTCCAGGGACCCATCCAGTGACCTAGTAGGAGTCCTACCAGAGACCTGGAGGGAGCCACACCCATTCATTCACCTGGTAACAGGCCCTTTATCTGAGGATCCAACTGTAGACCCTTGAGGAGACACATGGGACCAGAGCCAATTAGAGGAATGAAAAGGAAAAAAGAATTTAAGAAGTGACAAAAGAATACAAGACCCATGGGACACCATTGAATAAATGTGTGCATTATGGAAGTCCCAGAAGAAGAGAAAAAGAGAAAGAGGTAGAAATCTTATTTAAAACAATAGTGGCTGAAAAGTTCCCAAATCTTGGGAGGGAAGTGGACATCAAGACTCATAAAATCTCAAAATTCCCAAGATCAATCCAAAGAAGACTATTCCAAGACATATGGTCAAATCATCAAAAATCAAACACAGAGAAAATTTTGAAAGCAGCAAGAGAAACTCTTCACATACAAGGGAAATCAATTAGGCTATCAGAGATTTCTCAGCAGATATATTCAAAGTGCTTAAAAAACAAAAACAAAATTAAAAAAAAAAAAGCATGCCAACCAAAATACTAAAGCCAGAAAAGCCATCCTTCAGAAATAAAGAAGAGATAAAGACATTCCCAGACAAAATGTAACAAAGCTCACCACTAAAACTGCCTTACAAAAAATGCTAAAGGGAGTTCTGCAAGTTGAAACAAAAGGATGCTAAGTAGCAACATAAAAATATATGAAAGCACAAAAGTCACTGGTAAAGGTAAATACATAGTCAAGTTCAGAATGCTCTAATACTATAATAGCAGTAGGTAAATCATTTTTACTTCTAGTATAAAAGTTAAAAAACAAAAATATGGCCAGGTACGGTGGCTCACGCCTGTAATCTCAGCATTTTGGGAGGCCGAGGCAGGCAGATCACCTGAGGTCAGGAGTTCAAGACTAGCATGGCCAACATGGTGAAACCTCATCTCTACTAAAAATACAAAAAATTAGCCAGGGGTGGCAGCACACGCCTGTAATCCCAGCTACTCAGGAGGCCAGGGCATGAGAATCACTTGAACTTGGGAGGCAGAGGTTGTAGTGAGCCAAGATTGCACCATTACACTCCAGCCTGGGCAACAAGAGTGAAACTCTGACTCAGAAAAAAAAAAAAAAAAGACAAAAATGTTTAAAATAACTATAGCTACAATAATTTGTTAATAGACGCAATAAAATGATGTTAAGTGTGACATCAGTAGCATAAAATGCAAGGTGGAAGAGAAGTAAAAATGTAAAGTATTTGTATGTAATTGAAGTTAATTTGTTATCAGGTTAAAATAGACCATTATAACTATAAAATATTTTATGTAATCCTCATGGCAACCAAAAAGAAAAAAAAATCTAGCAGATATATAATGGATAAAAGGGTACATAATCAAAGCATAGCACTACCAAAAAATTAAATCACAAAGAAAGACAATAAGAGAGAAAGAAAAGAACAAAGGAATTACAAAGCTGTCAGAAAACAATTAACAAATGGCAATAGTAAGTCTTTACCTATCAAGAATTACTTTAAATATAAAGGTTTAAATTCTCCAATCAAAAGACACAGAGTGGTTGAATAGATTTTAAAAATAAAACGAGGCCAGGTATGATGGCTCATGGCTGTAATCCCAGCACTTTGGTAGGCCAAGGCAGGCGGATCACCTGATGTCAGGAGTTTGAGACCAGCCTGACCAACATGGAGAAACCCCATCTCTACTAAAAATACAAAATTAGCTGGGCGTGGTGGCACATGCCTGTAATCCCAGCTACTCAGGAGACTGAGGCAGGAGAATGGCTTGAACCCGGGAAGCGGAGGTTGCAGTGAGCCGAGATCATGCCATTGTACTCCAGCCTGGGCAACAAGAGCAAAACTCCATCTCAAAAAATAAAAAAAAAAATTAAAAAATAAAACAAGACCAATAATATACTGACTACAATAGACTCACTTTAGCCTACATAGGCTAAAAGTGAATGGATGGGAAAATATATCCTTTGCAAATAGTAACCAAAAGAGAGCAGAAGTGGCTATACTTATATCAGCCAAAATAGACTTTCAGTCAAAATCTGTCACAAGAAACCAAGAAGGTCATTAAACAATGATAAAGGAGTCAATTCATCAAGAGAATATAAAAATTATAAATATATATGCACCCAATGTCAGAGAACCTAAACACATAAAGGAAATATTAACAAGACTAAAGAGAGAAATAGATAGCAATACAATAATAGGAGAATTCAGTATGCCACTGTTTTTTGTTTTTTTTTTTTAATTTTTTATTTTGAGACAGAGTCTTGCTCTGTCACCCAGGCTGGAGTGCAGTGGTGTGATCTCAGCTCACTGTAACCTCGGCCTCCCGAATTCAAGCAATTCTCATGCCTCAGCCTCCCAAGTAGCTGGGATTACAGAATTGTGCCACCATGCCCAGCTAATTTTGGTATTTTTAGTAGAGACAGGGTTTCACCATGTTGGCCAGGCTGGTCTCAAATTCCTGACCTCAGGTGATCTGCTTGCCTCGGCCTCTCAAAGTGCTGGGATTACAGGCATGAGCCACCATGCCTGGCCATATGCCACTTTCAACAATGGATAGATCATTCAGACAAAAAATCAATAAGGAAACAGTAGACTTGAATAATGCTATAAACCAAATGGACCTAACAGACACACATGGAACATTCCACTCAACAGCAGCAGATTTCACATTTTTCTCAAGAGCAATGGAATATTCTCTAGGATAGATCATATATTAGGCCATAGCACAAGTCTTAACAAATTAAAGAAGATTGAAATCACATCAAGTATCTTTCCTGAAATCAATAATATAGAACTATAAATTAATAACAAGGAAAATTGGAAAATTCACAAATAGTATTAATAGAAATTAAACAACATGCTCTTGAACAACCAGTGGGTCAAAGAAGATTTAAAAAACTGTCTTCAAACCAACAGAAATAGAAACATAACATACCAAACATGGGATGCAACAAAAGCAGTTCTAACAGAGGAATTTATAGAGATAAATACCTAAATTTTAAAAAGAAAGATCTCACAGCCAGGTGCAGTGGCTCATGCCTGTAACCCCAGCAGTTTGGGAGGTCGAGGTGGGCAGATCACTTGAGGTCAGGAGTTCATGGCCAACATGGTGAAACCCCATCCCTACTAAAAATACAAAAATTAGCCAGGCCTGGTGGCAGGCACCCTCAGGAGGCTGAGGCAGGAGAATTCCTTGAAGCCAGGAGGCAGAGGCTGCAGTGAGCTGAGACTGTGCGACTTTACTCTAGCCTGTGCAACAGAGTGAGACTCTGTCTCAAAAAAAAAAAAAGACAAACTAAGCCCAAAGTTAGCAGAAGGGAGAAAAATAACAAAAATTAGAGCAGAAGTAAATGAAATAGAGAACAGAAAGACAATTTAAAAGATCAAAGAAACTAAGAGTTGATTTTTTAAAAAGATAAACAAAATTGACAAACCTTTAGTAAACTAACCAAGAAAAAAAGAAAGATGACTCAAAAAATTACAATCAGAAATGACAAAAGAATAGTTACAACTGATACCACAAAAATACAAAAGATTAGGTGGATTCCACCAAACAGAGAAGAATAAACACCAATTCTTCTAAAACTTTTCTAAAAAAAAAAATCAAGAGGGAGGAACATTTCCAAACTCTTTTTACAAGGCCAGTATTACCCTTGCATCAAAGTTAGATAAGAACACTAAAAGAAAAGAAACTTACAGGCTTATACTGAACACAGATGGAAAAATTCTCAATAAAATTTTTGCAGGCTGAGGCCAGGCACAGTGGCTCACTTGGGGATGCCAAGGTGGGCAGATCACTTGAGGCCAAGAGTTTAGACCAGCCTGGCCAACATAGTGAAACCCGGTCTTTACTGAAAATACAAAAATTGGGCCAGGTGCGGTGACTCCCACCTGTAATCCCAGCACTTTGGGAGGCCGAGGTGGGTGGATCACCTGAAGTCAGGAGTTTGAGACTAGCCTGGCCAATATGGTGAAACCATGTCTCTACTAAAATTAGAAAAGTTAGCTGGGTGTGGTGGTGCACATCTGTAATCCCAGCTACTTGGGAGGCTGAAGCATGAGAATAGCTTGAGCCCAGGAGGCGGAGACTGCAGTGAGCCGAGATTGCATCACTACATTCCAGCCTGGGTGGCAGAGCAAGACTCTGTCTCAAAAAGCAAAACAAAACAAAAATTGGCTGGGCAAGGTGATGTATGCCTGAAGTCCCAGCTACTTGGGAGGTTGAGGCACAAGAATCACTTAAACCCGGGAGGCAGAGGTTGCAGTGAGCTGAGATTGCACAATGGCCCTCCAGCCCGGGTGACAGAGTGAGACTCTGTCTCAAAAAAAAATGTTAAATTAAAAAAATATATATTAACTGGCTGAATTCAACAGCACATTAAAAGGAGCATACACTATGATCAAGTGGAATTTATCCTTGGTATGTACGGATGGTTCAACATACACAAATCAATAAATGTAATAAACCACATTAACAGGATAAAGGTAAAAATCATATGATCATCTCAATTGATGCAGAGAAAGCATTTAACATCCTTTTATGATAAAAATTCTCTACAAATTAGGTATAGAAGGAAGGTACCTCAACATAATAAAGGCCATATATTACAAACACACAGGTAACATCATATTCACTGGTGGAAAACTGATAGCTTCCTTTCTAAGATCAAGAACAAGACAAGGATGCCTACTCTCGCTACTTCTATTTAACATAGTACTGGAAGTTCTAGCCAGAGCAATTAAGCAAGAAAAAGAAGTAACAGCCATCCAAATAGGAAAGGAAGAAGTGAAATTGTCTCTGTTTGCAGATGACATGATCTTATATGTGGCAGACCCTAAAGACTCCTCCAAAACAACTGTTGGAAATAATTTTAAAATTCAGTAAAGTGCCAGGATACAAAATCATCATACAAAAATCAGTTGCATTTCTATACACTAATAACAAACTATCTGAAAAAGAAGAAAACAATCCCATTTACAATAGCATGAGAAAAAATAAAATACTTAAACCAAGGAAGTGAAAGATTTGTACACGGAAAATTATGACATTGATGACAGAAATGAAAGAAGACACAAATAAAATGGAAAGATAGAAATTCTGTGTTCACGGACTGGAAGAATTCATATTGTTAAGATAGCCATACTACCCAAAGTGCTCTACAGATTCAATGCAATCTCAATGAAATTCCAATGACATTTTTCACAGAAATAGAAAAAAACTATCTGAATATTTATGTGGAACCATGAAAGACCCCGAATGGCCAAAGAGAACAAAGGTAGAGGCACACATTTCTTGATTTCAAATAATATTACAAAACTATAGGAATCAACAGTATGGCAATGGCATAAAAACAGACACATAGACCAATAGAGAGCCCAGGAAAAACTACATGCATATATAGTCAACTAATCTTTAATAAAGGCACTAAGAATACATAATAGGGAAAGGATCATCTCTTCAATAAATGGCATGAGGAAAACTGAATATTCTCATGCAAAATAATGAAATTGGACCATTATCTTACATCACACACAGAGTTAACTCAAAATGGACTAATTTTTCCACTAGTTAGTCCATTTCAAGTTAACTCTGTGTGTGATGTAGTCTAGAAACTCTGGAGGCTGAGGTAGGAGAATCACTTGAACCTGGGAGGTGGAGGTTGCAGTGAGCCAAGATCACACCAATGCACTCCAGCCTGGGTGACAGAGCAAGACTCCATCAAAAAAAAAAAAAAAATTACAAAAATTTGTAAGGCATGATGGTGGGAAGCTGAGGTGGGAGGATGGCTTGAGCCTGGGAGAAGGAGGTTGCAGGCCAGGCACAGTGGCTCACACCTATAATCCTAGCACTTTGGGAGACCAAGGTGGGCAGATCACTTGAAGTTAGGAGTTCAAGATCAGCCCAGCCAACATGGTGAAATGATGTTTCTACTAAAAATCCAAAAAAAAAAAAAAGTATCCAGGTATGGTGATGCACACCTGTAATCCTAGCTACTTGGGAGGCTGAGAGGGGAGGATTGCTTGAACCTGGGAGGTGAGGGTTGCAGTGAGCAGAGATCGCGCCATTGCACACTCCAGTCTGAGAGACAGAGAGATACTCTGTTTCAACAAAAAAGAAAGAAAGAAAGTCAAGCTATTGGAGAAACTGGACAGCAGTGTAAGTGTGAAATGTCTTATAGAAGAGTATTGTGTTGGAATGGCCACCATATAAGACCTGAAGAAACAGAAGGATAAGCTGTTGAAGTTCTATGCTTAAAGTGATGAATAGAAGTTATGAAAAATGGAAAAGCATAAAGCTAAAAATGAAGATCTCGATTATGTATTGAAAGAGTGGATCTGTCAGCATTGCAGTGAACACATGCCACTTAATGGTATGCTGATCATGAAACAAGCAAACATCTATCACAGTGAACTGAAAATTGGAGGGAGCTGTGAATATTCAATAGGCTGGTTGCAGAAATTTTTAAAAAGATATGGTATTAAATTTTTGAAGTTTTTTTGTGGTAAAGCATCTGCTCATCACAAAGCAGTAGAGAAATTCATTGATGAATTTGTCAAGGTCATCACTGATGAAAATCTGATGCCAGAACAAGCTTGTAATTGTCTAAGTACATTTTGTGTTGCTATAAAGGAATGCCTGAGGCTGGGGAATTTACAAAGTAAAGAGGTTTATTTGGCTCATGGGTCTTCAGGCTGCACAAAAAATACGGTGCCAGCATCTGCTTCTGGTGAGGCCCTCAGATTGCTTCCACTCATAGTGGAAAGTGAAGCGAGAGCCATCTTGTGCAGAAATCACATGGCAAGAGAAGAAGCAGGGGTTGGGGAGGTCCCAGGCTCTTTTTAACAATCAGCTCTCTCTAATAGAGTGAGAACCCACTCATGCCTCCTCCCCTCAGGGAAGCCATGAATCTATTTACCAGGGATCTGCAAACCCCCGCCCCACACTGCCCGATTCAAACACCTCCCATTAGTTCCCACCTCCAACACTGGTGATCAAACTTCAACATAAGATTTGGAGGGGACAAACATCCAAACTATAGCAATAATGCTAATGAGACATCGCTATTTTGGCATTGTTGCCCCAGAAAGACACTGACCACTGCTAATCGGACAGCTCCTACAGGAATTAAGGATGCCAAGGACAGAATAACTATGCTGGGATGTTCCAATGCAGCATGTATGCATAAGTTACATAAGTGTAAACTTGCTGAGGTAGGGAAAAGCTTGCATCCTCACTGTTTCCAAAAAGTGAATTTCATACCAATCTATGATTATATTAAGAAAAAGGCATGGATCACCAGGAATATCTTTTCTGATTGATTTCACAAACATTTTGTACCAGTGGCATGTGCTCACTGCTGGGAAGCTGGGCTGGATGGCAATTGGAAGATTTCATTATTCCTTGACAACTGTTATGCTCATTCTCATCCGCCAGCTGAAATTCTCACCAAAAATAATGTTTATGCCACGTACTTTCCCCCAAATGTGACTCCATTATTTCAACCACATGACCAGGGAATTCTTAGATAAGAGTAAATATAAAAACACTTTCTTAAACAGCATTCTAACAGCAGTGGACAGAGGTGTGGGTGTGGAAGGTTTTCAAAAGGAGTTTAGCTATGTATACTATATATGCTTTTGCAATGCTTGGCACACAGTGACTAAAGTCACTGGCCTGGCATAACCTGTGTCCTACAACTATGTTCAGTGATGATGATAAACAAGATGGTGACTCTAAAGGATTCCATATGTCAAGTTAGAATAAAATGATGCCTGACCTCCTTACATATGCAAAAAATATACTTTTGGAGTCTCTAAGTAAGCTGGAAGAAGTGAATATTGAAGACTTTTTAACATCAATACCGAGGCTCCAGTTGTTCATTCACAGATTTATGGTAAAATAGCGAAAATGGTTCTGAATCAAGGTGATTGTGATCATAGTGATGACGAAGATGATGTTGTTAACACTGCAGAAAAAGTGCCTACAGATGACATGGTGCAAATGTGTGATGAGCTTATTGAAGGATTTGAGCAGTGTGCATTCATAATAGAACAAGAAATCATGTCTGTTTATAAAATCAAGAGAGACTTCTAAGGCAAAAACCATGGTCAATGAAGCAGATTAATCTGGAGGAAACACTTTAAAAAGCCAGCAGATGCCCCCTCATCCCTAGAGGACCCACTTCCTGGTCCTTCAACTTCTTTTGATGTTTCTTCTCACCTAAAAAAAAGAAATACAGGCTGGGCGTGGTGGCTCACGCCTGTAATCCCAGCACTTTGGGAGGCCAAGGTGGGTGGATCACCTGAGGTCGGGAGTTTGAGACCTGACCAACATGGAGAAACCCCGTCTCTACTAAAAATACAAAATTAGCTGGGCGTGGTGGCACACCTGTAATCCCAGCTACTTGGGAGGCTGAGGCAGGAGAATCGCTTGAACCCGGGAGGCGGAGGTTGTGGTGAGCTGAGATCGCGCCGTTGCCCTCCAGCCTGGGCAACAATAGCGAAACTCTGTCTCAAAAAAAAAAAGAAAGAAAGAAAAAGAAAAAGAAATACAGTGTAAAGTTGTAACTTTTTAATTGAAACGCAGCATTGTAGACAGAGAAGCAAAAACATTTGCTTCCTTTGTCGTTACCATTGTTTCACAGCTGATACAGGTATTCTGGCGATGCCACTGTGCTGCTTAGTTTCCCTGAACACATTATTTTTTCACTGTATTAATGATATTTCACATTTTTTATTGTAAGTACTAATGTGTGAATAAGTCTGAGAAAATGGTTGCTTATTGGTAGCATATAAATTCAGAGTCAGGAATGATGATGATGCCAAACAACCACAGATTGTCCACTTGGGTGGCTGAGATAGTGATACTTGTGCTTTCTGATGGTTCAGTGTACACAAATTTTGTTTTGTGCACAAAATTATTTAAAATATTGTATAAAATTACCTTCAGGCTATGTGTATAATGTATATATGAAACATAAATGAACTTTGTGTTTAGACTTGGCTCCCATCCCTAAGATATCTCATAATCTGGAAATATTTCAAAATCTGAAATCCAAAACACTTCTGGCCCCAAACATTTCAGATAAGGTATATTCAACCTGTATCTGCACTCCCATTCTCATTGAGCAGTATTCACAGTAGCCAAGATATGGAAATAATACAAGTGTCTGTCCACAGATGAATGGATAAAGAAAATGTTATACACACGCACATACACACACACGTGCACATACACACACACAGACACACACACACACATATTGGAATATCATTCAGCCATGAAAAAGGAAGAAGATCCCACGATTTGTGATAACAGGCTTGAACCTGGAGGAGATTATGCTAAGTGAATTAAGCTAGATATAGAAAGACAAATACTATATTATCTCACTTATATGTGGAATCTATACTAGTCAAACTCATAGAAGCAGAGAGTAGAATGGTGGTTGCCAGGGGCTGAGGCGAGGGGGAAGGGTTGTGGAGGGAGATGTTAACTGAAGGTACAGACTTTCAGTTCTAAGATTAATAAATTCTGGGAATTTACATACATCATGGTGACTATTGCATACTTTTTTTTTTTTTTTTTTGAGACTGAGTCTTGCTCTGTAACCCAGGCTGGAGTGCAGTGGCGCAAACTCAGCTCACTGTAACCTCTGCCTCCCAGACTCAAGTGATTCTGCCACCTCAGCCTCCTGAGTACCTGGGACTACAGGCATGCTCCACCACACTCAGCTAATTTTTGTATTTTTAGTAAATGGGGTTTCACCATGTTGGCCAGTCTGGTCTCAAACTCCTGACCTCAAGTGATCCTCCCACCTCAACCTCCCAAAGTGCTGGGATTACAGGCATGAACCACCACACCCGACCTATTGTGTACTTGAAATTTGCTGTGTGCATAGATCTTAAGTGTTCTCACCACAGGTGACAATGTGAGGTAATGGATATGTTAATCAGCTTGATTGTGGTAATCATTTCACTGTGTGTGTATACATATAAAACATACATATAATCAAATCTTTATTATATGGATAAAATCATCACATTGTACATGTTAGAGGTATACAATTTTTATTTTTTGATTATACCTTAATAAGGCTAGAAAAGTTAAACCATTTTTCAAAATAAAAAATTAAAAACAATAAAATGTAAATGCTCATTTTAAAAATCAGAGAAGTAGATATAAGAAAAAAGGAAAAAGTATCCATAGTGCTACCATCCTTCATCTTCAAGTCTTTGCTCAAATATCACTTTCTCAGTGAGGCTTTTCAGGACACGTGGTTTAAACTTGTTGCACTACCACTTCCACATACACAAATGCTGGGTTCTTCTGATCTTTAGCACTTCAGGATGTGTGAATCACTGTTTAATTTATGTCTTTGTTCATTGTCTATATTCCTACCCAGAATTTAGGCTCCATGAGGTCAAGGACTTTGTCCACTTTGTTCACTGTTTTATCCTTAGTGCCTGTACATTGTTGGTCTTGAATAAACGTTTGTTGGAGGAATCCAAACACAAGTACTGTTAACATTTAGACTTTTTTCTTCTAGTTTTCTAGGCAGCAAGTTTTACTATTTTGTAACAGGATGGAACACTAACATCTATTCAATGCCAGGCACTGCGCTAGGGATTTTACATACTATATTTCATTTTATCTCTCAAAACCCCTCAAAGATATTATCCCTGATTTACAGATGAGAAAAACAAAAGCTCAAAGATATTAATATGCTCAAGTTCACACCCTAGGAAATTGAAACTGGATTCAAATCAAAATCCATGACTCTAAGTCTGTGCAATTTCACTGCATCATTGTCCTCTATATAGTTGTACTCTAGCTGTATCTGTATTCATATTTATCTTTTTCCACTTAGTTTTATATCCTAAGTATTTCCTCATGTCATCACATTCCATTTCCTATTTTAATGGAAAAAGCTAACTGTATAAATGAGGGTCATACTAGAGATAGCAGTAATATACATTGGCTGAAGGTCATAAACACCTATCATTTAAGCGTTTCATTATGAACTTTCCTAAAAATCATATTTAATCTAACCTTCGTGCTTTTATCCAAAAGCTCATCCCTACTCCTGTTCACCTACCCATATTTGTATTACTTGGGATTCTCAGATTCAACCTAATCACTTAAGTTTTTGTTTTTTAGGGAGGTTATTTATGATAAGACACAAGATTCACTCACAGATTTGAAGCTGAACAGTTAAGCCTTGAAAAAGTCCTCTGGCCCTTGGCCATTGGGGCTTGCTTACCATCCCCTGCCTTTGAATTTCTGCCTGTTGGCATCATCCTCTCAGACCAGCTTTGAAGACATAGCTGCCTTGGGCACACATCCTTGCAGCTCTCTGACTAGAGAAAAAAGGAATATCTTTCTTCCGCTTGAGTCTGAAAATGAGTGGTAAAAAGACACTGAATGACCTGGGCGGGACTTTGTGCCTATCTAGAGACCAGTCAATGTGCCCAGAAGAAAGAAGAACACTGATTAACTCAACTTGAGCATGTGCCATACCTCTGAAGTACTTCATGATTAGTAGCCCCCACATGGTTTTAAGGAGCATTTGCCAGAAAAAAAAAAATGCCTGTTCTGTACAGACAAAAGGTTGAATGCCCCTCTATAGGCCACCGCACCTGGCCTCAGGTGCTTTTTGAGTGGACTGAACTTCACGATCATTACCTCACATCCTCACATCACAGGTCAAATCCTGTCTCCTTTCTTGATGACTTCATTCATTATGAGAAAAGGTTCATGGAGCGCCTACCATGTGGTAGGCATTGCTAGGTTCTGGAGACATCCATTTACTCATTCAGTCAGTCAGCAATTTTTATTCAGAGCTTTCTGTGCCAAGTACTATGCTAAGTTGCTGGGGGACACAGCAGTGAGGAAGACAGATGAGATCTCTGCCCTCTCAGAACTTGTGTCATGTCGGCCAGGCGTGATGGCTCATGCCTGTAATCCCAACACTTTGGGAGGCTGAGGAGAGTAGATCACCTGAGGCTGGGAGCTTGAAACTAGCCTGGCCAACATGGCGAAACCCTATCTCTACTAAAAATACAAAAAATTAGCTGAATGTGGTTGCACATGCCTGTAATTCCAGCTACTCAGGAGGCCGAGGCTGGAGAACTGCTTGAACCTGGGAGACAGAGGTTGCAGGAAGCCAAGATCACACCACTGCACACCAGCCTGGGCAACAGAGCGAGACTCTGCATCAAAAAAAAAAAAAAAAAAAAAAAAAAAGCAAAATTTATGTGGGGACAACAGTTAATAAACAAGTAGATAAATGAAACAATTACAGATTGTGAGAAGAAATGAAGAGATGAAAAGCGTACCTTATTCAGAGAATGATGAGGGTGGGCATGGGGGAGGGTGTCTGCTTGGGTGGTGAAGGCCAGGCTCTCTGAAGAGCTGATACTGGAAAACTTAACCAACCCATGTGTCCTCCTTTTGAAGCCCTCACAGGCCTTGGCATAGAGGCTGAGCACATGAAGATCTGCTAAAGTGAATGGGAAACTAGGGAAATGAAAATAAATATCTAGCTTAGTGTAAAAGTAAGGAAATATTTTTTGAAAATTGAAACCTGTTGGGTAAAGGTCATGCTCTCTTAGAGCTTTTGAAAAAAAACACATCATTTAACAGTCATTAAGAAAAAATGTGTGACCACAGGAACTGCAGAGTTCATAGGTTTCAATACATATTTCAAAACAAGCCTCAGAAATAACAATCCAATGTGTCATTGCTATACAACTCCTTGAAAAATAAATCCACAACAAAAGGAAAAAAATAAGACTATTTTGCAGTCCAGATATCTAAGTATTAAAGAACTTATAGGAGCCTCTGAAAATCCAGTAGGCATGTTTATGTCTTTATGATGATCTTCTCCCCTGGATAAATTTGTTTTTAGAAAGAACTAAAAACTTCTATTTTGAGATTGCTCTGTACACATGCATGATATTTGACCATGTAGAGTCATGAACATGCTCTGTCTATACATTCACATACATAAAGACAGGGGGATGTGGAAAGGATATGGATTTAGTCAGATAGAATTGGGTCCCAATTCTGGTTCCAGTACTTTTTTTTTTTTTTGAAACGCAGCTTCACTCTGTCATCCAGGCTGTATTGCAATGGTGTGATCTCAGCTCACTGCAACACCCGCCTCCCAGGTTCAAGCGATTCTCCTGCCTCAGCCTCCTGAGTAGCTGGAATTGCAGGCACCCACTGCCACACCTGGCTAATTTTTGTATTTTTAGCAGAGACGGGGTTCACCATGTTGGCCAGGCTGGTCTTGAACTCCTGACCTCAGGTGATCCACCAGCCCCAGCCTCCCAAACTGCTGGGATTACAGGCATGAGCCACCGCGCCCGGCCTGGTTCCACCACTTATTAGCTGTGTGATTTTGAACAAGTTATTTGACTTTTCCAGGCCTCATTTCTCATCTGTGAAATAGAGGTAATAATAACTTCACAGGGTTTTCTGAAGTTTTCATTAAATCAGATGTGTTGAATGCTAGGTAGATGTATTGAATGTGAAACAGAGGCAAACCCTAATGAATGGTATTTATTCATTTATTTAAGATTTACTTATTTACTAGGCCTGGACAAGACATAATCTCATTTCTATTACTCTTACAGTCTATGAAAGAGAAAATTCAGAATATTTCGTTTGCTTCTGATTCTGATCACACTAGAAACATTAAATGACAACCACTACTATTTCATTAACATATCAGGAGTCAATTGGAACAAGTTCAGCTGTGAAATAATTTTGAAAAGGTTAAGTGTTTTTCTGTTCTTTCTGCTTTAGCTCAGAACATACATGGGATACATTTAATTATTCATGTGTAAAGGAAAGATCCCAAATAACATTCAGTCAAACCAGTATTTTCACAGGCCAGAGGGGCCTTGGCCATCTGTGTGAGTGTTGTTGCCTCTCCTAAGTTTTCTGCTCATTCCTGCATCTGTGATCTGGTTCAAGGTGCTTTTTTCTTTTTAATTTTTCACTTTTTATTTTTTTATTTGAGATAGGGTTTCACTCCTGTCACCCAGGCTGGAGTGCAGTGGCACGATCTTGGCTCACTGCAGCCTCCGTCTCCCACACTTAAGCGATTCTCCTGTCTCAACCTCCTGAGTAGCTGGGACTACAGGCACATGCCACTACATCTGGCTAATTTTTTTTTTTTTTTTTTTTTTTTTTTAGTAGAGACAGGGTTTTGGCATGTTGCCTAGGCTAGTCTCAAACTCCTGAGCTCAAGTGATCTGCCCACCTTAGCCTCCCAAAGTGCTGGGATTACAGGTATGAGACACCACACCTGGCCTCAAGTGCTTTTTGACAGGACTGAACTTCACATCTACTCATCTCAATTTCATTCATCCTCCTACCTAGTTATTCATCCTCCTTACCTAGTTACTCATTCCATCTGCCATCATAGCTTTGGTTTTAGGGAAAGGGGATTTCACAGTTCTTTTGTTCCATCAACAAACAATATTTACTCTTGAATGTCTCAAATTTTTCTCACCTTTTTATAAGCAGGAATTCCCCCTTAAATTGTCTCAGCCCGTCTTTAAGTCATGCTGCCTCAAAAATGGAGTACTGGTATCTTATAGTTACTTATAGTGACTTGGTCCATATTCCACCTAAAGTAGAAATCTTTAAAATATCCTACTTGAGATGATGGGGCAATCAATACTTGAAGACATAGCCAAGTCCTTATGGGTAGCTCTAATCTTAAGAAAGGTTTTCTTTTCGTTAAACAGTTCACACAGGCTATCTCTGGAGAGTAGAGATGGAGGAAGGTGAGAGGCAGGAAAGGAAAGGGAAAGGAGGAGAAAGATTTTCAAGTTTCATAATATACCCTTTTGTTATGAATGTATTTTTTCCCTTGTGGGTGAATTACTTAAATTTAATCAAAATCTGCATCCCCTTAACCATCAGTACTAGAATTACACACAGTAAATCTGACGCTTCCTCCAAATAACACTTTCAAATCTTAAACTACCTTGTCCTTTTCATGTCTATTCATCTTTAAGCTAAGGACACTATTCCTTCAAATGTTCCTCGTATGATCAAGCACATACCTTTATTAGTTACCTCTTGCAGCATTTATTTTTTTCTTCCCTTGACCCAATAGCCCCTGATTTCTGAGCGGGGCTCCATCTGGTTCTGGAGAAGCTGACTCTGCCCCTGCTCCAAGGGTGGAGTATATGACCTAGGCTATCGTTCCTTTTTCCTGGCCACAGAGATGGGTTCAAGGGGTGGACACTTGATCAACGCTAGTCCAATCAGAACAAATCTCAGGGGTGAACTAGAAATGATAGTTTTAAAGTGTGGGGTGAAGATGAGGATGCATGGAACCTTGGGAATTGTTGACGTTTATCTTGGACCATGAAGGGAAGAGCCTACTGAAAAATGCACCAATATTCAAAAAGCAGGTGGAGAGATGGAGAGAAAAATCTGAGTACTTCTTGTATGAGAAGAAAGGCCTTGTTTGAAGGCAATTCTACTTTAGAATTATGTGATTTCAACTACAAGTCAACATACTATTTTGCTTAGCCCAGTTTGAGTCTAGTGCTTTGTTACTTGCAACTGAAAATATCCTGACTGATATGTGTGAGATGGTTCTTCCCTAGAGTTGCCTGCCTTTGGACAGACTTCAGTTTGTCAGTGACCTGCTTACCAGGTTCCCAGAACACAACCTACTATTGTAGATGAGATTGACCATGGCAGGCCACAGAGGCTTTCTAATGAGCCTGGATCCCAATGTATTGCTATTATGTCTGAACTTGAAACTGTACTGGAATTTTGATCACCCCAATTCCAACAACTATCACCAGAAAACTACCTATTTTACGAATCATTTGGGAACACAAACCCTAAACACCCAGGAGCTTGCAGGAGAAAATAGAAAGGATATTTCAGAATATACTTTTGATATTTCAGAATATCCTTTTCTATAAAAAGTTCAAAGTCCCTTCTGTTTCTGCTTTAGCTTTCAGAAACAGAATTACCAACTCCTTGCTTAGTTTAATTTTGACATGTGTATTTAACAAATTGCAGGTTTTCAAAATAATTACTATACACAAGTACTGTTTAAAAAAAAAATTTTTTTTCTGAGCAAAGTAACCACCATGTTTTGCAACCATGTTGAGTGGTTGCCATCAACGATGAAGTAAGAGCACCGGAGGTCTTTCCTGGGGAAGAACACAGCTCATGCACCCCCAAGAGGCCTCTGGGTTGACATTTCCTTGGTGACTTTACCAAGATCCAGATTCTGGACCTCAGTTTGGGCAGGTCCATAAACTAGACTTTATAAGTGTATTCCCAGAGGTGCAGACTCAGTGGAACACTCACATGAGATGGACATGTAAATCAGAATGCCAATGCTTTCATTTTTCAATGGAGATGACCTTTTGCAGGAGATAGATGACCTGCATTTCATTCAGAACACCACACTTCCCTTTCCTAGGGGTAGAAAATTGGAAAGCTGGATTAGTAATAAAGACAACTGCTGGGTGAGCATGGAATTAAGAGAAAGGGAGTGGATTGTCTTGAGGACTATTTCACCCAGGTCATGATGAGACTCTGATAAAATACATCCTCACACATGGGTGATAATATTTATCTAGGGGGCTGGGCACGGTGGCCCATGCCTGTAATCCCAGCACTTTGGGAGGCCGAGGTAGATGGATCACCTGAGGTCGGGAGTTCGAGACCAGCCTGACCAAGATGGTGAAACCCTGTCTCTACTAAAAATACAAAAATTAGCTGGACATGATGGCGGGTGCCTGTAATCCTAGCTACTTGGGAGGCTGAGGCAGGAGAATTTCTCGAACCCAGGAGGTGGAGGTTGCAGTGAGCCCAAACGGCGCCACTGTACTCCAGCCTGGGTGACAGAGCAAGACTCTGTCTCAAAAAAAAAAAAAAAAATCTATCTGGGGGCCAAAGGGAATGTGGCATGGTCCACATTATCAAAGTTCTCTTTGTAGAATGACAATAGCTAATACTTATTTATGGTAGTTCTTACCATGTGACCAATCACTATTCCAGACATCTATTAACTAACTTAATCTTTGTAATAAGACTTTGAGACTTATGCTATCATTAGCCCCATTTTACAGATGCTAACACTGAGTCACAAAAGGGGAAAATGACTTGCTAAAAGTTGCATTGCTAATCAAGTGGTAAAGCTGGGATTCATATGTAGCCTGACTCCAGAGTCCATGCCTTAAATTGCTATGCTATACTGCTTCTTGAATGCTGTGTTTTTCTGTGCTACACACTCATCTCTGCTGCTACATCCTACATAACACATTAACTACTTTATATGCTATTTGACACCACCTCTATAGTTAGTTCTGAGTCCTGATAATGCTATGTCTCTGAAATATTTTCATCTGTATATATACACATACATGCATAAAATGTATGTATATATATAATTTCTCAAGAAGATATATACGTGTGTGTGTGTGTGTGTGTGTGTGTGTATAAAATCCTTTACTGTTGCCTCTATACATACCAAAAAATATAAACAAAACCATGCTAGTATGGGCTGTTGGCTAGGAAAAGAACTTTGTTATATTGAACTGGACAGTGTGGTGATAGTTGTTAAAATAGGATTCTGCCTATATTTAATCCTTCTCCAAAAAAGGAAATATTTAGTTTCAGAGAGGTATTACAGCAAGAAACATTAGAGAAGAATGAGGAACGTGCATTGGCCTTCAATCAGAATGTAATGCTCCAGTCGAAGCCAGCTGTTCCTGCATCAGGCCTAAGGCAGCACACCCTTGGCCATGCTGTCTCTGAATCTCTGCAAAAGAGCCAGGTTAAGTCTGGATTTTATTGAACTGATCCTATCCTTCCTTCACAAGGATTGTTTTAAAACCACTATAATCTTAAGAAATATTCCCTTGTTATTTTCTTTTTTAAAGTTACATTTTAAAAAAAAGATTAAAAATGTATGATTCAAAAGCCTAAATGTATGAAAGGTAATTCAGTGAAGTCTTTTCCATGCCCAAACTCCTAACACTTGGTTTCCCTCCTGGGAGGCAATTATCAGTTCCTTCCTTACTTATCCTTCCAGAGATATTCCATTATCATTTCCTTTTATTGTCACTTTTTTCCCCCAGGAGATATGTAGTTGGGCCTTTTTAGCTTATTTTGCCATACTTTCTTTTTCTTCTTCTCCTATCCCTTCTTTCAAAAGACAAGGTTAAGCTCTCCTGCAGACTTTTCTTCTAAATGCCAATCTGCCCTTGGTTGATATTGGTTTTATCATCTTCCAAATCCAGTTTCTGTTCTAGCTAGGATTAAGCTTGTATGCGACAGCTAGTGGTCCCAGTCACCTTCCAATGAATGATGGATGGGACCAGGAGGAGCAACGGTTCCCTAATACCATTAATTACAAGATTTTCATAAGCTCAAAATTCTAGAACTGACAGTTGCTTCCAACTGTTACCAGCTGTTAATTTGGCAGAGGTGTTGGGGATCTGAGTGCCGTTCTGCAAACAATCTGGGACAGCGGCTGGCTCACCATATATCTTCTTTCACAGGCTCTGTGATGGTCGATTCTGGATTTCTTGGGTCTAAAATAATATCCTAAGCCCATTCCAGAGTCCACATGTCTATCACTAGCCATGTGACCTTGCAGGAGTAATTTACTCTAGGTACTTTGTTTCTTGTCTGTAAAATGAAGGAATTGGATGCAATGATCTCTCAACTTCCAGTTCTAAAAATTCCGTAAGAAAATGGGATCTGTTGTTAAATGGTGAATGTAACCACAGTCCTTTTCTCTTTCCCCAAAAGCACTTAAAGCTTGAAGGAGTGAAGAGTTTGACCATGATCTCGAAACAATAGCTGATGCGTCCCTGTGCAGTTTTAAAGCAACTGCTTAGGGGTTTCTATTCTTCTGTTTTCTCCTAGCGGGTTTAAGAACTGCTGTCCCATAGCTGGAAAAAAAAGAAAAGAAAAGAAAAAAAAATTCTGGCCCCACACACTGGCAAGTAGATTTTAAAATAATTTTTAGTTATTATGAAAACAGAATTATGGGCTGGGCACAGTGGCACCCTGTAATCCCAACACTTTGGGAGGCCGGGGTGGGTGGATCACCTGAGATCAGGAGTTCGAGACCAGCCTGGCCAACATGGCAAAACCCCATCTCTACTAAAAATACAAAATTTAGCCGGGCATGGTGGTGGGCATATGTAGTCCTAGCTACTTGGGAGGCTGAGGCAGGAAAATTGTTTGAACCCGGGAAGTGGAGGTTGCAGTGAGCCGAGATCACGCTACTGCACTCCAGCCTGGATGACAGAGTGAGACTCTGTCTCAAAAAAGAAAAGAAAAAACAGCATTATGTATGTATGTATGTATTTATTTATTTATTTATTTATTTATTTTGAGATGGGGTCTCATCTCACTCTGTCACCCAGGCTGGAATGCAATCTTAGCTCACTGCAACCTCTGCCTCCCAGGTTCAACCAATTCTCCTGCCTCAGCCTCTGGAGTAGCTGGGATTACAGAGGCATGCTCCACCACACTCAGCTAATTTTTTTTGTTTGTTTGTAGTTTTTTTAGTAAAGGAGTTTCACCATGTTGGACAGGCTGGTCTCTAACTCCAGTCCTCAAGTGATCTGCTGGTGTCGGCCTCCCAAAGTGCTGGGATTACAGGCATAAGCCACCGCACCCGGCCAAGCATTAATTATTTTTAAAGTATGGAAAGGCAGTGGCAAAAGAGCAACCCCCTCCTTTTTAACGTCACCTGTATAAGATCCAGTTAATCTATAATTCTCACCCAATTTGAATGTTATTTTGAGTCTTCACAGTGGCAGTTTTGCCATATGCTTGTTGAGTTAGATGCATCTCCCTACGAAAGGCCAACCTAGCTGCAGTGACTTGGCTTTTTGGGTGGCAGTACACTGGGTGCCGCATTTCCATGTAGGCACATTGGCTTGGTAAATTCTGAAACTCAGTTTTGTCGGGACACTCAGAAGTGTCACTTTTTCAGGACCCAACTGCACAAACCAAACTCCCAAACTCCTGATAGACTGATACTCAATCCAGACTGACATCTTATCTATTTGCAATGGGAGATGTACTTTCTTCACAACCAGGATGCTCGGGCCTGCTGTCTAGGCACCACCTTTCCTATATCAAGGTACCTGGGGAAATTTTTTTTATTCAGAAGATTTGAGGAGCATGGAATTAGTAAAAGACATCACATCCAGGCCCTGTTAGATAGGATAAGATGAACAATTTCTACTTTACGAAAAGTTCTAGGCTGCAGGTGCTTCACATTTGATTCATTTACTCATTCAGTGAACATTTACAAGCCCACTAGCAGATTTACTGGGCCATTAAAGCTTAAGTTTCATGGCCCTCACTTACAAGGGCCCTTTCAAGGCTGTTGGAGTGGCCTTGGTAATATGTTGATACATTCATACTTTTTGTAAGATTTTCAAAAGTAAGATATTTTACATGCAGTTGGTTAAGACTACTATCTCTTTGTGCGCTGACTTCCTCGGTCACACTTCCTCTTGAGTAGGGTGGCACTGGAGTATCTCACAGGCATTTTGGGGATCTGGCAAATGAGAAGTTGAGTTGGAGCTACAGTATGCTGGGGTTTAGAGGGCTGACTTCGCCATGTCAGAATGCCTTTGGGGAGTGCTTCTACTGCCACTGAGACAGCTTACCCAGTATTGAGACCCAAGGGTCTCAGTGGTCAAAAAGCCAGATTGCAACATGAACATGTCCTGTAGTATTGAAGGTAAGTGGAACAAAAGAGAAAGAAGGTTTGAAATGTAGAGTCAGAAGCTAATCTGTGGGAAACCCTTCTAGCCTTCACATATGTAATGTTGTAAGTAGAAATTTCAGTAATCTTGAATGCCTATTCAAACTGCGAGTTTTCTCCCATCGGGAAGAAATTATGCAATACATACAATTATCCATACATACAATTATAAACATGTCACAATTTTTTTTTCTTGATGAGAATGAGGAAGAGTAGAACTTATTAGAACCTTTGTATTTGTATTGTAGTATTACAAACTATGAATATATTTGTGTGAAAAGTTAAGTATTTTGTATACCCCAATCATCAATAATTTAATTTTTTTTTTTGGATCAGCCAAGCTAGAAAACTGAATTAGCTTTCAATTCTGTCTCTATAAATTGAGAATGGCAATGAGGTCATGGACCCAGCCTATGGTCCCTTAAAAGCCAGCAGCATTCTCCTTCCACACACCCAGTGCTCAGGTTCAGGAATCTTCGCTGAGACTGGGCCCCTGGTGCTGAGATCCTAGCCCTTAGATACAACATGCAGCCAGCCTCTGCTGATGCTTCCCGGAAACTGCTGCTGAGCAGTGTGAGATTCCCTGTGGCTCCCCCTTTCTCCATCCAGGGGAATTTCTGGAGAGAATTACCATTTCTCTCCAAAAGTTAAAAAAAAAGAAAGAAAGAAAGAAAGAAAAGTATTTGCCCTCTTCTCTTTCCTCCAGGACACTCTTCATAATTCTCTTCAAGGGCCTTGGGATTTTTACAAAACCCAAGAGGAGGCTTTGACTCTATTGCTGGTAAATTTTGCCTGGGAAAAATCCCCAGTCCCAGGAAAGCAATGGAAGATGTACTTTCTCCCATTGAGAGAAACTGGGAACCCACTCAAAATAGGGAGAAGTGAAAAATATTGAAAATGCAAATTAATATGAATGGAATGAGGTAGAGGGTATAAGGGAGTAGAATATAAAATGGTGTGTGCGTGGTGATATTTGACAGACACTGCCAAATTCTTGCTCTCTGCATTTCTTTGATTTGTTTGGTTTATTTTTTTAATTAGTATTTATTTATTTATTTATTTTTATTTATATTTGAGACAGTTTCCCCTCTGTCTCCCAGGCTGGAGTGCAGTGACATGATTTTGGCTCCACTGTAAGCTCTGCCTCTCGAGCTCGAACGATTCTCCTGCCTCAGATTCAGACTCCTTTCCTCTCCTCTCCTCTCCTCTCCTCTCCTCTCCTCTCCTCTCCTCTCTTCTACTTTCCTTTCCTTTTTTTTGAGATGGAGTCTTGCTGTGTTGCCCAGGAGTGCAATGGTGCAATCTCAGCTCACTGCAACCTCCGCCTCCCAGGCTCAAGCGATTCCCCTATCTCAGCCTCTCAAGTAGCTGGGATTACAGGTGCCTGCCACCATGCCCAGCTAATTTTTGTATTTTTAGTAGAGACAGGGTTCCACCATTTTGGCCAGGCTAGTCTCGAACTCCTGACCTCAAGTGATCCACCCGTCTCGGCCTCCCAAAGTGCTGGGATTACAGATGTGAGTCACTACGCCCAGCTTAGCCTCCTGATCATGCCTCAGCCTCCCAAGTAGCTGGGATTGTAAGAGTACGCTGCCATGACTGGCTAATTTTTGTATTTTTAGTAGAAACAGGGTTTTGCCATGTTAGCCAGGCTGGTCTTGAACTCCTGGCCTCAAGTGATCTGCCAGCCTCGGCCTCCCAACGTGCTGAGATTACAGGCATGAGCCACTGCGCCCAGCCTATTTGTTTATTTTTTGAGACAGGGTCTCAGTCTGTCACCTAGGCTGGAGTGCAGTGGCAGGATCTCAGTTCATTGCAATCTCTGCCTCCCAGGCTCAAGGATCCTCCCACTTCAGCTTCCAGAGTAGCTGAGACTGCAGGCATGTGCCACCACACCCAGTTCATTTTTGTATTTTTTTGTAAAGATGGGGTTTGCCATATTGCCCAGGCTGGCCTCAAACTCCTGGGCTCAAGCAATCAACCTACCTTGGCCCACAAGTGCTGGGAACACAGGCATGAGCCTTCGCTCCCAACCTGTTTATTTTATTTTTTTTTAAGACATGGGGTCTCACTATGTTGCCCAGGTTGGACAGTAGTGACTATTCACAGGTGCCATTATAGTGCACTACACTTTGAACTCCAGGTCTCAAGGGATCCTCTTAACTCAGCATTCTGAGTAGCTGGGACTACAGGCACATACCACCAAATCTGGCTGCATTCCTTTTAGGGAGGCTAAGCAAATCAGATCATTCTCTTTCCAAGACCTTCTTTTTGCAAAGTCCACCACAACTGGTTAGTTTAGGCTTTGTCAGTTGCAAACAAACATGGAGGTTTCTTTAATCAGGATGACCTGATGCAACTGAGGATGACCTGAGGTCATCCTGATTAAACGTGAGAGTATTTTTGGACACTTGACTAAATCTTTAATAAATATTGAGTGGATTGAAGAGAATACTAACTATGTAAAAGGGATAGATAGATAGATAGATAGATAGATAGATAGATAGATAGATAGATGATAGATAGATAGTTGATAGATAGATGATAGATAGATAGATAGATAGATAGATAGATAGATAGATGATAGATAGATAGATAGATAGATAGATAGATGATAGATAGATAGATAGATGATAGATAGATGATAGATAGATAGATAGATGATAGATAGATAGATGATAGATAGATAGATAGATGATAGATGATAGATAGATAGATAGATGATAGATAGATGATAGATAGATAGATGATAGATAGATAGATGATAGATAGATAGATGATAGATAGATAGATAGATGATAGATAGATAGATAGATAGATAGATAGATAGATAGATAGATGATAGATAGATAGATGATAGATAGATAGATAGATAGATAGATGATAGATAGATAGATAGATGATAGATAGATAGATAGATAGATGATAGATAGATGATAGATAGATAGATAGATAGATAGATAGATAGATAGATGATAGATAGATAGATAGATGATAGATAGATAGATGATAGATAGATAGATGATAGATAGATAGATAGATGATAGATAGATGATAGATAGATGATAGATAGATAGATAGATAGATGATAGATAGATAGATAGGTAGATAGATAGATAGATAGATGATAGATAGATAGATAGATGATAGATAGATAGATGATAGATAGATAGATGATAGATAGATAGATAGATGATAGATAGATAGATGATAGATAGATAGATAGGTAGATAGATAGATGATAGATGATAGATAGATGATAGATAGATGATAGATAGATGATAGATAGATAGATAGATGATAGATAGATGATAGATGATAGATAGATAGATAGATAGATTAGATAGATAGAGTAGATAGATAAGATAGATAGATTGGTAGATTGGGCTGGGCGCAGTGGCTCACGGCTGTAATATTAACACTTTGGAAGGCAAGGCAGACGGATCACCTAAGGTCAGGAATTCAAGACAAGCCTGGCCAACATGGTGAAACCCTGTCTTCACTAAAAATACAAAAATTAGCCGGGCATGGTGACGCATGCCTGTAATCCCGGCTACTTGGGAGGCTGAGGCAGGAGAATCGCTTGAATCCAGGAGGCGGAGGTTGCAGTGAGCTGAGATTGTGAGCCACTGCACTCCAGCCTGGGCGACAGAGCCAGACTCCATCTCAAAAAACAAAAATGATAGATAGATTGACAGATAAGATAGAGTTATCCTTCACCTAACCTTCAACCTTCAAGTTTAAAAAATCAAATTTAACCTGTGAACCCCTTCCTATACTTCCTCTTCCTTTCTCCCACAGAGACAAGGACTGTCCTAAATTTTGTAAATAACATTCCTTTACTTTCCTTTATAGTTTTTATCCCTAAACACTACATTGTTTACTTTTGCATGTATTTGAACTTTCTACAAATGAGATCATGCAGTGGGTATTCATCTGTGACTTGCTCTTTTACCAAAATTATATTCCTCAGATTCATGCATATATTTGTAATTCATTGATTTTCACCACTGTATGGTATTTTGTTGTATGAAATATACCACTGTTGATTTATCCATTTTACTATTGATAAATACTTAGGTTGTTTCTTGGTTTTGGCTTTTGCAAATCATACCACTCTGATCTTTCTTGTGTGTGTCTCCTAGTACACATGTGTAAGTTTCTCTAAGGCATTAATATTTATCTAGCAGTGGAATTGCTAGGTTATAAGATACATGCCTCTTCAACCTTATTAGATAACACTAATAGTTTTCTAAAATTATTGTCCCAATTTGCATGCTTATTGGTTGTTTATGAGAGTTTCTTTCTGTTGCTCAATATACTTGTCAACACTTGGTATTATTATGTTTTTAGTTTTAGTCAAACTGGTTTCATAGCAGTGTCACATTGTAATCTTAACTTTCATCTTCCTGATTACTAATAAAGTTAAGCATCTTTTCATGTTTTTACTGAGCATTCAGGTTCCTTCTGTGAAGTTCCTATTCTAATGTTTTTCCCTTTTTTATATCAAGCTTTGTAAGAGTTGTTTACATTCTGATTATAAATTATTTGCTGTTATGTTTTACAGATTTGTTCTCCAAGTTTGTGGCTCGTCTTTAATGACCAGGGTTTCAAATATATATATAATTAAAAATATTAATTTTTTCTTTTGAGTTTGTGATTTTAAAGTCTGGTTCAAGAAATTCTTCCCTACACTGAGATTGTGAAGACATTACGTATTTATGTATTTATTTATTTTTTGAGACAGAGTCTCACTCTGTCACCCAGGCTGGAGTGCAATGGCATGATCTCGGCTCCCTGCAACCTCCGTCTCCTGGGTTCAAGCGATTCTCCTGTCTCAGCCTCCCGAGTAGCTGGGATTACAGGCGTTCGCCACCACTCCCGGCTGATTTTTGTATTTTAAGTAGAGATGACTTTTCGCCATGTTAGCCAGGCTGGTTTTGAACTCCCGACCTCAAGTGATCCATCCACCTCAGCCTCCCAAAGTGATGGGATTAAAGGTGTGAGCCACTGCGCCTAGCCTATCCTATATTATTTTCTATAAGTTGTATAGTTTTGCCTTTTACTTTTAAGTATATAATCCACCTGGAATTGATTAGGGGGGTGGGGTACGGTATGAGGTAGAGGTCCAAATTAATTATTCCCTTATGGGTAAACAATTGTCCCAGTACCACTTATTGATTTCCCATGACCTGCACTGACAGTGCTGACATAATTCAGTTTTTCACATCTATGTGGATCTGTTTATAGGTTCTTTATTCTATTTTATTGGCCAATTTTTCTATTCCCAAACTAACACCACACTCCTAATTACTTCGGCTTCATAATAAGTCTTGCTATCTTATAAGGCAGTTACCCTGCCCTACCTCCAACTATGTTTTTCTTCAGACTATTCTTGGCCACTAGTTCCTGTATATATATTTTTAAATTAGCTTATTAAATTCCAAAACAAAAAAAAAAAAACCCTGTGTTGTCATTTTGATTGAAATTACATTGAATTTTTAGAATAATTTGGGTAGAACTTACATGCTTATGAAATTGGGACTTCTAAAACATAAAATAGTATGTCTTTCCATTTTTATAGGCCATCTTTAATTATTTCAATAAACTTAAAGACAATTTTTGATATATATTACACACTTCTCTTGTTACATTTATTTGTAAGCTTTTTTTTTTGGCTTAAACAATAGACATTTATTCCTCACAGTTCTGCAGGCTAGGAGTCTGAGATGAGGATGTCATGACCTTTATTTTTTATGCTTTTTTTTTTTTTTTTTTTTTGAGGTGAGGTCTTGCTCTGTCACCCAGGCTGGAATGCAATGGCATGATTTTGGCTCACTGCAGCCTCCACCTCCCAAGTTCAAGCGATGCTCCTGCCTCAGCCTCCCGAGCAGCTGGGATTACAGGTGCCCACCACCACACCTGGCTAATTTTTGTATTTTTTAGTAGAGATGGAGTTTCACCATGTTGGCCAGGCTGGTCTCGAACTTCTGACCTCAAGTGATCCACCTGCCTTGGCCTCCCAAAGTGTTGGGATTACAGGCGTGAGCCACTGCACCTGGCCAGTTTAGGGCTTCTAAGTAGAATTGAAGCCACAGAACTCTCAAAGCCTAGACTCAGAAATCACACAGGTAACTTCCATTGTATTCTGTTGGTCAAAGCAAATCACTAGGAAAGCTCACTTTCAAGGGGAACAGAAATAGAGTGAACCTCTTGATGTGAGGAGAAATAAAATACTTCACATGTTTCTCTAAATGATAACATAGCCTGTCTTTTCTTGACTTGCTGAAATTATGATCATGGATGAACATTGAATTTTATCCAAATCTTTTTCTTTATTTTTAGAATAATCATGAGATTATTCTCATTTTTTCTGTTGATGTGGTGAATTATATTAATCAATTTTCTAATGTTAAGGTATCTTATATTTCAGGGATAAATTCAACCTGCTGGAGTCAGTTATGAATAATTTGTTTAGTATTATATTTTTGCCACTGTGTTCATAATTGAGACTGAGCTTTTTGTTTCTTGTTCTGTCCTTACTAGTTTTGATTCCAAGGTTATGTTAGCCAAACATCATAAATTATTCTCTCCTTTGCTGTAACCTAGAATAAGTTTTGTTTTTGTTTTTGTTTTAAAGGAGTCTCGCTCTGTCGCCCAAGCTGGAGTGCATTGGCATGATGTTGGCTCACTGCAACCTCCACCTCCTGGGTTCCAGCAATTCTCCTGCCTCGGCCTCACAAGTAGCTGGGATTACAGGCATGCGTCACCATGCCCAGCTAATTTTTGCATTTTTTAGTACAGACGGAGTTTCACCACATTGGCCAGACTGGTCTCCAACTCCTGACCTTGTGATCCGCCCACCTTGGCCTCCCAAAGTGCTGGTATTACAGGTGTGAGCCACCATGCCAAGCCTAGAATAAGTTTTTAAATATTGAAATGATGTGTTCCTTGAATGTATGGTAGAAATGGCAGCAAAGCTGGTGGAGGTAGTGGTGATGGCATGTTTGCTTTGGTTTGGTTTAGTTGGAAGATTTCTAAGTATTTATTTTTTAAAATTGTAGACTTAGTTTTCTTGTATCTTCTTGAGGAAGTTTTAAGTTATACTCTCCAAGAAATGTTTCCATTTTACTGAAGTTTTCAAATCTCTTGGCATGTTCATTGTTCAGGGTATTCTCTCACCTTTTAGTGTCTGCAATATCTACAACATGGCCCCTTTTTCATTCCCAGTATTGTTTATTGATGTTCTCTTTTCTTTTTCTTGATAAGCTACCAGAATTCTGTCCATTTTACTCATCTTTTCAGAAAACTTTGACTTTGTTGATTTTATCTAATGTATTTTTCCCATTAGTTTCTGTTTTCTTAACTGAATTATTTCTTTTTTCTACTTTCCTTGGATCTGTGCTGCTTTAGCTGGGTGTTTGGCTCATTAACTTTCAAACTTTCTTCTTTTGTCTGAGTACTACTGCAGTATTTTCATTATGATTCAATTACAAATATTTTCTCGTTTTCATTATCATCTTTGCTCTCTGAGCTATTTCAAAATGTGTTTGTTAATTTTCAAATGGGTGAGTTTTTACTAGTTATCTCCTTGATATTTATTAGTAATTTAGTTGGACTATATGAAGAGAATGAATAAATATATTGTGTTATCTGGCATAATATAGGTTACTACTATATAATTATATATTAATTGTATTAATTGTGGCTATCTTTGGCTTATTTCTACCATCTTATTTTGTGTTATTTGTCTTGTTTTTTCTTCCACTGTGTTTTTTTCTATCTTTTCTTGTCTTTTTTTAGACTGATTGAATATATCTTTCTCCTCCCATCTGTTTTTTCTTATAATAATTAGGAAGTTATACACTCTAATCTTATTCTTTTAGTGACTAAGGCATTTTAGTCTGCCTACTTGATTTATCAAATTCTAACATTTATCAATACCTTTATTTCCCTCTTAAATAACATAAGAACATTTGAACATTCTATTTCTATTTATCCCTTGACTTATATGTTATTGCAGATGTGCACTTATTCTTTATTGATTTTGAACCCCACAAGGTGTCGTTATAGTTTCATCTAGTTTAGATTTATGTTTACTCACATGTTTACCATGTTTTTGCTCATTTCTTCTTGCATCTCAGACTTTCCATTTGAAATTATGTTACTTTTGCTTGAAATATATTCTTTAGAATTTTCTTCAGTAAATTGGCAAACTCAAATTCTGGAAAGATTTTTTGCTGGCTATACAATTTTAGGTTGAAGATTATTTTCTCTCAACCCAGTGAAGATATGATTTACCACCTTCTGGCTTTCACTGGTGCTGTTTAGTCTAATTTTCATTCCTCTGAAGATAATGTGTCCCGCCCCCTGTCTTTTTTTGAGATCTCTTTCACTTTGCTGTTCTGCAGTTACACTAGATGTGTAAATATGATTTTTTAAATTTTCATTTATCTTACCTAAGATTTTTTAAAACCTCACATAAACATGTGAAAAAGACCAAAATTGAAGAGGTAGTAGGGGGTCAGATTATGAAGGGTTTTGAAAGTCAGGAATTTATTCTGTAGAGCAGTGATCTTTAAGCTTTTAGCTTATGCATATTATATAAGAATTTTGAAAAATGTGTTCTCTTGCACATATTTAAGTTGACATATACAGTTTTCATCATAATTAAATAAGTTTACTTCTTGCTAATAAAAGAGAACATATATTAAATATTTTATAAACTAAAATCAGGTGACAATCAAAATTAGAATACTTTTATGATATGCCTTGAATATATCATATTTGATATATATTTGGATATGGTTATATGCTATTTGAAGTATATTGGTGCACTTATCAAACAAATCATGCCAATTTTAAAATAAATCACATACAATTTTTACTAGTTTTATTAAATGCTTTTAAAATTTTATACTTTAAAATATTATAGTTTCATTTAAAAGAATAAGAATTATTTACCTGTACTGCTTCAAATGTTCTGAATTTATACCATCCCAACATGAAACCAACACTGTTTCTAACTTCAAACTTCACTTTTAACAGAAATATAGGTAAAACATTAAAAGGTAGGAAGACCCATGGATTTAAGGTGCTTTGATTAATCCTTAAGGAGGCCTCCCTGGAACAAAATTGTCATTCCAGTTGGGGCCCTTTCAGGCTGCAATCTTGTCACAAAAGAAGTCTAAACAAACTCTACAAAGTCGCAAAGATTTTAGCTGCTGCCTGTGATACTTTTTCTCCCTGTCTCCCTCCCCTCCACCACCCCTCACTTTTATATATGCAAGCAAGCCTGGATGTGTCACATTTACTTTTTGGAAAGGGACTTACGCAAGACACAAGAATTTTTGCCCACAAACAGCTGCTTCAAAGGCAGAGGGAGTGAGACCTTCTTTTTGGTGCAAAAATGATTAGTTATGGAGAGGTCCCAGTCTTAATTCTATTTGGAGGTGGGTCCAAATGACCTAATAAGCAGATCCTTCTCTGCTCTTTATTGTAGTATTAAACAAGAAACTGACACAAGTTGGGTCATAGAGTTTTTCCACAGGCACATGTAAGCATTCCATGTTGTATTATTGCAATACTGTGAAATTCGTCTTTTTGAGAAAAGCACACACAGATCTTGGCATATTTTACTTGAAAACAATAATTGTTACTATTAGTTATTTCCACTTTTTTTTTTTTTCCAAAAAGAGAATATGGGAAGAGTGGTGCTATGGTAACTACAGAGCTATAGAGAAGAATTTGACCAAGGGGATCCTAAAACAAGGTTTAACACATGTTTTATGGTTAAGCATTAACTACCATCGGTTATAGGTTGTATATTTGATATTATATATACTATTAAGTAATTGGAAGAGGTAAAACAATAGTGATTAAGAGTGTAAGCACAAAACCAGAGCTAATAAGGGATAAAACCGAGATTTTTTTTTTTATTTTATTTTTTTGAGGCAGAGTCTCACTGTGTTGTCCAGGCTGGAGTGCAGTGGTGCAATCTCAGCTCACTGCAACCTCTGCCTCCTGGATTCAAGTGATTCTCCTGTCTCAGCCTCCCAAGTAGCTGGGATTTCAGGAGCGCACCACCACGCCAGGCTAATTTTTGTATTGTTAGTAGAGATGGGGTTTCACCATGTTGGCCAGGCTGGTCTCAAACTCCTGACATCAAGTGATCCACCCACCTCAGCCTCCCGAAGTGCTGGGATTACAGGCGTGAGCCGCCATGTCCGGCCAAAACTGAGATTTGAACCCAGACTGCCTGAGTTCAAATCTCAGTTTTATCCCTTATTAGCTCTGTGAACTTGGGTAATTTTCATAACCACTCTGAGCCTTAGTTTTCTCATCAGTGTAGAGGACTAAAATGTTATCTACCCCAGATGATTGTTTTAAGGATTACATCAGTGCCTATTTCCTCACCTGTAAAATGGTCTCTTTCTCTTAAGATTGTGGTGAGGATTAAAAGGGTTATATGTGAACAATGCTTAGCATGAAGGCCTGGCTTATGGTATAACTTCAATAAATTTATTTTGTTAGCAAGTAGAGAAATAAATCTGACTTAACAATATAAAATTAAATGTTTATTTTACTTTTGCATAGCATATTACAACTGAGAATTTGGAGATTTAACACACTCTATTGATAATGAATATGATGAAAGAGAAACAGACAAGGCATTAACTTTGAAGAGAAAATTCGTTGACATTTTTGTATTTCATTGTATAAAATACCAATTAAATGTGATGGAAAATTATAGCAAAGACTTACAAAGACTTCAATGATTTTCAAATTTTTAAATAAAGCATATCTTGATTTTAGTTCTTTGTTCAACTCTATTATGGAAATGTAATGGCAATGCAATTTCTCCTTTCTATCTTATATTAGTTCTCTGGTTTAGCTCTAGCTTGTCGAGTGGAAACATGATATGGCAAGACAATAAATTGCCTATTAAAATCCAATGTTTTTTTAATTATGTAATTACGATTCAGGGTTACATGTTCTAGATTCTGAATGGCATTAAGTTGGGTTTATATAGTATTAAAACAACCAGATTTTAAAAAAAGAGTCAGTCAATTACCTATATATTTGTAAGACACCAAAATTAATATCTTGAAACATCTTTATGATTGAATGAATTTTTCACTTTTTATTTAGACATTTGTCATAGCCAATAAGGCATATGCTAAGTACACAAAGTGATTATCCTAAAGCTGGTTTTGGCTTTTTGAGTTATCCAATGTAAGCTATAATTTGTCTCTTTAATTTCCCTAATTTTCAAGCTGGAGATAACATTGAACATTACAGGAGACAGCTATAGTTTTGATTGCCCAGAGCCATCCAACTTTATTAGAGCATGGCGGGGTTATCAGTCACAGTACTCTGCCATCTACTCCCCACATCATGGTGACAAATAAATAAACTAGACCTGGCTAATCAAAGAAATCCAGCTCCTCATGTCAAGTGATTGGCTCAGGGGTGGACACACAACCCCAAATAAGCCAATCAAAGCCCTTCACTGGTACTTTTCAGCTGGAGCTAGGGTGGAAGCCTGTCCTCATTTTGAGATTTATGGGCTGAAAGGATGTGTATCTGGGGTGCTATCTTCTCATCTGTAGAAATAGATGAGGTCAACACACCAACAGAAGATCTGAAAGATGGAAAGAGGGGGCTTAATTATATTGCTTGGGTCCCTAGATTTAGTTCATGTCTGACATTGTGTCCTTACATCCCAATACACATGTGTGTTTTACAGATAGTTTGAATTGGTTCATGGCACTTGCAACTGAAGGAGTTCTGATAAGTACAGACATCTTTCTAATTTGTTTACAGCTGTAACAATTAACTGTGAAAGTCAATACATTTACAATGAAGTATGTTAAAAACATTGTCCAAGTGTGACTTGAACCCAGGCAGGATAACACAGCAGTTAAGAGTCCAGGCTCTGGAGTGGAACTGTCTGCTTGCCTGCCTACTAAAAAACACCTGGGTCTGAGAAGCTTTTGTCTCTCTAGAGAGGATACATGCTGTCTGGTTGCCACAGAGAGAGCCTCAGCACACCAAGGCACCCGAGCTGATTTCCAGTTACTATTGGCACTGACACTGCTGCCAGTCTTATAGGTCTTTTATGAGAAATGTCAACCTTTTCTTGTATCTGTTTCAAAACTGGGAAGAGAAAGGTAGAATGAGAGAATCAAGAAACATAGGAGATAACTTTTTTCTGTGGATGGGAAGAACATTCCTATAGGTTGTGCCTATGAGGAAAGAATCCAATCTAAGCCACCAATAGTAAAGCCACCATTTATTCGTTTTCATCACCTACTTGAGCCCTGCAAAGCATTCTTATTTTTTTTTCTTTTTTGAGACGGCGTCTCACCCTTGTTGCCCAGGCTGGAGTGCAGTGGCGCGATCTCGGCTCATTGCAACCTCCGCTTTCCCAGGTTCAAGTGATTCTCCTGCCTCAGCCTCCTGAGTAGCTGAGATTACAGGCACCTGCCACCACACCTGGCTAACTTTTTTGTATTTTTAGTAGAGATGGGGTTTCACCATGTTGGCCAGGCTGGTCTCAAACTCCTGACCTCGTGATCAGCCCGCCTCGGCCTCCCAAAGTGCTGGGATTACAGGCGTGAGCCACCATGCCCGGCCTCATTCTCACTTTTCACTCTGGCCTTGTGCCTGCCTGTCCCAGAATATCTTCTCTGACACTACTTAAATGTTGTTTACTTCTCTGTTATGCTGCTTAAGATGTGGAGACTCAGTTGGGTTAAGCATTCATTTTAAAGAAGAAAATAGACTTCTTTAAAATGAGCGTAAGATCACAGGCTTCAGTATAAGACTGCATGGATTCAAATACCACCTCTACCACTGACTATAGCGTTATGACCTTGGACAAGTCACTTAACCTCTCTGTGCCTCAGTTTCCTCATTTGTGGTATGGAGATAATAGCACCTCTCTCACAGGGTTGTTGAGAATCTAGAGAGTTGATACATGCTTAAAATAGTGCCAGGCACACAGGAAGCACTATGTGAATGTCAGCTCTTATTAAGCTTAGGTATTTACAGATTATTTAAATCAGATTTCCTTCTCCCTAATCTAGCTGAGGACAGCTTCACTGAAGGAGTGGAAGTTTGATGGGAGGACAAGGTGGGGGCAGGGCGAAGACCAGCGGGGTTAGAGATGGAAGATGGGGGTGGAGGAGCAGTAGGAGAATGGTAGGGTGGAAATGGAGAGGATAGAGAAAGTTAGTAACTTTGTAGAGTGAAACAGGTGTGGGTTGGATCCTTTGGGTCCCTAAAGGACATTAAGAAGATGGAAGAGAGGAAAAGGAATGGAAGTGGGAAGCTGCCAAGGTAAACAGCACGTATTTCAAAGTTTTGTCTAGTGTTGACTTGCATCCAGAAAAGGAAAAAGAAATTCTTTTTCATCCCTCTTACCCTTGGAATGATATCATAATTTAACTACCTTTATGAATGAAGTAGATTGCTGTGGACAAACCTGAGATCCCAACCGTCATTTATAATGTTGTTCCAATAGGAAAATAGTTTCTGAGTTCCAAGTAACAAGTTTCCATGGTCTTTTGGAACAGGATCATTTGTAAGTTGGGGCCTGCTTGTCTGCTGAGCAGGGAGGTTGCAGCTGGGCAGGTCAGACAGAGAGCCAGCATTTCACAATCGAATAAACTGGAGCCTGCTGTGGTTGACTTGTCTGTACTAGTGACACAACTCCAACTACAGCCCAGGTCCCCAGGACTCTACAGTTCTAATTTAGTAGCCTTACCTTCATAACTAATGCTGTTCAATGAAATAAGAATAGTGATGTGCATTTAATGGGCTGAACAGCACAATATGCCACTGAAATGCTTAATTTTAAAAAAGACAATAGAATCTGAATTTATGAACAGTATTGGCCAACTAGAGATTGGTAATTGCAAGCTGTCTTGTCTTCATGAGCTGCATGGTGGGGGTGAAGCAGAGGCTGAATGACATTTTGTCATTCTTTATAAAGGAATCTAAATATCAAGTAGGAGGAGGTGGAAGAAGAGAGGAAAATGGGGAGATCTTCAAGACTCCTCCAAATGCAAGATTATTTTGTTCGACACTGCTTAATCTTAAAATTGATCATAGTATCAATAACTTGTTGTCTTTTTCCTTTTAGGTATTGCAACAACCCAAATCATAATAATTCCTCATTGACAAAGATTGATTTGTACAATCTGCCCTGAATTGTTCAGAGTATTAAGGACCTGGCCAGGTGCGGTGGCTCACGCCTGTAATCCTAACACTTTGGGAGGCAGAGGCAGGTGGATCACCTGAGGTCAGGAGTTTGAGACCAGCCTGGCCAACATGGTGAAACCCCATCTCTACTAAAAATACAAAAATTAGCTGGGTCATGGTGGCACATGCCTGTAATTCCAGCTACCTGGGAGGCTGAGGCAGGAGAATCACTTGAACCCAGGAGGCAGAGGTTGCAGTGAGCCCAGATCACATCACTGTACTCCAGCCTGGGTGACAGAGTGAGATTCCATCTCAAAAGAAAAAAAAAAAGTATTAAGGACCTATGAGACACATTTATAGACAACTTTGCATCTTTGCATTAGGAGAGTGATAGGAAATTTTTAATTTATTATTCTTTACTTGCAAGAAACATCCCAAATCAATAATGTCATTGTTCTATCTATTTGACAGCTGTGGGACTAACCAAGGAAGGTGAAATGACCAGCTGCCTCACGGCAAATTCTCTGGAGTGACTGGGATCTAAAGCAATAATATGCAAATCCATAAAGACACTATGTCCTTTCACTGATTAATGGGGCACAAGAATCTGTGAGATTTATAATTGAAACAGTTTTAACAACAGCACAACAAAAAAACTACAGTACCAGGAGGCTCAGTGAGTGGCAGATCTTTAAGAACAGCTCTATGTTGATAATTCTTGCGCAGCAATGCTTGTATGAATTGCTAAGAGAATAATAACAACTACTATTAATTCAGCACCTACTGTGTGCCAGAGGCTGTGCTAGTTACTTTCCCTACATCATCTCTGAACCTTACAATAACGCTCTCATGAAGATTTTATTGTCCTTGTTTGTCTGATGAAGAACTGAGGTGAAGACAATTTCAATGATTTGCCCAAGTTTCCACAGCTGGGGCTGGGCACAGTGGCTCATTTCTGTAATCCCAGCACTTCGGGAGGCCAAGGTGGGCGGATCACCTGAGGTCAGGAGTTTGAGACCAGCTTGGTCAACATGGTGAAACCCCATCTCTACTAAAAATACAAAAATCAGCCAGCTGTGGTGGTGCATGCCTATAATCCCAGCTACATGGGAGGCTGAGGCAGGAGAATCACTTGAACCCAGGAGGCAGAGGTTGCAGTGAGCCGAGATCGCGCCACTGCACTTCAGCCTGGGAAACAGAGCAGACTCCATCCAAAAAAAAAAAAAAAAAAACTAAAGAACAGGTTCCACAGCTGGTAAGTAGCAGAGACCCACCCTCAGGTAAATCTGCTGTTGCTGTTGTATGTGAGGCAGCAGCAGCAAGGGGCTTTGGGACTGACATTCTGAGACATACACAAGTGTCAGAAATGACCAACCTGTCAAGAAGTTGTGGTGTTATGGATAACTTGGTGGTAGTGCAGTATTTTCCATGAAAAACAGAATCACATTATGGTAGTAAGGCAGCTATTTTAGCAATATAAATAATAAAAGGAGCAAAGAGAGAAACAAAAGGAGCAGAAAAATCTCTTCTGTCTGACTACAGCACAAACCACCATTTACCAAAAAGCATGCCTGTAATAAACTTTTTAGATTAAACCAATTGTTCTTGAAGCCACTGTAATGTTTTCTGTCTACAGGGCAATAAAGCAGATTTGTATTAATGTTTTTTTGTTTAGGAGGCAGTAAAGTAGGGTGGTTAAGACAAGGGGCTCTGGAGCAAGACTGCCCAAGATCAAATCCTGGTGCTGCCACTTTCTCTTTGTGTGACCTTGAGTTAGTTACTTATGTCTAGTACTGCAGTGTTGCCATGAGGGTTGAATGATCAAATCCATATGAAGTGTTTAAAAACCACCTGGTACCTGGAAAGCACTGGATAAATATTAGTTAAAACTGTATGCAGAATCGTGTATGAATTGTGTGAGGAAATTGAAGATATGGTTCCTTACTTTCAAAAATACTTAGAAACTAGCTGGGAAGAGAAAGCATCTGCTTATAATATGTCTTTAAAACAGGTACAACAGGCCGGGCACAGTGGCTCACGCCTGTAATCCCAGCACTTTGGGAAGATGAGGCGGGTGGATCACTGAGGTCAGGAGTTCAAGACCAGCATGGCCAATATGGCAAAACATCGACTCTACTAAAAATACAAAAATCAGCCAGGCATGGTGGAGTGTATCTGTAATTCCAGCTACTCGGGAGGCTAAGGCAGGAGAATAGCTTGCACCTGGGAGGTGGAGGTTTCAGTGAGCTGAGATCACGTCACTATACTCTAGCCTGGGTGACAGAACGAGACTCTGTCTCAAAAAAAAAAAAAAAAAGAGGAAAGAAAGAAAGAAAAAGAAAAAGAAACATGTCTAACATTAAAAACAGCTTCTTTAGTCAAGGTATGCACTGTCATATCCCTAATAAAAATCAAGAAATAAGAATTAAGGAAACAAGGGATAAAAGAGAATGTTTTCTGGAGAAAGTGAGCCATGACCTGGATTTTGAAGGAGCTGTGGTTTAATCATTGTGGAAATTTTAATTTGAGGACTTTGGTAAAGTAACTTGTCCATTATCAGTATTGTTCACCTCAATTTGTTATGTATGAAAACCTTTCAGTGAAAACTTTCTGTGTGCGAGGCATTGGGATGGTGGTAATAAAGGACTACAAATTCAAAGACACCTTTATCCTCAAGGAACTTATAGTCTATTACAAGAAGTTATACATTAATGAAATACAAGACAGAGAGTGCCACGGAAGGGCAATGCCAACTGGCAACACAATAATAAGCACATTTAAAAAATGGGTTAGTCTTTGGTGCACAAAGGAGCTCAGATGCCAAATGTAAAAATGAACATGAGGAACATGAGGGGAATCTAGTCCTTTAGGAAGGGCCTCGTGGGGTACAATAGCTATTAAGACTAGTTCTACCTTGCCTTTGCAGGATGAGAAATTTAATCAGGCTGTTCAGAGGCTGATGAGACTCCCATTAAATGAACAAGAAATGAATCAGAATAAGAATTTATTAGATTACATAGCTAACCAACAGAACTGATCATCTGTACAACCCCTGACTCTCCTCTCTCCATCTCCACCCCCCACCATTCCTGGTAGAGAGATTCATTTTAGGAATAGATTGTGTATCAAGAAATTGCTTGGTATGAGTCAGAAAGATTGACATTTTCCACTCTAAGAATATTTGTATTAACTATGTGATCACTTTTGTGTCCAGACAATTATTTTTCCAGACTCCTCTTTTTATATTTTTTCTATTATAACACATTCTTTTTTTCATGTGAAGAGAGATTTTTAACATGTTACAATTTCCAAGTTTACACTTTTAGTTTCTTCCTGATGACATTCAAGGAGGAAACTTAGTTTCTTATCAGTATGTTCTAAATCCCACTATAGCATGGGTTATGTTGGAAGTTTTTCTGTAGAAAACAAATACTAACCTAGTAGTTGAATTATTTCTTTTCCTGAGGATTTCATATTCTTCCTGACTTTTTGTCTCCACCTCTTGTCCTAGATCTTGAATACTATTTTTAGACTTAAACTTCTGTTTGCTGGTTATATAACAAATTTTATACAGTTAATTGAATAGGATTCATACCTCATTTGAAACCTAACTCATTTGTAGCTTAAGCATCCATTTGGCTGTCGCTAGGGGGTTGTATGAAACCTGAGAAAATCATACTGGTGCCCTGCATAATGGAAAATAGATGTATTCAGGTAATATCAAATTGAAATAAATATCCAAGGAAAAGAAGTCAGAAGACAGCATATGTTTGTAAGAAGAATGGGATGGAGCTTTGTCCTTCCTGAAGGGGGATAGATGTTGAAGATGATTAATTGTTCTGATACCATGAGCTGGCTGTCTCTCTTAAGATATTGCAGAGATGTGGCAGGAGAATGAGATTTTACAATGCGAGTTTGGAGCCTGACGTGGGTTTATCATTTGAACAACTCAGGAGAGAATGGGGTGTGTTGATTAAGTGCTACCCAGGTAAGTTTGTGTGAATTCCCTTTCCAGGCAAGGTGGGCCCGCTTCATTTTCCAGGAGCCTGACCTGGACATGGGTAGGACAAGGCTAGCCAGGGGTTGGGGAAGCGGAGAATTGGAAGGTGTCTGAAAGATAGTGTTGAGGGACAAATCTGGAAGTAGGCAAACACAGCCCAGCCTGCACATTGGTGTTTTGATCCGGGTCAGCAATTTGGAAACAAAGGAAAGAAAATGGAGACGACTAAGACCCTGCAGGTCTCACAACTTCAAGTGAACACCAAACACTCAAATTAACTTCAGTGATTTCAGGAAGTGCTCTGAAATTGACATTATGACACATAACCATAATACTACTTATAATACCTGAAATTTTAAAACTTTTTTTTTGTTTGTTTTGTTTTTGAGACAGAGTCTAGCTTTGTCGTTCAGGCTGCAGTGCGATGGTATGATCTCAGCTCACTGCAACCTCCACCTCCCAGGCTCAAAAAATTCTTCTGCCTCAGCCTCCCAGGTAGCTGGGATTACAGGTGCCTGCCACCATGACCGGCTAATTTTTGTATTTTTAGTAAAGATGGGGTTTCATCGTGTTGACCTGGCTGGTCTTGAACTCCCGACCTCAAGTGATGTGCCTGCCTCAGCCTCCCAAAGTGCTGGGATTACAGGCGTGAGCCACCGCACCCAGCCTTAAAACACTTTTCAAATTTATCTTTGCTTTTGTAATATTATTTAATCCTCAGGCTAAAGTTATAAAGAAGATAAGGCAAATATTCTCATCCTAATTTTAAAGTAAAAGAAACTGGATATAGAAAGGAAGGTTGAGTTGTTTATTGTGGTTCACTGGGAGAACAGGGACTAACTTCCACATCACCCTGCTCCCATTATAATGTTATTTCTACTGGGATAAATAGTGAGAAGTATTAATAAATAAAAGACCAGTCTTTAATAAGGAGGCTGGAAAATAGTCTATATCTCAGCCCTTTGGGAAGCCAAGGTAGGAGGATTGCTTGAGCCCAGGATTTCAAGATCAGCCTGGGCAACACAGTGACACCCTTCTGTACAAAAAAAAATTTTTTTTAATTAGCTGGGTGTGGTGGTGCGTTTCTGTAGCCCCAGATACTCAGGAGTCTGAGGTGGGAGGATCACCTCAGCCCAGGAGGGCAAGGCCGCAGTGAGCCATGATCATGCCACTGCACTCCAGCCTGAGCAACAGAGCAAGACCCCATTTGAAAGAAAGAAAGAAAAGAAAGAAAGAAAGAAAGAAAGAAAGAAAGAAAGAAAGAAAGAAAGAAAGAAAGAAAGAAAAGAAAAGCTACTCAGGAGACTGAGGTGGGAGGATCACCTCAGCCCAGGAGGGCAAGGCCGCAGTGAGCCATGATCATGCCACTGCACTCCAGCCTGAGCAACAGAGCAATACCCCATTTGAAAGAAAGAAAAAGAAAGAATGAAAGAAAGAAGAAAAGAAAGAAAGAGAAAGAAAGAAAGAAAGAAAGAAAGAAAGAAAGAAAGAAAGAAAGAAAGAAAGGAAGAAAGAGAGGGAAAGGGGAGGGGGGGAAGGAGAGGGGATAGAGAAAGAAGGAAGGCAGGAAGGGAGGAAGGAAGGAATGATGGAAGGGGGAAAGGGAGGGAGGGAAGGAAAGAAGGAGGAAAAAGAAAGAGAAAGAAAGAGAGAGAAAGAGAAAAAAAGAGAAAGAAAAAGAAAGAGAGAAAGAAAAAAGGACTCTGTATCATAATTAGCTGGGTGTGGTGGTGCACGTCTGTAGCCCCAGCTACTCAGGAGACTGAGGCGGGAGGATCACCTGAGCCCAGCAGGTCAAGGCCACAGTGAGCCATGATCATGCCACTGCACTCCAGCCTGGGCAACAGAGCAAGACCTCATTTGAAAGAAAGAAAAGAAAGGCAGGAAGGAAGGAAGGAAGAAGGAAGGAAGGAAGGAAGGAAGGAAGAAGGAAGGAAGGAAGGAAGGAAGGGAAAGAAAGAAAGAAAGAGAAAGAGGGGGGAGGAAGGGAAGGAGGGAGGGAGAGAGAGAGAAGGAAGGGAGGAAGGAAGGGAGGGAGGAGGGAAGGGAGGGAGGGAGGGAGAAAGGAAATGGTTTGGCACAAGGAATAGAAAACTACTCGCACCAGCTTAAGAAACAGACAGCAGACAAGCACCAGGATATACAAGCAAAAAAAGGCCAATGGGTCTGGAATTGGAAAGACAGGAATCATCTCTCATGTGGTTTCTGTCCCCCATCAGCCTTGTACCTCTCGTTGGAGACTGGCTTCCTTTCTCTGCTTACTTGTGTCTTTTCTGCCATTAATCAAGCATTACATAACTTTGTGGTTTGGCTTCCAAGGCTAACTGACTGTTTCTCAGTGACCCTTTTCCAAATTCCTGGGGGAAGCAGGAAGATTGAGCTTGGCCTAGGTCCTCCATCACCTTTGCAGGTCAGGGGAGGGATGTGTACAGGTTCACAGTCACTCAGGGCCACCATTTTACTAGAGGCTGTAGGTCATGGTAGAAGTGTAGGAAAAGAGGTACATGCACAATGACTATGATAAAATATAGGATCACCAGTTATCAGTATTGCCATATAATTAAAAACCAAAAAGAGGACGGTATACCTTAATTGATTATAATAAGATGCCATGTTCAATTCAAGGGTATTGTTTATTATAGTTCAGGGTCTTATTTTGGGCACTTGAACCAAAAGATCGTAAAGGATTTAGGAATAAATCAGATGAGAGTTACAAACTTTATTTTGATTAGAGATGAATAAATTTTAATGAAGATAAATGGAAGCATTAACTCTATAGATTAAAAATAGTTTTAAAAAATAGATACAAAATTAAAAAGATACAAAAGGGCACACATTGAAAACTTAGTCTCCCTCTTACCCATACCCCAGCCCTCAGTTCCCCTTATCGGAGGTAATCATCATTGTCAATTCTGGTGTATTCTTCTAGAAATGTGCTCTCTGTATTTAAACACAAAGTTCCATATCTTGCTTTTTCCAGTATGCCATAGAAATCATTCCATGTGGGTCATTTAGAGCAACCTCATTTTTAAAATGGCTGCACAGCATTCCAGTGTATGGGTGTAATGTAATTTTTTGAACAGTCTCCTACTGATGACATTTAGTATATTTAGTCTTTTACTATTACTATCTTTGCGTATACCTCTTTCTAAACACAAGTGACTTTATCTGTAGGATAAAATTCCTGGAAATGGAATTTGTAACATTTTTAATTTTGAGAGAAATTGCCAAACTGTCCTCAGGAGAAATTTTACCAATTTCTTTCCCATTAGCAATTTATAAAGCACTGATTTGCCTACATTCTTAGCTCAGTGTAGAGTTAAAATATGGTTAGGTCTAGAGTTTTTTTGTTTGTTTGTTTTTTAGAGACAAGGTCTCACTCTGTGGCCCAGGCTGGAATGCAGTGGTATGGTCATAGCTCACCGCAGCCTCAACCTCCCAGGCTCACGTGATCCTCTCACTTTGGTCTCCCAAGTGGCTGGGACCACTAGCACACATGACCACACCTGGCTACTCTTTGTATTTTTTTGTAGAGACAGCTTCTCACTTTGTTGCCCACGCTGGTCTCGAACTCCTGGGCTCAAGCAGTCCTCCTACCTAGGCCTCCCAAAGTGCTGGGATTAGAGGCTTTGAGCCACCACGCCTGGGCTAGAGTCTTTTACTCTCTGGGAAACTTCAATTTACCTTCCAACTTCCTGTTAATATCTTTATGTTAGCTATTATATTTGTAATTTGTAAGAGCCTTTTTCTGTTCTTGATTGTAACTTTTTCATAGCATCATAGCCTTATTTGAATGCAATGTTAATGAACGCAATGTTGTATCTTTCCACAGATATTAATTAAACTTAAAAAAAATTCTCCCTGTTCCTGCCATTTGTTTTCTGGAGGGGACAGGTATGTTGGGGGCTGGTGAGGGGGTGGGTGTTGGTTGGGACTGGGAGATGCTCTCTGCCTATCATGTTAGAGACTTTCCTAAAATGTTTGGTGGTGCTGCACTGCTTGCTCATAATTAAGAGTCAGATACCTCTCCTCAATCTCTCCGGTTTAAATCTCCACAGAGCAAAAGTGCATTCTCCCTTTAGGGTGGGGGTGGCGTGGTAGCTTGAGGTAGGACAGAGGCTGCAACTGTTCTTTTTACAGACTTTTATCCAATCTTGTTTTTAGAGGCATTTCTCATCCCCATTTTCCTTAGTATCTGGTGTCTCCAATTCCTAAAATTTCCAAAGTTCTGCGGTGCAAATCAGCTGGCTTATTTTTGCCTTTCACCTCTACAGGCAGTTGATTTCATTTTTCTCTGCTTAGCTAACTCAATTACTATTTGTCTTTTTCACTATCTTCCAAAATTTATCATTTGTTAGCATCTCTTCCATTCTTTTTGTTCTTTGTTATAATTTTAGGGAAATTTGGGGAGGTAGCACAGATAAACATGTATATTCAATTTACCAAGTATAGAAGGTGGTCAGTAAATTTGGCTTTATCTGCCAGAAGCACTGCCTCTGTTGTGGGTATATTTCAAAATTAATAACATTGATAGGAACAAAAGTATAAGTAAGTCTTCGTGAGTATTTATATTTAGATGTAACTCAGCCCTAAAGCCCATTCATTAGTTTTGAAGTGATTTTATTTTAGGTTCAATGTGTATGCTGTTAACATTTATAGTGTAATACATATCAGTACATTCCTACCAATTTTTTGAAAAATGACTAACATATCCGGCTGTTTTCATTTTTGAAGTCATGTTTTCTAACTAGAGTCGTAGTTTGAAAGTCAATTTGTAACTAATTTTATTACCACTTATACTTTCTCAAGTCTGACAATCTTAATTAATAACTACTCTGTTATAGTGCCTTTTAGTGACAAATACAATTGCCAGCACTCAACAATGAATATCAAGCCTGTATATGTTGGTTTATATCATAATTAAGAAAGTCTCTCTTGCTGAGTGGTCTCAATTAAATGTAGTAAAAATTATATAAAATGTACTGGTTGATCTAACATAAGTACTTTAAAATGCTTATGTTACTAATTTCCAGAAGGAGTAAGAATCTTTCTTTCTGGAATGTGAAACCACAGATAGAATTGCATCTCTCCAGGAAAGTAGACTCAGTGGTTATGCAGTAAGCCTTTCCCATCTGTAATGTGATAACCAACTTTATTACTGTGCTATTATGGTAGAAAATTATCTCCTGAAACATATATTTTTAATACACTTGGGTGGACAAAATGAGGAATTGAACCTAATGCCATTTTTTTTTCCAATTTAACTTTCCCATTATTCTAAAAGTGTTAAGATTTTGAAACTAGTTTTACTCTGCGGAGCTCTTGAATAAGTTTCTATAACAGGACTAAATAATAGAAAATACTAAACCTGTATTAGACGTGTACCGAGTAGCACATGTTGGATTGCTGATTGATAGCACAAAGCATATTATATTCAATAAGTATCTTTCAAGCCTCATTGACATCTGTGACATTGTGTTGTTAACTGACAAATACATGGGAAACGCAGTTTTATAGGGAGGCAATAGAGCATGGAGACTATGAATCGGTCTGCTTGGATCTGATAACTCACTTTGCCATTTCCTAGCAGCATGACCTTGGACAAGTCATTTAACCTTGTCCCACTACCAAAATGTAGCAAAAATATCTACCTTTCAAGATTGTTGTGAGAACTAAATAAGGTGACATAGGTGAGGCATTTAATGCATTGTCTGTCTATTATAAATGCTCAGCAAAAATGAATCCAGGGAAAAAATCAGGGATCGTGCTCTCCAGGAATTTACAGTCTGTTGGGGGATATGAGAAGTTCACACTTTGACAAAACTGTAAGGCATTATATAATAAATTGCCAAAGTGAGACAGGATGCCAATGAAAACCTCAACAGGAATTTGGAGAAGGGAGACGTCAGTGTGAAATAGACATATCAATCAGCACATCCTCTAGGAAGGAGTAGAGGTGGGTCTTAAGTCAGATCCTAAAGAAACTGTTAGAACAGACAGAGAGAAAGGGTAGGGAAAAGGTGTACTGCAATGAAATGATAGGAGTAGGGGAGTATTTGGTGATCAGAGAATAAGTGTTTGCTTATTGAATACATAAAAGAATGGTTTGGCTAGTGTGTAGAGTGGTGATGAAGTGAATTAGTAGGGGAGACTGGGGCAATGGTAGTCCCTAGATATCACCTTACTAAATCAAAAAGCAACAGCTAGGGATTTTTGAATTGGGAAGTGAGGAGGATGAAGAAGACATGTGACACAATGAAGATAGTGGTGTAGGAAAAGGTGTGTGAAAAGAAGGGGGTGGGGAGTAGCTAAATCTAAGAGATCAGTTAGAATTACCTTTCTACATATGTGGTTGGGGCTAATAATTGCAATAAAATTTTTTACAAGAGTCAGGACTAAATGGATACATGACGAAGGAGAGAAAAAGAGTTAAAGGTCATTTTAAAGCCTGAGAGAGAAAAGAAATAATGGAAACAGTGATGTTGCAGGGGATGTTGATTAAGGAATTAAATATTTTCAGTTTAAAAAGAAAGCAACACCTTTGTTGTTTTTATAGAAGGTATACATGCTTCTAGCAAAAAAACCCTCCAACAACAACAAACAATGGAAATATATAAGTAGAAAATGAAAGTTCTCTTCTCCGTCCCCCAATTCTATTATCTTGTGATAATCTGTTGTATAGCTTTCTAGGCTGATTTCTATGTACATAAAAGGAAATGAAATCATAGTATGCATATTTCTCTTCAACTTTTTTTTCCAATATTGGTTCATATAGAGCTATCTTTTCATTGTAAAAACATACTGTGATTTTGTATTTACTGACTCACCTATTGATGGACATATATTATTCTAATTTTTGCTATTACAATGCTTAATGAACAGTCTTGTATATCTCTTTGAACAGCATCACAGTATTTTTTTTAAGACAAATACCTATGTGTGAAATTGCTGGATCAAAGTCTATGTACATTTATGTTTTTCATTGACTTTGGCAAATTGTACATGAAAGAGATATGCTTATTTACACACCCAGGGTATGAAAGAGTCTGTGGGCCACATCCTTGCTAGAACAAAATATTACAAATCTTATTAATTGGGCAAGCTATTAGGCAAAACAAATCTTGTTTTAATGTGCATTTCTTTGATTATTGGTAAGGTTGAATAGATTTTCTTAGCCGTTACAATTTTTTCTTCTATTTGTTTTTCAGTTTGAACCTACAGAGGTTGAACTGATGATGAAATGTCCTAATGTAGACATCATGGGGGCAATGAGAGATGTGCTACAGAAGCCTGGGTAAGAATTACTAGTGGAGCAGTGATAGTTCAAAGAGTAAGGCCGCATATGGGTTCCTTGTATAATCATAGAAAGAAGACAATACAAAGCTATTAGGAAACTCAGAGTCAGGAAGGAGAGAAGAGAGACAGTGATAGAAACTGGCAGTAGCAGCTTAGCAGTTGTAGAGATAGAAGTAGAATCAAGATTGTCCTCTGTCATAACTGGTTAAGGGACTTTGAGCAAGTCTCTTGAATCTCTGAGTCTCAGTTCCCTCATTTATAAAATGAAAAGGTGAATAAGATGCCTCTTCAATTATAAGACATCTTGTCTCTAATTTTAACCTGAAAGGTGAGACAATTTCATGGAGGCAGTCAACAACTTCAGAAAGCATAAGGGATCTTGCAGTAAGGTGGTTATTTAAAATTACTCTGATGTTATAGTCTATGAATTGCTTACTTCTGCTGCTCTTGCTTCTTTAAAATTGTAACCTTAAATAAACCGTTCTATTTTGAACTAATTTCAAAATTATAGAAAGACTGCAAATAATATCTACTCTTTACCCAGAGTCGCCTATTATTAACATTTTACCTTTTTATCATTTCTGTTTTCTCTCTCACTATATATGTGTGTGTGTGTGTGTGTTTTTTCAGAACCATACCTATGTCCTGGCCCTTTATTCTGAAATACTTTAGTATATATTGTCTAAGAATAGAGACATAACCACAGCACAGTTACCAATTTCAGTGACTTTAACATTGATGAAATATTTTTATCTGATCAATCTACCATCAGTTTTCCAATTAACTGAATAATGTCCAATATAGCATTTTTTTCCTCCTCCAGGAAAGAATCTAGTCTAGTATCTCATATTACATTTAGTTGTCATGGCTCTTCAGCTGGAATATTTTCACAGCCTTTGTCTTTTATGACAGTGACATCTTTGAAGGATACAGCACCCCTTACCTCTTTTAAAAAACAAAACAAAACGTTGCTCACTTGGAATTTGTCTGGTATTTCCTCATTAGATTCCTCATTTCCTCATTATATGCTATGTCTTCGGGGAATCACATCTGGAGGCAAATGATGTCCGTCTGTCCCTCAATTGTGATGTTAATTTTGATCACCTGGTGAGGGTTTTGTCCAATTTATCCAGTGTATAATTACTCATTTCCTTGCAACTAATAAGAAGTCTATGGAAAAATACTCTAAGATCATGCAAATATCTTGTTCCTCATCAACATTTCTTCCTATGTTTAGATATAAGATGGTTTTTGCCTTACCCAATCTTTGCCCTAACTGGTTGCAAAATGATGATTTTCTAACTTCAACAATCTCTCAACACTCTACCATAAGCAAGAGTATTTCCTTTTTCTCCATTTGTTTTATCAATTAATTATTGGTATGCCTTTATGAATTCCTGTTTTTTTAAAAAATTTCTAACCTATTTTAACATGCAGGATATATAAAAAGAAAACTATAGAGATGAACACTCAACCAAAATCCTTTCCTATCATTAAATATAAAGAATAATGCTTAAAAATATTATAAAGGAAGTAGAATACAATAATAATTCACTTATCTGGAAAAAAAGTTGCCTGGTAAATGTAATGATCCAAAATATAGAGGAAAATATCAAAGCAAGTGAAAGGTCTTTACACTAAGTAAATGCCCCCAAAATATCAGAGTTGTTTTAGCCTTTTCTTATTTTATATGCTTATTTATTTATTTATTTATTTATTTATTTATTTTGAGACAGAGTTTTGCTCTTGTTGCCCAGGCTAGAGTGCAGTGGCAAGATTTCAGCTCACTGCAACCTCCGCCTCTAGGGTTCAACTGATTCTCCCGCATCAGCCTCCCGAGTAGTTGGGATTACAGGCACCCATCACCTTGCCCAGCTAATTTTTTGTATTTTTAGTAAAGACAGGGTTTCATCATGTTAGCCAGGCTGGTCTCGAACTCCTGACCTCAGGTGATCTGCCCACCTTGGCCTCCCAAAGTGCTGGGATTACAGGCGTAAGCCACCGTGCCCAGCCTTATATGCATTTTTAAACATTGGTTAGTTTCCCCAGCCCACTCTAACATGATAAGACAATTCAAGGGGAGGTGTATGTGTGTGAAATGTGTGTGCAGAGCTAACCTGTAGCAGCAGGGGCAGCAACAAGAAGGCACAGCAGAAAGATCAATTATGAGGGCCACCAAATCCATTAGACTCAGAAGAGTGCAGGAACATAGAAGGCTGTGATTACTTAGTGTATGGTGAAGAGTACTAAGTACAGTACTTGTTGGCTCCTGAGGATATCTTGGTACTATAGCTTTTGTTTTTTAACTTTACCTGTTCCTGAGGTACCTCTAGGCTATCAGAAATAGGTTCAGCTATATAGTTGGCCTTCCATGTCAATGGGTTCCACATCCATAGATGGAAAATATTAGGGAAAAAAATTAAAAATAACAATGCAACAATAAAAAATGATATAAATTTAAAAATATGGTTTAAGAACTATTTACATAGCATTTACATTGTATCAGAGATTATAAGTAATCTAAAGATGATTTGAAATATAGGGGAGGATGTGCATAGGTGATGTGCAAATACTCTGCCATTTTATTTATTTATTTTTTTGAGACGGAGTCTCGCTCTGTTGCCAGGCTGGAGTGCAGTGGTGCGATCTCAGCTCACTGCAACCTCTGCCTCCTGGGTTCAAGCGATTCTCCTGTCTCAGCCTCCCCAGTAGCTGGGACTACAGGTGCCCGCCACCACGCCCAGCTAATTTTTGTATTTTTAGTAGAGATGGAGTTTCACCATGTTGGCCAGGATGGTCTTGATCTCTTGACCTCGTGATCCACCCACCTCGGCCTCCCAAAGTGCTGGGATTACATGCGTGACCTACTCTGCCATTTTATATCAGGGACTTGAACATCCACAGATTTGGGTATCCCGGAAGTTCCTGTGGATACCAAGACAACTGTGCTGTGTTTTATTAGTTTAAGACGGAGTTGGTGATATTTCAGGAAAAATAAATAAAAGTGGTTTAAATTGTTTCTAGTACTTCAAGATGAAAATCTCAGTTATTTAGAATATCTAATTATATCTAATCCTTTACTGCCCCCTTTCCTAATACTGTCAGATAAACAAGTCATTACTAAAACTATTTTTTTTTTTTTTTATGAGACGGAGTCTTGCTCTGTCGCCTAGGCTGGAGTGCAGTGGCATGATCTTGGCTCACTGCAAGCTCCGCCTTACAGGTTCAAGCGATTCTCCTGCCTCAGCCTCCTGAGTAACTGGGACTACAGGCGCCCCCCCACCACGCCCAGTTAATTTTTTAATTTTTTTGGTATTTTTAGTAGAGACAGGGTTTCACCGTGTTACCCAGGATGGTCTCGATCTCCTGACCTCGTGATCCGCCAGCCTTGGCCTACCAAAGTGCTGGGATTACAGGCCTGAGCCACTGTGCCGGCCCTACTAAAACTATCTTTAAAATTAATATTGAAAAGCATTAGTGTATGCAAACATTTATATACTTTCCGGCCTTTTGAAGAATTAGTCTAGGAAAACATTAACCATCATTAAGCAAATAAATCCCTGCTGCTTAACACCCTACATAGAGTTGCCCCTTTGAGATGCAGCTTAACTGTAAATGTAACTGTAAAATTAATATGGTGCTCAGATTTGAACGGACTGTTGATTATCTTTGTTTTGGTATCTGAAGACTTGTGACATATCTCTGTCGATTGGGAATTACGGCAGGCTCTCCTTGTACCATAGTGTCAGTTTTCTGGAGAATGTCTGTCTAGCCCTTGGAAGTTCCCTTATGCGTCCTTTCCCTCAAGGTGAATTTTGGGAATGCTAACTTTGCCTTTATTTTAAATTGTGACATCGTAAACACAACCAACAAATTTCTTCAAAATGTCCAGCCACTATATACATTTGAAAAAAGAGATGAAAGGTTAGAGAAATAACAAAGGTATATGTTATTACTGAAATTCTTTTGGTTGTAATAGAATTAAGTATTACTGAAAAAATAAGCTTTCTTACCATGCCAGTTTGATTTTGTTTTGACAGCTGTAATGAATTGTGTTGCTTGTTGATTGGTTTACTGCAGTGGTGGTCTCTTTGAACTGTTTGTTCTATATCTAAATTAGTTCCTTGGCTTGCCCCTTGGAAATAATTTGGATGGATAGTAATAAAACTATTACATAATGGTGATTCCTCTGAAATGACTTTTAAGCATATTGAATTCTTATCGATTTCTATTTCATATAATGGCATTTCTATTTTATACATTAGTACTTTTTGTTATACTAAGACTTTGCATATTTCTTGTATTTTGGCAAAAGCAATTGGAATCCATAAAGCAACATACAGAATTTAATTGTGATAAAAGTGCTCTGGTAAAGAAAATTTGGTATAAAAAGCCACTGCTTTCATTTATCAAGGAATGGGAAGGGACACTTATTTTATAAAAGATATTGAGGACAAACTTTTTTCTCTATTTTTATATACAAATTCTTTTTTTCTTTTGAGATAGTATCTCCCTCTGTCGCCCAGGCTGGAGTGCAGTGGTGCGATCTTGGCTCACTGCAACCACTGCCTCCTGGGTTCAAGTGATTCCCCAGCCTCAGCCTCCTGAGTAGCTGGAATTACAGGTGCCCACAACCACGCCCGGCTAATTTTTTTGTATTTTTAGTAGCGACCAGCTTCACCATGTTGGTCAGGCTGGTCTTGCACTCCTGACCTCAGGTGATCTGCCTGCCTCAGCCTCCCAAAGTGTTGGGATTACAAGTGTGAGCCACCACGCCCGGCCTATATACAAATTCTTAATCTTACCAAGTTCACAAATTTGAACTTAACACAACTCTTAAGGTTAATAAAAGTATTGTTTTATAAGTTATCAATGTGAGAAACAGATTTGGGGTAATTATTCAAACTCAAATTCAGTAGGCATAAGAATTTAGTGTATCCATGGCCTTGCTCATGAGTCATATGTTTTTTTCTTTTCAAAGTCCAAGTGAAAACTTCACTGCTTTTACAATAAGCTGTGAAAATTATTGGCAGATGTAGGGACCCTGCCTCATTTATATCTATGAAACCCTAATTCAAGTTTCAAGTAATTGTATGACATTTAACAACATAAGAGTTCCGTTCCTCAGTTTTCATATTTCTTAAGAGCAGTTAATTATGTGTGATAATGGTATGTATGTTGCATGTATTATTGTTGGCATATAGCCAACGACATTTTCCTTAATCTCTTAGTAACACTTTAAGAAGACTAAACATTTACCCAACTCAATAACTGGAAGGGGTTTTTCCTCCAAGTGCTAATTCATTTAGTTGTTGTTTATTTGGGACTTGAAGCAACTAACATCTATGCGAAAACTTTCTGTATACATAATGCACTTCCCTCCTTTTTACCAATCATCTTCCTTTTTCTTTTCTTTTTTGGACTCTTGTCATTTGAAATATTGGGTGGGGGGGAACGCTTTTTTTCTTCTTTTGATTGCTCTACTTCTTCTAGTGATTTCGTCATGATTCAAGACTTTCTTTGAAAGTAAAATGGAATAAAAATGAAACACTACGAACTTTGTTGCCTATCCTCGCTGTTTTTCTTTTTGACTTAACTTTGCGTTGGGGTGCTTTAAAGTAACCCTATTTGAGAGAAGGAGGTTGAAGGGCATTCTAGCGTCCCCAACTAGAGTAAAAGGGCTATGACAGAAGGCAATCAAAGGAGGAAATAATTAGCAATCTTCAACGTTCAAGATTAATCAGTTCTGTTTAGCGGTTATTAAAGGGAAGAAAGAAACCAAATGGGAATAGTGAATTATTGGTCCTTTCATGTTTTACACTTAATGCTGGTACATAGTATTCTTTCCACATTCTACTGCACATTGCCTAGAGAAAGAACTGCAGATCATCAAATAATTATCCATTTCCAAATGGTCTAATGACAGCAGATACAAAGGCGGCTCACTTAAAACCTTCCGTTAACAGTCACACTGCATCAAATGGTGCTAGCTTTAAGTAGGCCACCCATTTAGTAGACTCTGAAACAACACCTTTCCGCCCAATTTCTGTCATTTGCTCCTTAAGTCAAGGGTAGTACCCTGCGTAACATCTTACAAAGGCCTACTTCTAACACTTCCCGAATCTTAATGTGTGAGGATGTTGATCACCATAATTTATGACCTTATCTAAGACAGTGGGGTGACTCTCCACATTGGGAGCCCCCTCATTTGTCCTCAGTGACTTCTAAAAACACCGCTGGCGTGGGCTGGATATTTGATCTTGGGGCCAAGTGCTTCCAGACTTTGTTCTCTGGCCTTAAAGGTGAAGAGCCCGGCGCTGAAGGCCACAGACATCACGGCGGATTTCACAGAGGGCCGCGTTCCGGGAGCGGGTGGCCAGGCGGTGGCGGACGCCCCACCTGTCCATCCTCCTACCCCTTCCCCCCCCCGTTGTTTGGCCGGTGGGAGCCCCTCCTTTCAGCAGGCGCCGGGCGGTGGGGTTGCGGATGGCTGCGCGCGCTGCGGGCACCGATCACCGGCGGCAGTTGGGCTCCGCGGGGCCGAAAAGCTGCGGGCGGGAAGCGCGAGGTTAAGACCCTGACGGCTGCAGCTCTCAGAGCCCCCGCGAGCGCGCTCCGTTGGTGCGCGCGCGCGCGCGGCTCCGCCCCGCCCGCTTGGCGCGCGCCCCCGCCAGGTCCGCTCTCGTCCCCCACCCCTGGCGCGGACGGGGTGGTTCCAGCTCACTCTCCTCCCCCGAGCGGCAGCGGCGGCGGCGGCGGCGGCTGCTGCGGGCGCTGAATGAGAGACGGTGACTGTTCGGGTCGACGAGTGCTACTCTAGGCGGCGGCGGCCGTGGCGGTGAAGCGTGAGGCCGGCATCGTCTTTCCGTCCTCTGAGGCGACGGCCGCGGCTGCACAGGTCGGTGGGCTCAGGCCGCGGGGCGGTGCGGGGGAGGGAGGGAGGGAGGGTGGGTACGCGGCGCCCCCCGGGCGGCGCGGGGAATGGCGGCGGCGGCGCTGCGGAGTGTGGCTCTCCCGGCCGCGGGCCCCGGGGCTGCTCGCCCTGCGCGCAGGGAGGGGGCTGCGGAGCTGGGGCTGAGGCTGAGGGAGAAGGGCGCTGGGCGGCGCGCCTCCCTCGGCCGCGGGTTCTCAGAGTCGGAGCGGCCGTGGGGTCCCCGCTCGGGGGCGCCGTCCTGAAGCCGGGGGCGCTGCGACCCCTTGAACCCGCCTCGCTCTCCCTCTTGGGTGGCGGAAGCCCCCAGCCTCCGCCCGCTCTGTTCTGGCGCCCAGCGGCGCCTCAGTCTTCCTTCAGGTGAGCCCGATCCCGGACCTCGGAGCCAGGACCAGCAGAAGCCGGGCCACACCCCCTCCCCTGGCCCTGGCGGCTGCGCCCAGAAGCCTGGCCGCAGAGTTGGCCGCCCGCGAACCCGCGGAGTCGCGGTCAGGGTGACCTGTTGCAGAGCGGCCCGCAGCCCGAGCGGCCCCCGCCAGCCCCGGCCCCGGAGGGGCTGCGTCCTGTGCTGGCCTCGGGCCGGGCGCGCGGGCCGGGTGTGGGGCAGGGGCCGCAGCCCCAGGTCGGCTTGCTCTACGGCCTGGAACCGGGCTCTAGAAAAAAAAGGAGATTCCGAACGTATCTCATCAAACACTTGCAAAGCCGGGAGATCTGTCTGCAAATATCCGGAATTCCATTGCAGTATCGGATTAGGTAGGCTCATAAACACCGTGCTTTTGAGGTGATTTGGAAGAAACGCGAGCCACGAGCGAGGAACTAGTTTCTGGAAAATAGCCGTAAACCTGTGCGGAGCGAATTATTAACCCCCCGCCCCAGCTCCCCCCTCGAAGCTCTTTTCCTGTAGCTGTGTGTTGTGTAGACGCAAGCCAGTTTCAGTGTACGTGGGCGTGTTTGGGAAGAAGCTGCGAGCTGATAGGAGGTACCTAGTACAAATGTTAATTTGTTTGAGTTGGGAGGGGTAAGGGAGGAGGAAGAAAGGGCACTGATGTTAGCTGTGGAGGAGGGGCAATTGAAATACTAAATTTCTGTTAAAAAAAAAAAACCCCAAAAGAAATATCTAATGCCTACTGTGTATTTAAGACCATAAAGTGGAATCACACAAGCAGCAGTTAATTGAGCTTTATCGTTTATGCTCCCTGGATTTTTTTTCCCCAACACTTTAGTTGCTATAGAGAGCCTTTTCTTACCAGTGTTCATGAGTTGACTTGGGTATTTTTCTGTGTCCACCATTAGATCGATTCCTGTTCAAGTTTCTTTGAAGATGACCATCAGAATTTTAGGAAACTTTTCAGCCCGTGTTTGCAGAGTATCGCTGTTAGACAGATCATAGCTTGCTCATTATAAAGCCTGTTCCACTCAAGATCATTATGCTTGTACAAGTGCTATAGAACAAGTGCTATAGAATCATACACATAAGTGTATTACTCTTACGGCTAAATATCTTAATTTAGAATTATGAGGAAACTTCCAAAACTGAGCATCCAAACAGTATTATTTTAACAAAGATAACCTCTAACTCAAGCTTTGTAGGCATGAAGTTTATCATGTAGCTTCAAAGGTCTTTTGAGGCAGATCTAAATATCAAAATGTAAGGGCATTAATGCCATTTGGGATAAACAATTTCAGTGTATTTATTTTAAGCGTAGTTCATTTTTTCTTTTTAAAATTCAGCATAATTTTTGAACGGTAAGATGTGCGTTTTTCCCATTATATTCCACTTTTTTTTTTTTCCTTTTAAGATAGGTTCTCCTTATTTGGCTCAGGCTGGTCTCAGACTCCTGAGCTCAAGCGATCCTCCCGTGTCAGGCTCCCAAGAAGCTGGGACTACAGGCATGCGCCACTGTGCGTTATTTCACTTTTCATTGAATTAAGGAATTTGACTTTTAGTAATACTTTGGGGCAGGACTCTGGAAATACTGTTTAGTTTGCCTAAATTTTTTCAGATTGCAACGTAAGTTTGAAGATAATGCTTGCATTGGCAGAACACAACGTGCTTTTCTAATATTTATTAGTAATACTAGAAAGAATACAACAAATTTTCCTGAGAGAAAACATAACTGAAAAACTGGCTTTGTGAGTCAGATACATATGTGAGTAATATATTTTTGTGTGTGTTTTTAAATACCTGGTACGAGTCTTTTTATTACGTCATTAGAGTTCAGTGTAGTGAATGATGGATATATAGGTGAAATTGTCCTGTTGCAACTTAAAACACTTAAGCTTTTTCCAGAGACTCAGTTCATTCTGCACATGTGTATTGGGTACCTACTTGGTGCCAGTTAGTTCCCTAGAGGTTGGGGACACAACAGGGGAGACACAACAGGGCTTATCATTTAAGCCCTGATGGGGCTTAAATGATAAGTGGGCAAATATGTTTGTTTAAAAGTTTAAGAAGTAGAAACTCCTCTGATAACTTTTTGGTTAAGGATATTGTTTTTTTCTTTCTGAGAATTGTGGGAATTATTGCCTAGCGAACAAAAACATTAAGACAATTGTTTTTAGAATATGCCTATGTTTATATACTTTGGGTTTCTGGTTACCAAGTATACCAAAGATAAACATTCTACCTGAAGTCAGATGATGCGTAGTTTACATGTGGTTAGACAGCCTTATTCTTTTGGTTTATGTAGTTAAATGAATGTTTGCTGAAAATATTCTCTCGGCATTTATTTATAAGGGAATCTAAATTTCTTTTTTGGTCTAAAATTTTAAAATATCACCTTTTTATTTCTGGCTGACTGTGAGTGAACCAATTCCTTGATAATCTGCTTTTTCAGAAATTTTTAAATAACTTTTAAACCATAAACCAAACTATTAATTGAAATTTATTGAATCAAATTTGTTTTCTTTTGTGAGTTAAACTTTAAACCCATTTTCTCCGAAAGTATGCTTTTTTTTTTTTTTTTGCTATGTAAAATAGGCACATAGTTTGGGTTTACTTTTAATTTTAATGATACACAGTTTGAGAATAAGATATTGAAGTGTATCCATTTTTTGAATATGAGATATTTATTGTGTAACGACTGTATTTGGAATAAAATTGTCACTTTAATATGAATACTTTTTTTTAAGTTAATTTTCAATGAAAGATAATTCAAATAGCTTGAAACTACCCCAGCCTGAGTGAAGTTCCTTGGAGAGGAAAATGAATGTATTGCATTACCCTGTAAATTGTTTCTTTAAATGTGTCTTAAATTTCCTATTGAATCCTTTTTAGTGAGAGAATAAAGATTGTGATAAATTTTAGTAACGTGGAATTAATCTGGAATCTTTTTTGGTTTAATGTCTTGAGCTTTTGATTTAGGAAAACTTTTAACTACATAATAGAAATAAAACACTGGAATTTAAAATGTGTTACATTTACCTATTCTATGGAAAGAAAAAAGTTTGAATATAAATTTACATAGTCACTTTACTAAGTAGCTAGTTAGGGATATGGGAAGGATCTATATATACATACAGTTATATGGATATAGCAGTGTTCATATGACTTAGCTTGAGGAAGCTTGGCCGTTTATTTCATTACAGAGAAACTTTTGGTACTGGCTTTTGAATAATACATTGCTTTGGAGTGTGAAAGACTTGAATCTCTCATCTTGAATTTAATTGATAGTTTTCTGTTATTTCACTTACATGACCTTTTTTTTCAGAACAGATTTTCTTTAGTTTGATTTCCTTTTGTTGTTCTTGCAGAAGTGTTTTCTGAAAACCTTATTAAATAGCATCCCCCATCATACTCTGTGCCTTTGCCTTGCTTTATTTATTTATTTTTACATCATTGGTTTATCTGACATTAAAACGTACATTAGTTTATTATCTGCCTCCCTCTCTGATTGTAAGCTTCATGAGGACAAGGGCTTATTTTGTACACTGTTCTCTTCCTAGCACCTAGAAAAGTATCTGACACGTAGTGATGCTCAGATATTTGTGGGGTATTGTTATTAAGTGATCAAAGGACCCCTGGTTTTGTTCCTTTTTTAAAAAAAGATTAATATTTGATTTATACAGCTGTGCAGTTAAAAAGAAAATTGTACTACAAGGGTTATACAGGTTGAGCATCCCAAATCTGAAAATCTGAAATCCAAAATGCTCCAAAATATTAAACTTTTTGAGTGCCAGCATGACTCTCAAAGAAAATGTTCATTGGAGCAGTTTGAGTTTTAAATATTTGGATTTGGGATGCCCAACTGGCAATGCAAGTCTTCCAAAATCTGACAAAATCTGAAATTCAACAAAATTTGAAATCTGAATTTTTCTGGCCCCAAGCCAGGTACTCAGATAACCTGTAATTAAAACTCCGGTCCTCTGCCTCATGTCTTTATGACTTTCCCTCCTGTGTCCTGCTTTCAGAGCAACCATAGGTGTTTCTTCTATTTATTTACATATTTAAAAATTATATACTTTTACTGTTTGTTTTTCAGTTTTATTATTTATTTATTTATTTTTTGAGACAGAGTATTGCTCTATCGCCCAGGCTGAAGTGCAGTGGTGCGATCTTGGCTCATTGCAGCCTCCACCTCTTGGGTTCAACTGATTCTCCTGCCTCAGCTTCCCAGGTAGCTGGGGTTACAGGCATGTGCCACCATGCCTGACTAATTTTTGTATTTGTAGTAGAGACGGGTTTTCACCATGTTGGCCAGGCTGTGAACTCCTGACCTCAAGTGATCCACCCGTTCTCCCTGGCCTCCCTAAGTGCTGAGATTACAGGTGTGAGCCACCATGCCTGGCCCTGTTTTTCAGTTTTCCTGTTTTTCAATTTTAGCTGTTGTCTGTTGGCTTTCTTCTGTGGTAGATGAGTCTATGCTTTAGGATTCTTATGCCACCTTGAAATTTCTTTCCCATGTCTTCCCAATATAGTCATGCTTTTGATTAAATCAGCATTCGTTGTTTACATTATTATGAGTTTGTAAATATGTTTACAGTGGAACCTTACAGTGTACTATGATTATATTTCTTGGAGTTGATTTCTTTTTATTTCTTAGTTTCCTATTTGTCTCTAATTTTTTTTTCTACAAACTGTCCCAATATCATCAAACATCAGGTAATTGACCCTTCAGTTTTAAAAAAAAAAAATGAAAATTCTTCTTGAACTATCTTCTTGCTCAAATCTGCACTTTTGCCTTCCACTTATGCTGTGTAGCTATAATTGTGACTTCCCTTCATCATGATTCTGAGAATTCTGTTTTTTTTTTTGTTTTTTTTTTTGAGACAAGAGTTTTGCTCTTGTTGCCCAGGCTGGAGTGCAATGGCGTGATCTCGGCTCACCACAACCTCTGCTTCCCGGGTTTAAGCGATTCTCCTGCCTCAGCCTCCCAAGTAGCTGGGATTACAGGCATGTGCCACCACACCCAGCTAATTTTGTATTTTTAGGAGAGACGGGGTTTCTCCATGTTGGTCAGGCTGGTCTCGACCCAACCTCAAGTGATTCGCCCACCTCAGGCTCCCAGAGTGCTGGGATTATAGGCGTGAGCCACTGCGCCTGGCTGATTCTGAGAATTCTTTTTGCCATTTTCCTGTGATCTCTGGATCCATATCCTCCGCTTTCTTGATTTACTCCTTTGTTTTGGTGAAATGCATCCTTTGGTAACTTTCAAGAAAGAGTATATGAAGAGGTAAAATTTGTGAGATGTGTGTATTGCTGAAAATATTTTCCTTCTACCTTGACACCTGGTTGATAATATGGCAGGGATAGGTATAGAATTCCAAGGTAAAAATCATCTTCAAATTTAGCAGATGATTATACTTTTCTAGTTGTTTTGGTTTTTTTTTTTTTTTTTTTTTTTTTTTTTGAGACAGAGTCTCCTCTGTCCCCCAGGCTGGAGAGCAGTGATATGATCTTGGCTCAGTGCACCCTCCACCTCCTGGGTTCAAGTGATCCTCCTGCCTCAGCCTCCTAAGTAGCTGGGATTACAAGCATGCGCCACCACACCCAGCTAATTTTTGTATTTTTGGTAGAGATGGTGTTTCACCATGTTGGCCAGACCAGTCTCAAACTCCTGACCTCAAGTGATCCGCCTACCTCGGCCTCTCAGAGTGCTGGGATTACAGGTGTGAGCCACTGTGCCTGGCCTGATTTTCTAGTTTGAAGTGGTTGTTGAAAAGTCTTATGCCATTCAAAATCTTCATCCTTCATATGTGACCTGGCCCTACGATCTTTTGTCTTCAGTATATCTGCTATGTCCCTGATATTTTATGTATCTTGTATTGACTTTACTTTATTTCTTCTACACTGAATTTAGTGGGCGCTTTCAACCAGCAGTGTCCATGATTATATGGAGAGGAGATATGATCTAGTTTAGAGGTCAGCAGACTTTTTCTTTGAAGGTTAGGTAGTATTTTAGGCATTTTGGGCAATACAATCCATTACTGCTACTCAGCTTTGCTGTTGTCTAGTGAAATCAAGCATAAGCAGTGTGGGACTGTGGTTTGCTGACACCTGATCTTATACAAGCAGAAGGATTAGCCTTTGCTTCACCAGGAGTAGGGAGAGTTACTATAGAAATAGGAGAGAAGACAAAGTATATGGATAGACACATGATGGTGGTAGCTTGAGAACGTTCTCATGAGTGTTTCAATTTACCTTTGTGTATAGAGGCCAAGCTCATCATCTGAGAGTAAGGAAGAATGGGAATATGTATTAGAGGTTTGAGAAGGAATAATACATGACATAGTCACTTGTCAAAGAGTAAAAAAGTGAATAGAAGAGGGAGAGTATGATTGCCAGGCAGCAGTAAGGGCTCACTTGAGATACATGGTTCTGAATTTTATGTTCCTGATTTATTTTATTTATTTATTTATTTATTTGAGACAGAGTCTCACTCTGTCGCCTAGGCTGGAGTGCAGTGGCGCGATCTCGGCTCACTGCAACTTCCATCTCCTGGGTTCAGGTGGTTCTCCTGCCTCAGCCTCCCAAGTAGCTGGGACTACAGTTGCGTGCCACCACATCCGGCTAATTTTTTGTTTTTTTAGTAGAGACAGGGTTTCACCATGTTAGCCAGGATGGTCTCAGATCTCCTGACCTCGTGATCTGCCCATCTTGGCCTCCCAAAGTGCTGGGATTACAGGCGTGAGCCACCACACTCGGCCATGTTCCTGATTTTAATAGGAGTACCTTTAATATTTCATCATTAATTATAATGCCTTACTATTGGTTTTGATAAATAACTTAAGACTTTTGGTAGATATGATTAAGAAATGCTTTGTCATACTAGTTTTCTAAGTTTTTTTTTTTTTTTAAACATAAAATGTTGAATTCATCAAGTGCTTTTTCTTTGCAGGTAGAGATCATCTTTTCCATTAATCTGTTAATAGGATGTATTACATTAATAGATTATCTCCTGTTGAACCATCTTTGCATTCCTGAGTTAAACCCTATTTAGCTGTGGTGCATTTTTTCACCCACACGGCTGAATTTGACTTGCTGGTGTCTTAGAGTTCTTTAAGATCTACATTTATCAGTGAGGTTTACATGGGTATATTTTGAATTCAAAGTTTCGCTGACTTCATGAAATCAGTTGTAAAGCTTTCTTTTTTTTCCCCCATTATCAGAAATAATTCTGTAACGTAGGGATTCTTTGTTCCTTGAAGGAACTATAGATTTAATATGAAAGTTTCTAAAACAAAACATGGAAAAATATCTGTATGACCCTGTTGGAGGCAAAGGCTTTTTAAACCAGGATGCAAAAAGTACTAACCAGAAAAGAAAAGACTGTATTTCATTAAATAAGAACATCTACTCATTAAACAATACTATTAAGAGAAGGAAAAGGCAAGTAACACACTGGAAAAGGTGTTTGCAATACTTATATCTGTCAGAGGACTTATATATAGAGTATATTTAAAAGTATGCAAACCAATGCAAAAGAATCAGGCAACCCAGTTTTAAAACAAATGGACAAAAGACTAGAACAGGTATTCAGAAAATGAATTGTTCAGATGGCCAAGGTTAAAAAGTACTGATACATAATTTTTAGAAAACCGCAAATTAAAACTACAATGTGATGCCACTGCATACCCACCAGAATGGTGTTAGTTAAAAAATCTGAAATACAAAGTGTTGGCAAGAATGTAGAGCATTTGGAACCCTTATACATTTCAAGTGGGTTTGAAAATTGGTACAGCCACTTTGGAAAATTCTTTGGCAGCATTTGCCTAAAACTGTATCTGTATATGCTCTGTGATCCACCAGTTTCATGTCTGGGGATAGACCTGATAGAAATCAGTATATGTGTGCATCAGAGGACATGTACATTAGAAGAAAACATAGGGGTAAATCTTTATGACCTTGGAATAGGTAAAGGATTCTTACGTATGACACAAAGTGACACCAAAAGCAGGAGCAACAAAACAAGCAAGAGGTAAATTGAACTTAAAAATTAAATTTTTTGTGCTTCAAAGGATGCCATCAAGAATGTGAAAAGACAATACACAGAATTGGAGAAAATATTTGCAAGTCATATCTAACAAGAAACTTGTAGTCAGAATGTATAAACACTCCTATAACTCAATAATAAAAAGACAACTCAATTTAAAAACAGGCAAAGGAGCTGAATAGAAATTTCTCAAAGATAAACAAGTGGCCAATAAGCACATGAAAACATGCTCGACATTATTAGCTATCAGGAAAATGAAATCAAAACCGCAGTGAGATACCGCTTCACACCACTAGGATGACTTGAATGAAAAAGTTAGATAATAAGTGTAGGCAAGGATGTTAAGAAATTGGGATCCTCATACACTTGTGGGAATGTAAATGGATGTGGCTTCTTTGGAAGACCATGTGGCACTTCTTCAAATAATTTAACGTAGCATTACCATACGACCCAGCAGTTCCTCTCCTAGAACAGCAGATAGAGGTAGAAAACAGATAAGTGGCTTAGGCCAGTAGCAGGGGTAAGGGGGTGGTAGCTAAAGGGTATGGATTTCTTTCTGAGATGATGAAAATGTTCTAAAATTGACCGTGTTGATGGTTGTACCTCTGTGAATATGCTATAAACCATTGACTTGTACATTTTAAATGGGTGAATTGTATGGTATGTGAATTATATCTCAGTAAAGCTGTTAAAGATAGGAAAAATAATCAGTGATGTGACAGTGTTGCCATAATATTTGAGAAGAGCAAGATGCAGAGGGATATACCAAGTATTTGTATGAAGCAAACAACTCCGAAACCTTTATGTCTGTATGTGTTTCGATGATTCTGTAAGGTGGAAAATGTTGCACACTAAATGTAAATGTTTGTTTTCTTGTTGGTCTAAAATAGGGAGAGGGAGAGAAAAAAGGGAAAAAATAACTAAAGGTGTTGATTTAGAAAAAGGATAGCATGTATAGCAAGATCTCAGTTATGTGAACTATAAATGTTAAAAATGTTGAGTAGTTTGTGTGGTGGGATAGCAGATCTTTTTTTCTTTATTATTTTCTGGTTGTTTGATCTTTTTTATTTTATAATAGAAGTAGTTAAAATGATATTAAGAGGCAATAAAATAAAAATAAGTTATGAAACCGCCAAAACCATAGCAAACAGGGCATGTCCATAGCAGCTTCGTGATCACTTCCAGCTGGAAACAACCCAAATGTCTGTCAACAACAACAAAAAAAGGGGATAAATAATTTGTGGTATAGCCTTATAGTATAACACTGTACAGTACTGGAAAAGAATGAACTATAGCTATACTCAGCAAACATGGGTGACTATCACAGATAAAATGGTGAGCAAAAGAAACCAGACACAAAAGAGTACGTACTCCATGAAGTCATACTCCATGACTTCATTTACATAAAGTTTAGGGCAAGGTCAAACTCATGTATGGTGATAGAAGCATGAGCATGGTGTTTAGGAGTTGGGGCTGGAAAGGTAAGAGGAACAACAAAGAGGGACCTTCTAGAGTGCTAGAAATGTCTATATTTTCTTTTTCTTTTCTTTTTTTTTTTTTTTTGATGCTGTAGCCCAGGCTGGAGTGCAGTGGCGTGATCTCAGCTCACTGCAACCTCTGCCTCCCAGGTCCTGCTTCAAGCAGTTCTCCTGCCTCAGCCTCCCAAGTAGCTGGGATTACAGGCACGTGCCACCATGCCCAGCTAATTTTTGTATTCTTTTTTTTTTTTTTTTTTTTTAGTGATGGGATTTCACCATATTTGATTGGTGGTTACATGGGTGTCTACATTGTAAAATTCATCACACAGAATACCTTAGATATATGTACATTATATTTGTACATGTATCTCAAAAGTAAAAAATGAAACCATAAAAAATAAAAATAAGCAAAAAAATTATTGTACTTATTTAAAAGTATTTGTATATTTCTGGGGATAATTGTATTGCATTCAAAGATAGTTTCTACTATCATTTTTAATGGTAGCATTGTATTGTGTGAATGTATCATTATTTAAACTCTTGAGCATTTAGGTTGTTTCTTTTAGATAGTATAACAGTGATAGAGTTAACATCTTTTTTTATAGCTCTTCCTGTACTTACATAATTTCCTTTTGATGAATTCCTAAAAAGGGAGTTATTTGGAGGTTAAGTATGTTTGCATACTCGCTTATGGTGTACATGTTTGTTTCTCTATGCCCTTAATCACTTGGCAGTTAGCTTTAAAAACGTATATATGTTGATGTGTTATGTAATAAGTGCTCTGTGTTTTAATTTGTGGGTTGTTTTTTTTTTTTTTTTCTGAGACAGAGTCTCACTGTGTCGCCCAGCCTGGAGTGCAGTGGTGATCTCGGCTCACTGCAGCCTCCGCCTCCTGGGTTCAAGATTCTCCTGCCTCAGCTTCTCAAGTAGCTGAGATTACAGGTGCCTACCACCATGCCTGGCTAATTCTTGTATTTTCAGTAGAGTCAGAGCTTCACCATGTTGGCCAGGCTGGTCTTGAACTCCTGACCTCAAGTGATCCAGCCACCTCGGCCTCCCAAAAGTGCTGGGATTAAAGATGTGAGCCACTACACCCAGCCTTAATTTGCATTTTAAACGTTTTCAATGAAAGTACTGTTTTCATATGTGTGATATTATACTACTTTCTCCAATTTTCTCTTCACATCCTACCCATTCTTTTTGCTCAATCTTTTAAGTCTTTTAATGAAATAGTTATACAAAAAAGTGTATAGAGTCAGGTGCGGTGGCTCACACCTGTAATCTCAGCACTTTGGGAGGCCAAGGTGGGCGGATTGCTTGAGCCCAGGAGTTTAAGACCCAGCCTGGGCAATGTGGTGAAACCCTGTCTCTACAAAAAAATGCAAAAAATTAGCCAGGTATGGTGGTGTGTGCCTGTAGTCCCAGCTACTCAGGAGGCTGAGGCTGGAGAATTGGAGTCCGGGAGGTCAAGGCTGCAGTGGCCATGATCGAGCCACTGCACTCCAGCCTGGGCAACAGAAGGACACCCCTGTCTTAAAAAACAAAAAGCATATGAAGACTAATACAGTTAATCCCTAACTTAAGAAATTAACCAATGCAGTTGAAGCACCCTACTAGTTCACATTAATGTGTAAGAAGTCTTTATGTATTAAAAATATTAACTCTTTGTCTCTTGTTTTACTTTTCCTTGTTTTATCTTTTGTTACCCAACTTACTGTATTTCATTGAATCTAAAATGGCTTCAGTTGCAAGATGCACTATTTATGTACATCTAAAAATAAGAATATGGCATTCGAATTTAAGAGGCATCTTAATTTCAGAGATTTTAAAAGGTAAGAAAATGCACATCTAAGAATTGATGAAATACATGTATTTCACTGTCTTGCGCCTTTTTTCTTTTTGAGATGAAGTCTTGCTCTGTCGCCCAGGCTGAAGTGCCGGTGGCATGATCTTGGCTCACTGCAACCTCTGCCTCCCAGGTTCAAGCAATTCTCTGCCTCAGCCTCGCGAGTAGCTGGGATTACAGGCGCCTGCCACCACGCCTGGCTAATTTTTTTGTATTTTTAGTAGAGACGGGGTTTCACCATCTTGGCCAGGCTGGTCTTGAACTCCTGACCTCGTGATCCACCTGCCTCGGCTTCCCAAAGTGCTGGGATTACAGGCATGAGCCACCGCACCTGGCCAGCGCCACCTTTAATCAGATGATCAATCTCTTCTTTTGTTTCTGTTTCTACTGTGAGTCCTAGATAGCCTTTCCTATGTCAGAATATATTTTAAAATTCACCTATGTTTACTTCTAGTATTTTTATGGCTTAAATATTTTTCATTTTTAATTCATCTTATTTTAATGTAAGATCTAATTTTTGTCTTTTTACCCAAATGGTTAAACAATTGTCAAAAAGTTAAATGACATTAATGATTTTTTTTCCTTTTGAGATAGGGTCTCACTCTCTCACCCAGACTGGATTCCAATGGCATGATCACAGCTCACTGCAGCCTTGACCTCCCAGACTTAAGTGATCCTCCTGCCTCAGCCTCCCAAGTAGGTGGGACTACGGGTGCACACCACCACCCCTGGCTAATTTTTTTGTTTTTTTGTAGAGACATAGTCTCTACTTTGTTGCCTAGGCTTGTTTCAAACTCCTGGGCTCAAGTAATCCTCTTGCCTCAGACTCCCAAAGTGCTGGGATTACAGCATGAGCCACCACGCTTGACCACAATAATGATTTTTGAACAAGTAGTGATATGCTCAAATGTGCTGGCTAGGAACACAATATGGCTATAGATTTTGGTTAGGTCTAGTCAAAAATTATCAGTTTTATTTTCTAATAGATGGATATCTTTTTTTTTTTTTTTTTTTTTTTGAGTTAGAGTCTCACTCTGTCGCCCAGGCTGGAGTGCAGTGGCACGATCTTAGCTCACTGCAACATCCACCTCCCAGGTTCAAGGTACTCTCCTGTCTCAGCCTCCCAAATAGCTGGGATTACAGGCACATGCCACCATGCCTGGCTGATTTTTTGTGTTTTAGTAGAGACAGAGTTTCACCATGTTGCCCAGGCTGGTCTCGAACTCCTGAGCTTAGGCAGTCCACCCGCCTTGGCCTCCCAAAGTGCTAGGATTACAGGTGTGAGCCACTGCCGTCGGCTAATAGTTGTATATCTTAAATTTGCATTGAAAGGAATGTGAATGTCAAAACTAAATTTCAATTTTATGTTTCCTTAAATTTCTAATAAGTATCTACATGTTTTTGGGATCAGCCATATAATTTACTAAGCTAAAATTAAATAAATTTTTTAAGGATAGACAATGGTTATAATTCTTTGATGAAAGTCTGTATGAATCTGGGCAAGTTACTTAATTTGTTTAACATTCAGCTTTTTTATTTGTAATTGGGTATAATAGTGCCTTCTCATAGGATCATTGTAAGGATTTCTTTTACTCTTTCTTTCAGAATTTTGAAGATCAAGTGTAATTATAGCCCAGATTCTGTTGCATCTGTGGTTATTCTAGATCTCTAGGGTTACTGGAGTAAATTATTCGTTATACCTCTTCCAGTCCTGATTTAGATTTCCAGGATTTGTCTAGAACATTTTTTTGCCTTCTGGAATTAGCTTACATGACAAATCTGTATGTTTTCTGTTGCTTTTCTTAAGCTACACTTTTGTGTATGTGCTGAAATCTTTATAGATAGTTTAGGGGTTTGTAGGTGGGTGATTAGTAAGTTTTTTCTTTTTTTTGCAATTTTGATATGCTGATATATTTTTGTATGTTTTTGTAGTTTAGATCCTATCTCTTAAAGCTAGAGGGACAGGAATAAGTCTACTTAAAGAGCAACATTTTGAGGATATCTTATGGATAAGAAACTCTGCTTCTGACTTGCTTATTTTGGCCACTGGCATTTTTAAATGTTTTCTTGTAAGCACAGTACTTGAGAGTGTTATCATAAAAGTATTGTTGTTCATGTCTTCTTGGTCAGAGACAGTCTTATATGTGAAACCACAGTAAATAACATAAAACAATATGTTGTTTTGTGTCAGATTGAAGAGCATTAGCAGGTCACAGAAGAAGAGGCTCAGTGAGGACAGGAGTGGTCCTTAAGGAATGTGTTTCATTTATGTGGAAAGAACATACTGATTGTTGAAACAGCATGACTCAAGATGTGGCAACCAGAACTAGGTGTTGTTGGCACGATTTGGATTGAAGGGTTTGTTTGGGATGTGGCGGGAAATACAGTACCTTTGATGAGGTGGGACTAAATATTCAGCCCTTAGAAATGAAGCAGGGGAAATTAGAATTGAAATGATAGTACATATTGTTATTCACTAACTTAGCGTGTCACTCTGTTTCCTTTCTTCAAGAGATCCAAAAGGTGACAGATAGAACTCATTGCCAAAAGGTTTTTAAAGATAACCACTTTGAAGGTTTGGACTTAAGGGAACAGGCAGTACTAATTGAAGCCATCTGTGCTGCACTTGTTTATCTAAACAGTTTGGACAGCTGAACTGGCTGTAGGAATGAAGTCAACAAACCTAGCCACCTCATCTGCTTCATTCCAATATGGCCTAACAGATATAGCTATAAGGATGAATAGGGTCATTGATACTACTTCTAACTCTGAGCGGTATTTGAAATAATAGATAATAGTGGGTTTTCCTCCTCAGTTGTGGTACTCTTGAATGGAGTATGGCAACCTTTGACTTAATAATCACTGGACCTGTATTTCATGTCTTGTGTGATGCTGTAAATTATATGATCCCCTTAGTAACAACCAAATTTTGTATTTATAACTACTTAACTACTATAACTAAGTAGATTAGAAATCCTGGCAAGACTTTTGAGTCCCAGAGTAGTAGTGATTTATCTGAGTCAGTATCCTAGATATGTCATTTATAATTCTGGCTTGCCCACAGTTCCTTTGGAGGAAATCTGCTTTTTCTACAGTACATTGCAGAAGAACAGACCTCAATAGCTATTTTTTTAACCATATAAAACTGTATTGCAGTGGATTGGTCCAGCAGTGGGCATTTGACCTAAGGGTTGCTAATCCATCAACCACCTGGGAAAATTTATATAGTCAGTTATAGAAAACATGGAGTTAATTTACCATTGAACCATGGGAGCTGAAGCTGCAAAGATGTGTTGGTGTAGAGTCCTGTAAAACTAAAGTTTAAGGGAATGGAAAGTAGATGTAAGCAGAAGCTATGAATTACAGAAATGATAAAGGAGATGAGGAAGCCATTTGGTAACTATAAAAGAGTAGGGCATGTGTGCTGAGAGAAGTGCAAAATTCTGAGAGAAACCATGTGGTTTGAGAGAGAGGTATGGAACATGAGAGTGAAGATTCTAGTTTCTGGCACTGTAGATACTGTTCTTCCTTTAGTACTTCTGTGGCTCCTGCCCTTCTTGAGACTGCATTCATTCCTCCCCACCCCCAGGAAAGATTGTAGGCTTTGGTGTCAGACATTTGACATTAGAATTCTGGCTTTTTTACCAGCCCCTGCAACCTTGGGCAAATCGCTTAAACTCTCTGTCTCATTTCTCATCTGTAAAATGAGCATCATAACAATACTTCTCACTGGGTTGATGTGAGGATTAAGTGAGAATGACACATGGAAAGCTTAGAACAATGCTAAGCGTATAACAGATGTTCAATAAATAGTATCATATATGTAATGATATTTGAGGTAATTTGATTTTTTTGCAACTAAGAGTCTAACTATAGTTAATCTCCTTACTGATTCACTTGGAGCAGAGTAACCTTGTGTGGGAGCTGTGTAAACAAGATAAGGTATAGGGAGTTAGAAAATATTGTCTTATACAGTGTGAATAATAATACACTGAGCATTTAATAGATGCTTGGTGTTCTAAGCATTTTACCTGTATTAACTCATTGGATGTTTCTGTTACTTTCATTGTAAAGATATAGAAACTGAGGCACAGAGAGGCTAACCAACTTGCCCAAGGTTATACAATATGTAACGGGCAGAAATAGAATTCAAACCCAGGTGGTCCAGTTACAGAGTTTTAATTTTTAAATATCTAATTCCTTTTCAATTCTTTCTTTTTAAATGAAGCTAAGGAGGAGGTCTCAGTTTGTTGTTACTGTTTCTTTTATGTTTTTCTAGTACTTGCTTCTCTCCCATTTTGACAAAGACATAGTATACCTCAGGTCTAGAAACAAGATGTGATTCTTGGTAAAGTTCCTGTACTGTACATGAAGTGGTATATCACCTGAAGGAAGACCATGGTAAGTTAAAGTTAAATACTATAAATCCTAACACAATCCTGTGAAACAATGAGTTGTAGCTAAGAAGCCAACAAAGGAGATAAAATGGAATTAGAAACTATACTTACTTATTCAGAAGAAAGCATAAAAAGAGAAAAAAAAGGGACAAATGTAAAGCAAATAGCAAAATATAATAGACTTAAACCTAACCATATCAATAATCACATAAAATCTAGAAGACCTAAACACATTTAAGAAGCAGAAATGGGCTGGGCATGGTGGCTCACGCCTGTAATCCCAGCACTTTGGGAGGCCGAGGCGGGAGGATCATGAGGTCAGGAGATCGAGACCATCCTGGCCAACATGTTGAGACCCTGTCTCTACCAAAAATACAAAAATTAGCCGGGCATGGTGACGCACGCCTGTAGTCCCAGCTACTCAGGAGGCTGAGGCAGGAGAATTGCTTGAACCTGGGAGGCAGAGGTGGCAGTGAGCTGAGATCGTGCCGCTGCACTCCAGCCTGGCAACAGAGCAAGATTCCGTCAAAAAAAAAAAAAAAAAAAGAAGAAGAAGCAGAAATGGTGAGATTGGATTAAAAAAACAAGAGTTAACCATCTCCTGCCTGCAAGAAACCTACTTTAAATATTAAGACACAAATAGGCTAAAAGTAAAGGATGGAAAAAGATACACCATGCTCGCAATAGTCAAAAGAGCATTATGTGGCTATATTAATATTGGACAAGACCCAAGCAAAGAGTATTTCCAGGGATAAAGGATGTCATTACAAAATGATAAAGAGGGCAGTTAATCAAGAGGATGTAATAGTTCTAAACATTTATGCCCCTAATAACAGAATTTCAAAATACTTGAAACAAAAACGGATAGTATTCAAGGGAGAAATTGTCATATCCACAATTTGTGTTGGATACTTACTCTTCTCTCAGTAAATGATAGAACAAGCAGACAGAAAATCATAGGGATATATAGTAGACTTGAACAATACTGTCAACCAATTTTACTTAATTAACATTTACAGAATCTCCACCCAACAATAACATATTATTCTCAGTTTACTCAAATGTCTACAGAACATTTTTCATGATGGACTATGTTTTGGTCCACAAAAAAGTCTCAATAATTTAAAAGGGTTGAGATCCTTCAAAATATGTTATCTGATCACAGTGTAATTCAATTTGAAACTATTAACAAAATGGGGGAAAATCTGGTCTTTGGAAACTAAACAACACAATTTTAAATAATTTATGGTTCAAGGAAGAGATCAAAAGGGAAATTATAAAGTCTTTTGAACTGAATCAAAATGAAAACAACAAATCAGAATTTGTGGGGCTGGTTGTGGTGGCCCATGCCTGTAATCCCAACACTTTGGGAGTCTGAAGTGGGAGGATCACTTATGGCCAGGAGTTCAAGGCCAGCTTGGGCAACATAGCAAAACCCTGTCTTTACAAACATTTTTTTAAAAAAAATTAGCCAGACATGGTGACACATCCCTATAGTCCTAGCTACTGGAAAGGAGAATCACTTGAGCCCAGAAATTTGAGGCCAGTGAGCTATGATTATGCCACTGTAGCTTGGGGCAACAGAGTGAGACCCTGTCTCTTAACAGAATAAATAAAGAAAAAAGAATTTGTGGGATACTATTGAAGTAGAACTCAGAAAGAATTTATAGCCCTGAATGCCTACATAAGAAAAGAAGAAAGATCTCAAATCATTCACTTCCATTTCTACCTTCAGGCATTAGAGGAAGAGCAGATTAAAGTAATTACAGGAAAGGGTATACTAAAGATCAGTGTGGATATTATTTTTAACTTTCTACTCATTAGAATCAATGAAAATGATTTTGATGTAAAATGAAAGCAATTACAGTAAAGGAAATGATAAAGATCAGTGTGGAAATTGTTTTTAAACTTTCTACTAATTAGACAAAAATCAATGAAAATTGATTTTATTGATGTTGCCATGGAACTAATTTAAGTTAAAAAAATTAGTTCTGTGGCAACATCGATAAAATTGATAAAGCTCTAACTGTGCTGATTGAGATCAGGAAAGACAGAAGTGACATCATTACAGAGCCTACAGATATAAAAGGATAACAGGAATACTGTGAATAACTTTATGCCTATACATTTTAAAACAGAGATGAATTGGACGAATTTTTTGACAGACACATACTACCAAACTTCACTCAAGAAGAATATACAACCTGAAATAACCCTGTATCTGTTAAAGAAATTGAATTTGTGATTACAATATTTCCACACCAAAAAAAAACCCAAAATAAACTTCAGACCCAGATGACTTCACAAGTAAATTCTGTTAAACGTTTAAGGAAGAATTAAGACCAGTTCTATACAAACACTTCCAGAAAATTGTAGAGGAAGAAGTACTTCCTCACTTATTTTGTGAGCTCAGCATTACCTTCTTACTCAAACTAGACAGACGTTGTGAGGTAAGAAGACTACACAGAAATAACTCACATGAGCATACATACAAAAGTTCTAACCATATTTTAGTAAATTGAATGTAACAGTTTATTAAAAAATACATCATAATTAACTGGGGTTTATTTCAGGAATGCAAAGTTGGTTTAACATTTAAAAAGCAATCGTTGTAATTCACTACATTAAGTAAAAAAAACTATATGATCATCTCAGAAAATTGGGGGCAGGGGAGGCAAGCATTTGATGATCTAACCTTCATTCTGGGTAGTCACTTTGAGAAAACTAGGATTAGAAAGGAAATTCTTCAGCCCAGTGAAGGATGTCTCTGAAAAAACTGTAGGTAGTATCATATTTAATGGTGAAAGACTGAATGCTTTTTCTCTAAGACCAGCAACAAAACAAAGATGGCTACTCTCACCACTTCTGTTTCACAGTGTACTGGAGGTTCATTGCAGCCAATACAGTCAAGAAAAAGAAATAAGCTGGGTTTGGTGGCTCATGCCTGTAATGCCAGCACTTAGGGATGCTGGAGAGCAGGGGTGGATCACTTGAGGTCAGGAGCTCGAGACCAGCCTGGCCAACATGGTGAAACCCCGTCTCTACTAATAATACAAAAAAAATTAGCGCGGCATGGTGGCAGCTGCCTGTAATCCCAGCTACTCAGGAGGCTGAGGCAGGAGGATCACTTGAAACTGGGAGGGCAGAGGGTGCAGTGAGCCGAGATCGCACCACTGTACTCCAGCCTGGGCGACAGAGCGAGACTCCATCTCAAAAAAAAAAAAAAAAAAAAGAAAGGAAAAGGCATCCAGACTGGAAAGGAGGAAGTAAAGTATCTTCTTTGTAGTTGACATGATTGTCTGTAGAAAATCTGATGGAACTTGCAAAATTTCTGGGACTAAGTGAATTTAGTAAAGTTGTGGATTACAGAATCAGTCTGTAAATATCAATTGCATTTATTTAGCAATGAGCAGTTGGAAATTGAAATGTAATAAAACCAGTACTATTGATAATAGTATCAGATATGAAATACTGTTAATTACACAGCATCATAGAAAGTAAGTAAAGAAGACTTAGATAGGTGGGGAGATAGATACTCTTTGTTTATGGGTGAGAAGACTCGTTGCTAAGAAGACAATTATCCCTAAATTGATCAATGTGATTCCAGTCAAAATGCCAGCAGGCTTTCTTTTTTGGCGGTGGGGTGGGGGAATAGAAATTGGCAAGCTGATTCTAAAATTCGTGTGGAAATGTAAAGGACGTAGAATAGCCAAAACAGCTTTGTAAAAAGAAGAACAAAGTTGGAGGTCTAATGCTATCTGATATCACAATTTATTATAAATCTGAAGTAGTCAAAACAATGTTGTATTTGTATAAGGATGATGAAATAGATCAATGGAATAGAACAGAGTCCAGAAGTAAGCCAGTACATAAATGGACAACTGAATTTTGACAAGGTGCAAAGGCAGTTCAGCAGAGAAAGGATAGTCTATTCAACAAATAATGCTGGCACAAAATGGATATCCAAATGCAAACAAATGAACTTCAGTCTGTATCTTGCACTGTATGGGAAAATGAGCTCAAAATGAATCAAAGACCTAAATGGTCAAGACTTAAATTACAAACTTTTGGCAAAATTAGGACAAAATCTTTATCTTGAGTCAAGCAAAATTATTTTTAGTTACAACACCAAAAGCATGATCCTTAAAATAGCACATTGATAAAATGATTTTTTATCAAATTGAAAATGTGCTATTCAAAAGAGAATTCAATTCTTCTTTTTTTTTTTTTTTTTTTTTTTTGAGATTCATTCTGTCGCTCAGGCTGGAGGCAGTGGTGTGATCTTGGTTCACTGCAACTTTCACCTCCCAGGTTCAAGCAATTCTCCTGCCTCAGCCTCCCAAGTAGCTGGGACTACAGGCATGTGCCACCATACCTGGCTAATTTTTGTATTTTTAGTAGAGATGGGGTTTCACTATGTTGGCCAGGCTGGTCTCGACCTCCTGACCTCAGGTGATCCACCCACCTCAGACTCCCAAAGTGCTGGTATTACAGGTGTGAGCCACCACACCCAGCCGAAGAGAGAATTCTTAAGAGAATGAAAAGACCGGCTGCAGGATGGCAGAAAATACTTGCAAATCAAATATGTGATTAAGGTCTTGTATATAGAATATATACTAATGAACTCTCAACACCAACAATCCAACTTTTTGAAATCTGCAAAATATTTGATAGATACCTCACCACAGAAGATACGCTAAGTATATGAAAAGATGTTTAGTCCTTATATATATTTTTTTATTTAACAAAAATATTTAATGCTGCCAAAAAGTATAAAAATACAGTAGGAATGGCAGTACAATACAAAGTAATCTCTCCTAATTTATTTCTTGTACATCTTTCTACATTTCATACATGCATTATAAACACTTAACATCCAGTTAAAGGTTCTGCAAGGTCTTAGCTGGTGGATGCTCTTCATTCCCTGGATGTCAAGTTTACTTTGTAAACAAACAACTGTGAGGCAATCTAGAGGGTTAGCGAGCCTCACTTAAGTTTCCAGAGTGGGCTTCAGGTCTTGATTTGCACATCAATGGTTCCAAATTTATAGCTGCAGAATATTCTCAAGTCATGAATATTAGGTATCTGTCAATCTTGGCCTTTTTCTTTTTCGTTCATTCTCATTTAGCCTCTATTTCATCTGCTGCACCTTCTGAGCTGTGGTGGCCTTTCTGTCCTCTCACATACGTTTCCGTAGAACACTCTCATTGTTCTCCTCCATTGTATCTTGCATTTTAGAGGAAAGTCCTGTACGTCAGTCACCTGTCAGTTTTTCTTCTTCTAGACCTATTCTGTTCCTATTGTATTTTTCAGTCATTATTTTGTTTGGTGAATGATCAAAAGCAGGAGGTAGTCTTCCTTAGAAAGTTCTTTCCATCGTTTCTGTATACTAGAATCTCCCTTTACACATTTTGCTCCTTCTGTTATAGCCATGTATGAGAATCTCAGTTGATCTGGGGTCTGAGATAAGACCCATTTGGAATTTTCTTATGTTCAGTAACACTTGTTTAATGTTAATATCATCTCCTTTTTCCATCAAAACAAGACAAGTGTCTACCAGAGAGAAGGTGCTGGAGCGTCCAGTGCCTGCACTACGGTGGATCACCACAGGTCCATGGTCAGGGTTCAAGGAGCCAGATTCTCTCACTTTAAACAAGAAATTGAGAAATGAAGCTGGTGATTGAGGGACTCCAAAATCTGGCCAAGTAGTATAATGAAAGTGAGATATTGTTCTGGTTTCACCACTATTGATATTTTCTAATTGTGGTAGATGTACTGTATAATACGACTTCACATCTTCTGACAAGAGCTTCACACTGAATCCTGTTTCTTTAAACAGCATCTCTTGGTCATCTGTTGGCCAGTACTGTGCACATTTAACCAATTCTTTCTCCATAATGCGGTTCAGCATGACAACTGCTTTGGTCTTCTGCTGCCAAACCATAAGCCAGAAATGGCAGCATGTGTTAGGAAGTGGACCCTGTGTTAAGATGTAACTCCTTTGTCCTCTTCTATGTCAACTAAGCTGGCATTAATATAATCATTCTCAGCATTTTGCAGTTTAACACAACTGTGATCATCAAGTACAGCAGCTGCCAGCGATGCTGAGCATCCAACTCCTTGAACTCCCACTTGATGGTGGTGGGCATGGCAGCAGGAGCGAGCTGGTGCGAGCAGAGCCTGTGCCAGCGGAGACGCTCAGGCCCTGCACGATCCGCAGAGAGCCTATATTACATTAATCATAATGTTAATAGTTACTAAATAAATGGGAATTAAAATCAGTGAACTAGCACTACCTATCTAAAAGACTGACCATACCAAGTGTTCGCAAAGATGTGAAAGACTAGAACTCTATACTTTGCTTTTAGGACTGTAAAACAGTACAACTACTTTAGGAGACAGTTTGGTTGTTTCTTAAAATGCTAACATACAGTCTGGGCACAACGTCTCACTTCTGTAATCCCAGCACTTTGGGAGGCCGAGGCGGGTGGATCACTTGAGGTCAGGAGTTTGAGACCAGCCTGGCCAACATGGTGAAACCCTGTCTCTGCTAAAAATACAAAAATTAGCTGGGCATCATGGCATATGCCTGTAATCCCAGCCACTCGGGAGGCTGAGGCAAGATGATCCCTTGAACCTGGGAGGTGGAGGTTGTGGTGAGCCAAGATTGTGCCACTGCACTCCAGCCTGGGCAACAGAGTGAGACTCCGTCTCAAAAAAAAAAAAAAAAGAAGTTAACGTACACCTACCAGCAGCTCCACTCCTAGGTATCTACTGAAAGGACTTGTGTACTAATGTTCACAGCAGCTTTATTTATGATAGTCACAAACTGGAAAAAATGGATAAACAAATTGTGATGTGACTATACTATTTAGCAATATAAAGGAATGAACTATTTATTGATAGTCACAACAACAGGGATGAGGTCTCAAAATAATTATGCAGAGCAAAAGAAGGCAGGCACTGGCTGGGCACGGTGGCTCACGCCTGTAATCCCAGCACTTTGGGAGGCTGAGGCAGGTGGATCACCTGAGGTCAGGAGTTCGAGACCAGCCTGGCCAACATAGTGAAACCCCATCTCTACTAAAAATATAAAAATTAGCTGGCTGTGGTGGCGGGCACCTGTAATCCCAGCTACTCAGGAGGCTGAGGCAGCAGAATCGCTTGAACAGGAGGCGGAGGTTGCAGTGAGCCGAGATTGCGCCACTGCATTCCAACCTGGGTGACAGAGTGAGACTCTGTCTCAAAAAAAAAAAAAAAAGAAGGCAGGCACTTTGGGGGTGACTAAGTATGTTCCCTATCTTGATTTTTCATAGGTGTATACTATATATGTACTTTGAACATGTGTAATTTATTGTGTGTAACCTATATATAAAGGTTTTTTTGTTTGTTTGTTTTGTTTTTTAAACATTGAGGTGGACGGAGTCTTGCTGTGTTGCCTAGGCTAGTCTTGAACTCCTGGGCTCAAGCTGTCCTCTCACTTACAGGTACACACCACCAACAACCCATTTAGTCTGTCACGTAATTAATAGACCAAAATTTGTCTTTTGTTTTTGGACCAAATAAAGCTGTTTTTAAAATTTTTTTTTAATTCATGCAGGCTGGGTGTGGTGGCTCACGCCTATAATCCTAGCACTTTGGGAGGCCAAGGTGGATGAATCACCTGAGGTCCAGAGTGTGAGACCAGCCTGGCTAACATGATGAATCCTTGTCTTTACTAAAAATACAAAAATCAGCTGGCGTGGTAGTGGGTGCCTATAATCCCAGCTACTCAGGAGGCTGAGGCAGGAGAATCACTTGAACCCAGGAGGCGGAGGTTGCAGTGAGCCTGGTTTTTCAGCAGTTTACTAATAACACTTGGATCTTTAGCATTTTCTTCTTTTTCGTTTTAAAAGACAACCTTGAGGAGAGAGAAGGTAGATATGAATGGAAGAATAGGGGAAGGACAATGATTTGGATTGGTTTGAAACGTTGGCCCCTAATATGTTGCTTTTGAGGAGTAGTATTTTTCTAAACGGAGTAACACTTGGGATTTTGTAAATTCAATTTGATGAGGATCTTAGAAGTAGCTTGCTGCTATTGCAGAGTTATCTACAGCTGCTCCAGAAGGCTGATGGCTACATGGCTGGATTTGATCCATGCACAGAGGTAGAGAGTGCCTTACTTTGCATATTACTCACATCTGTTGCACTAAAGCAGTGCTTTCTGGCTGGGTGTGGTGGCTCACGCTTGTAATTCCAGCACTTTGGAAGGCTGAGGCAAGCAGATTGCCTGAGCTCAGGAGTTCAAGACCAGCCTGGGCAGTGTGGCAAAACCCCATCTCTACAAAAACAACAACAACACACACACACACAAATTAGCCAGGCATGGTGGCGCACACCTGTTGTCCCAGCTACTTGGAGGGCTGAGGTGGGAGGATCTCTGGAGCCTGGGAGGTTGAGGTTACAGTGAGCCAGTATCACGCCACTGTTCGCCAGCCTTGGTGACAGAGTGAGACTCTGTCTCAAGAAAACAAACAAAAAAACAGTACTTTCTGAAGTAGAATCTATCCATTTTTGTTCTAGGCGAGAGGTTGGCAAACCTTCTCTAAAGGCCCAAAAAGTAAATTAAAATCTACACTTTGCAGGCCATGCAAGTCTCTGTTGCAGCTATTCAGTTCTGCTTTTGGAGTGTGAAAGCAGCCATAGACAACACATAAATGGATGAGTGGCTGTGTTCTGTTAAAATTTTATTTACAAAAATGGGGCTGGATTTAGCTTGTGGGCCAGTTTGGCAAACCTTGCTCTAGGCCACCAGTGTCTCCTCTTTGGGATATTTGATATTTTGTGCTTAATTTTCCAGTGGTGGCTCATTGCAAATAAAACAAAGTGGCACCCTATCACTTGCAGCTGCTGTGCTGTGTTTAATGGCTTTTACTGATGATGGTATGTAATAAGTGAATGACGTGAACTTTAAGAAGTAGAATAAGGCAACCTTAGCTTTTTTCTCTCTCACAGTCTGCATGTAGCTGGTTGATGAATTCAGGCACTTTTACTTTGAAAAGTCTCTGGAATTAGGTTTTTTGATGTTCGTATTTATAATTTCTTGGCTGCAGTAGGATAATAACCTTCTTATTGCTCCTTCTGCATTTAAGGTTCTCAAATTCGTCAAATGTCCGCATATGTTACCTAAGCTACCTTTCTAAAATAAAAGTATTGTGGTACATTTCTCTGTCTATAATTATACAGGGACTCCCAGTCACCCAGAACAGTGGTTCTTAACTGCTTTTTATTCCTGAGTCCCTTTGAAAATCACTAATAGCTATGGATCCAGGAAAATGAGTTTATTTTTGGGTGTGTTCATGTACACAGTATTCATACTTTGGGGGGAATTGGACAATGTATGGCCCTAAAGTTTTATTCATGTCTCTTAGTTAGGAAATCTTGATTTACATTAAAGTACATTTATTTCCATGCTGTTGTAAGTGCTTCTTGAGCTGGCTAGAGTCTTTGTAATTTATCTTCCATGTTCACACACACAGACACACACACCCTATGTCCCTCCCCCCCAAACCCTTATGCTTTTTTCTACAAAGAACCAACATTCCTCCGTTATGGCAATTTCTTCCGTTCTTGTGGCTTTGCAAATAGCATTTCCTCGTGCCAGGATTGCCCTTACCATAAATTTCCCTTCCATATGCCCATTTTCTACTTGTTAAGACTCATCTCAGATACCAGATTCTCTGTGAAGATATTCCTGACATCTCTTCCTTGGCAGACAGAAGTAAATACGAAGGAATTCTAGCAAATGAAACAAATAGGGACACCTTTTTTCAGAGTGGGGAGGAATATGGAAGGAAGTTTTCTTGGAAAGCTTTATTTGCTCTTCTTGAGAGAGAACACTATTCCATAACCTTCTGAACCTCTTTAAGCCTCCTTTTCTAAACTGGTTATCAATTTCTTAAATTGATTACATTATTGATAAATAATAATATTTATCTTAGAGGAGTATTAGAATAAATGAAGAACAGTGTTTCAATCTCTGTAACACCTCAATACTTATACAGGAAATTCCCTTCTTCTGGTCATTGGGTGGCCTCCGGAACTTATGCAGGAAGGAGTAAGTGTATCTTCAGAGACCTAGTACTCTCAGTTCTTAATAAAAATGTTCTGATGAAAAACTAGGTCATAAATTTACTAGAACATTTCTTGAAATCCTTCTGGTGAAATTAAAGTATGTGGGTAAGCTACAAGTCGCTATGCAAATATTTATGTTGTTATAGGTGTTGTTACTTTTAAAAGACCAGAGGGATCTTTACTATTAGAGCAAAAAACGTTTTTTTTCCTAGTCGGTTGCTGATAGAATAGATTCCTGGCTTTCACAAATTAACACTTATAATTGTGGGTTCTCACTATTCCATCCCATGAATGACAGGGAGGATGCATGGCATATGACAATTTGTAATTTACTGAGCCCAGATTGGTCCTAGTCTGCTACCTAGTAGGTAAATCTCAGTTTGATTTGCTAATCTCTACTATTTGTGTAGTAATTTTTTTTTTTTTTTTTTCTGAGACAGGGTGTCACTCTGTTGCCCAGGCTAGTGTGCAGTGGCACAGTCTTGGCCCACTGCAGCCTTGACCTCCCAAGCTGAAGCAATTCTCTCACCCCAGCCTTTCAAGTAGCTGGGACTATGGGACTATAGGCATGAACCACCATGCCCAGCTAATTTTTAATTTTTTTTTTTTTGTAGAGATTGGTGGCGGGGGGGAGGGTCTCACTTTGTTGCCTAGGCTGGTCTCAAACTCCTGGGCTCAAGTGGCCCTCTCACTTCCCTCTCCCAAAGTGGTGAGATACAGGTGTGAGCCATGTTGCCTGGCCATAGTAGCTTTTGTTGCCAGCACTATCTTCCTGCAGCTACTCCTACTGCTGGTGATCAAAGAGAAGCAAAAAGCAATAGCTGTAGAAGGAAGAATTTAGAGTAAATTAAAGAGTAAAATGTAACATTTCGTGATGGCTTAAATTCATGGTGCATATGAGTCAGCTTTACAGTTTATATAGTAATGTGAATAAGTATAAATTATTTCAATCTTCTTAGAATCATTAAAGGTCTGAAGGAGTTAAAAAATAGTTATACTTTAATGTTTTATATGCCATAGTAATATTCTCCAATTTGGAAATCTTTCAAGTTGCCTTGGAAAAAATACTTAATAAACTGATACCAAGGGTCTGTTGTAGGGGAAGTCATTGCTTAGGTATCCATTTGTTGAGACTTCTGAATTCAGTATGGTCTTTCTCTCTCTCTTTTTCTGTTTATGTATGTATCCTGAATGGAATTTGTAAGATACAATTTAATAGTTCATTAATATGGACTCTGCCTTTTCATTGTGTACAGTCCAGGCTTTTCTGTTATTGTGACAAACATTGCCCTTTATTTCTTCAGACTCAGTTCCTGATGCTTCCCACCTCTGTTTACATTTGCCCTCTGTACTGTACTTGAACTACTGGTAGTCCACTGAATACGAGGCACTGAATGTGCCATACTGGTTATGTGGACTTGGCAAGATCACATGACCTTGGCATTGGATTGATGTTGTCTTATGTAAAATCAGGATTGGAACAAAGCAGTGGGTTAGCAAATTTGTCCTTTTTTTTCCTGCCTTCGTATTCTTTCATTCTTACACATTTGAAAGATACAACACTTTCTCATCACTTTACAATGAATTCCTACAGCCATGATTCTCTATGGTATTTGGGGGTGGGACATGGGCCCTGAGACAAGTCAAATATTAAAATTAGAGAAGACCTGGGGGTTTGAAATGCACCCTAAGTTGAGATCTCTAAAATATCTTCCATCTCCTAAATAATATTCATCTGTATTATTAGCATGAGGCAAAAATTTATGGATATATGAGCTTAGGTCCAAAAAGCTGTTCCTCGGCTCATTTTGTCTCAAGTCCAGATTGATGCTAAACAAGTGATCACTAACGCCATCTGTTGGTGGTAACAGTTGTACTTTTTCTTTTAAAATTTATGTTGTAGCGTAATGTTCACCGTAATACTCAAACAAAAATGTTTGAGACCAAGCGTCTCTGTCTTATTATGGAATCGAGTTAGAGATACTTATGTACCAAGTGCTTTAAGCAGGAAGAAAAAACCGTAAAACACTTCAGTTATAACAGTACCTGCATTAGAGTTGTACTGTCTATTGGATGTGTAGCTTTGTTGGTTTCTATGAAAATTTGCAGGTTGAAGGTTTTTTTTTTTTGAGATGGAGTCTCACTCTGTCGCCCAGGCTGGAGTGTGATGGCGCAATCTTGACTCAGTGCAAGCTCCACCTCCTGGGTTCACGCCATTCTCCTGCCTCAGCCTCCCGAGTAGTTGGGACTACAGGCGCCCGCCACCACGCCCGGCTAATTTTTAATAGAGACGGGGTTTCACTGTGTTAGCCAGTATGGTCTTGATATCCTGACCTCGTGATCCGCCCGCCTCGGCCTCCCAAAGTGCTGGGATTACAGGTGTGAGCCACCGTGCCCCAGCCTGCAGGTTGAAGGTTTTTAAGTTGAGGAGCTTCTGTATAATTTGGGAGAATTTACAGTGTATTAGGGTTCTCCAGAGAAACAGAATGAATAGGATGTGTATATATATTTTATTATATATATAATCCTTATATAATTACATACACTATATAATTTCTTATATAGTATATATTACAAGGAATTGGCTCACATGATCCTAGAAGCTGAGAAGTCCCAAGATATGCCATTGGTAAGCTGGATACCCAAAACAGTTAATATGTAATTCCTGACTGAGTGTGAAGGCCTGAAAAGCAGGAGAGCCGGTGGTATAAGTTCTAGTCCAAAAGCCAGCAGGTTCTAGACCTGAGAAGAGTTTTGTTGTTTCAGTCTTGAGTCCAAAGGGAGGAAAACACCAATGTTCAGTTAAAGCACTCAGGCAGGCAGAGTTCCCTCTTACAGCCTTTTTGTTCTATTCATACCCTCAACAGATGAGGTCTGCCACATTGGGTGGGCAATCTGCCTTACTCAGTCTACTAATCCAGGTTTTTATCTCATCCAGAAATACCCTCAAAGACACACCCAGAATAGTGTTTGACCAAATGTCTGGGCATCCTGTGGTTCAGTCAAGTTGACATATAAAATTATTTAAAATAGAGAACTCCTATATACCTTCTACTAAATTTACCAGTTTTTGTTTGTTTGTTTGTTTGATTGTTTTGAGACGAAGTCTCACTCTGTTGCCCAGGCTGGAGTGCAGTGGTGCAATCTCAGTTCACTGCAACTTCTGCCTCCCATATTCAAGTGATTATCCTGCCTCAGCCTCCCGAGTAGCTGGAACTACAGGCATATGCCACCATGCCTGGCTGATTTTTGTGTTTTTAGTAGAGACAGGGTTTCACCATGTTGGCCAGGCTGGTCTTGAACTCCTGACCTCAGGTGATGTGCCTGTCTTGGCCTCCTAAAGTGCTGAGATTACAGGCATGAGCCAAAGTGCCCGGCCAGTTCACCAGTTTTTAACATTTTGTCACATTTCCTTTTTTCTTTTTATTTTTTTCCAATGCATGTGTGATTTTTTTTCTTTTATAATTTCAGTTTTTATTTTAGATTCATGGGGTACATGTGTAGTAGATTTGTTACCTGGGTATATTGTGTTATGCTGAGGTTTGGGGTATGATTGATCCCATCACCTTGGTAGTGAGCATGTTACCTAGTAGTTAGTTTTTCAACCCTTCCCCCTTTCCCTCACTACTCCTGCTGGTGGTGCCCAGTATCATTGCCATCTTTGTGTCCACAAATACCCATTGATTAGCTCCCACTTATAAGTGAGAACATGGCAGTATTTGGTTTTCTGTTCCTGTGTTAATTTGCTTAGGATAATGGCCTCTAGCTGCATCCATGTTGCTGCGAAGGACATGATTTCATTCTTTTTTTATGGCTGCGTAATATTCCATGGTGTACGTGGACCACATTTTCTTTATCCAGTCCACCATTGTTGGGTACCTAGGTTGATTTTATATGTCTTTGCTATTGTGAATAGTGCTGTGATGAACATATGAGTGCGTGTGTCTTTTGGTAAGAACAATTTATTTTCTTTTGAAAGTTTACCCAGTAATGGGTTGCTGTGTCAAATGGTAGTTCTATTTTAAGTTATATGAGAGATTTCCAAACTGCTTTCCATAGTGGCTGTACTATTTACATCCCCACCAACAGTGTGTAAGCCTTCCCTTTTCTCCATAGCCTCCAACATCTCTTATTTCTTGACTTTTTAATAATACCCATTCTCACTGGTGTGAGATGATATCTGATTGTGGTTTTGATTTGCATTTCCCTAATGATTAGCGATGTTGAACATTTTTATATGTTTCTTGGCCACTTGTATGTCTTCTTTTGGGAAGTGTCTGTTTGTATCTTTTGTCCTTTGTTTTTGCTTGTTCAATTGTTTACATTCCTTATAAATTTTGGGTATTAGACCTTTGTCAGATGCATAGTTGGTCAGTATTTTCTCCCATTCTATAGGTTGTCTGTTGACCCTGTTGATTGTTTTCTTGTGGAAGAGCTCTTTAATTAGGTCCCACTTGTCAATTTTTGTTTTTGTTACATTTGCTTTTGAGGACTTAGTCATAAGTTATTTCCCAAGGCACATGTCCAGAATGGTGTTTCCTAGGTTTTTTTCTAGGGTTCTTATAATTTTAGGTTTTACATTTAAATCTTTAATCCATCTTGTTAATTTTTGTATATGGTAAAAGGTAGGGGTATAATTTCATTGTTCTGCATATGGCTAGCCAGCTATCCCAGCACTATTTATTTAATAGGAAGACTTTTCCCATTGCTCATTTTTGTTAACTTTATACAAGATCAGATGGCTGTAGCTGTTGGCTTTATTTCTGGGTTCTCCATTCTGTTCCATTGGTCTGTATGTCTGTTTTGTACTAGAACCGTGCTGTTTTGGTTACTTACTGTAGCCTTATGGTATAGTTTGAACTCAGGTAGTGTGATGCATCACACTTTGTTCTTTTTGCTTAGGATTGCCTTGGCTACTCAGGTTCTTTTTTGGTTCCATATGAATTTTAGAGTAGTTTTTTTCTGGTTCTGTGAAAAATGTTTGTAGCTTTATAGGAATAGTATTGAATCTGCAGATTGCTTTGAGCAGTGTGGCCATTTTAATTTGGCCATATAGTTTACTTACCACAGGCTATTTGGCCTATAGTTTACTTGTTTTGTTGTGTTTTTGCCAGGTTTTGGTATCAAGGTGATGCTGGCTTCATAGAATGAGTTTAGGGAGGAGTCCCTCCTCCTTAATTTTTTTGATTCTTTCAAACCAGCAGCATGGAATGCTTACCCATTTGTTTGCATCATATGTGATTTCTTTCAGCAGTGTTTTGTAGTTTTTGTAGAGATCTTTCACCTCCTTGGTATTTGTTTGTTTGTTTCTATGTATTCCTAGGTATTTTGTTGTTGTTGATTCTATTGTAAATGGAATTGTGTTCTTGATTTGGCTCTCAGCTTGAACGTTATTGTTGTATGGAAATGCTACTGATTTTTGTACATTGACTTTGTATCTTGAAACTTTACTGAGTCATTTATTGGTTGTAGGAGCCCGTTTGCGGTCTTTAGGGTTTTCTAGGTATAGAATCACATAGTCAGTGAAGAGAGCTAGTTGGACTTATTTTTTTCCTATTTGGATGCCTTTTATTTCTTTCTCTTGTGCAATTGTTCTGACAAGGACTTCCAGTACTATGTTAAGTGAGAGTGGGCATCCTTGTCTTGTTCCAGCTCTCAAGGGGAATACTCTTAGCTTTTGCCTGTTCAGTATGATTGGCTGTGGGTTTGTCATAGATGGCTCTTATTATTTTGAGGTATGTTCCTTTGATGCCTAGTTTTTTTGAGGGTTTTTATCATAAGGGATGTTGGATTTTATCAAAAGCTTATTCTGTATCTATTGAGATGATCATAGGGTTTTTATTTTTAATTCTGTTTATGTGGTGAATCACATTTATTGATTTGTGTATGTTGAACCAACCTTGCATCACAAGAGTGAAGCTTGCTTAATCATGGTGAATTAACTTTTTGGTGTGCTGCTGGATTCGGCTTGCTAGTCGTGTGTTGAAGATTTTTACGTTTATGTTCATCAGGGATATTGGCCTGCAGTTTACTTGTTTTGTTGTGTTTTTGCCAGGTTTTGGTATCAAGGTGATGCTGGCTTCATAGAATGAGTTAGGGAGGAGTCCCCCCTCCTTGATTTTTTGGAGTAGGTTCAGGAAGACTGTTACCAGTTTTTCTTTGTATGTCTGGTAGAATTTGTGAATCCATCTGGTCTAGGGCCTTTTTTGGTTGGTAGGTATTTTATTACTTATTCAGTTTTGGAATTTGATATTGGTGTGTTTAGGGTTTCAGTTTCTTTCTAATTCAATCTTGGGGGGTTGTGATTTTTCAGGAATTTATCCATTTTCTCTAGATTTTTTAGTTTGTGTGTGTACAGGTGTTCATAATAGTCTTTGAGGATGTTTTGTATTTCTGTGGAATTGGTTGTAATGTCACTTTTGTCAATTCTGATTGCTTATTTGGATCTCCTTTCTTCTTAGTTTATCTATCTGGTGGTCTGTTAATCTCATATAACCTTTCAAAGAACCAACTTTTGGTTTCATTGATTCTTTTAATTTTTAATTCTTGGGGGTATATAGTAGGTGTATGTATTTAGGTGGTACGAGATACTTTGATAGAGGCATACAGTGCGTAATAATCATCTCGTGGTAAATGGGTTATTCATCCCCTCAAGCATTTATCCTTTGTTACAAGCAATCCAATTATACTCTTTTAGTTATTTTAAAATGTACAATTAAATTATTATTGACTATAGTCACCCTGTAGTGCTATCAAATACTAGGTCTTATTCTTTCTAACTGCTTTTTATACCCATTATCTGTCACTTCCTACCCCCCCTGCCCTCATCCCCTCCACTGCCCTTCTCAGCCTCTGGTAACCATCCTTCTCTCTGTCTCCATGAGTTCAATTGTTTTGATTTTTAGCTCTCACAAATAAGTGAGAACATACAATGTTTATCTTTCTGTGTCTGGCTTATTTCACTTAACATGACCTCCAGTTCCATCCATGTTGTTGTAAATGACAGGATCTCAGTCTTTTTATGGCTGAATAGTACTCCATGATGTATATGTATAATATTTTCTTTATCCATACGTTCATCTGTTGATGGACACTTACAGTGATGTTGAGAACTTTTTCATATGCCTCTTTACCAGTTATATGTTTTCTTTGGAGAAATGTCTAGTCAGATCTTTTGCCCATTTAAAAAATCAGAGTATTAGATTTTTTTTTTCCTGTAGAGTTGTTTGAGCTCCTTATATGTTCTGGTTATTAATCCCTTCTCAGATGGGTAGGCTGCAAATATTTTCTTCCATTCTGTAAGTCGTCTCTTTGTTGATTGTTTCCTTTGTTGCGCAAAAGCTTTTTAACTTGATGTGATCCTATTTGTCCATTTTTGCTTTGGTTGCCTGTGCTTGTGGGGTGTTATTCAATAGATTTTCTCCCAGACCAATGCTCTGGAGGGTTTTCCAAGTGTTTTCTTGTAGTAGTTTCATTGTTTCAGGTCTTCGATTTAAGTCTGTAATCCATTTTGGTTTGATTTTTGTATAAGGTGAGAGTTAGGGGTCTAGTTCCATTCTTCTATACATGGATATCTAGTTTTCCCAGCCCTGTTTATTGAAGAGACTGTCCTTTTCCCATTGCCAATGAATGTTCTTGGCACCTTTGTTGAAAATGAGTTTACTGTAGGTGTGTGGATTTGTTTCTGGATTCTCTGTTCTGTTCAATTGGTCTATTTCTATGTTTTTATGCCAGTACATGCTGTTTTGGTTACTGTAACTCTATAGTATAATTTGAAGTCAAGTAATAGGATTCCTCAGTTTTGTTCTTTTTTTTTTTTTTTTTGCCCAAGATTGCTTTAGCTATTCTGTGTCTTCTGTGGTTCCATATAAATTTTAGGATTGTTTTTTCTATTTCCATGAAGAATATTATTGGTATGTTGATAGGGATTGCATTGCCTTGAATCTGTAGATTAGTTAGTGCAGACAAGTTAAAAATATTGATTCTTTGAGTCCGTTAATATGCAATATCCATTTTTTTTTGCATCCTCCTCAATTTCTTTCATCAGTGTTTTATAATTTCATTGTAGACATCTTTTACTTTTTTGGTTAAGTTACTTCCTATGTATTTAATTTTTTTTGTGGTTCTTGTAAATGGGATTACTTTTTAAAATTGCTTTTTCAGATTGTTCACTGTTAGCATACAGAAATGCTACTGATTTTTGTATGTTCATTTTATACCCTGCAACTTTACTGAATGTTTATCAGTCCTAATAGTTTTTTGGTGGAGTCTTTAGGTTTTTCCAAAAATAAGATAATATTGTCTGTAAACAAGGATAGTTTTCCTTCTTCCTTTCCAATTTGAATGTCTTTTATTTCTTTTGTCTGATTGCCCTAGCTAGGACTTTCCAGTACTGTGTTGAATAACAGTGGTGATAGTGGGCATCCTTGTCATGTTCCAGATCATATTGTATGGTTGATGGGTGGAGTATTCTGTAGGTGACTATTAGGTCCAGTTGGTCTGTGTCAAATTTAAGTCCAGAATTTGTTAGGTTTTTGCCTCAATGATCTAACGTTGTCATGGGGATGTTGAAGTTTCCCACTACTACTTGTGTGGCTGAGTTTTTCCTTAGGTTTAAAGGTACTTGTTTTATAAATCTGGGTGCTCTAATTTTGAGTGTGTATATATTTAGGATAGTTAAGTCTTGTTGAATTGAATATTTTATCACTCTGTAATGCCCTTGTCTTTTTTTACTGTTGTTGGTTTAAAGTCTGTTTTCTGTGATATAAGAATAGCAACCCCTGCTCTTTTTTGTGTTCCCTTTGCATGATCTTTCTCCAGCTCTTTACTTTGAGCCTATGGGTGTCATTAGATGTGAGATGGGTCTCTTGAAGACAGCAGACGGATGGGTCTTGTTTTTCTTATCCAGTGTGCCACTCTATGTCTTGAGAACTCTGCTGTTAGACTGATGTGGTTCCCTTTATACATGATCTGACCTTTTTCTCTATTTGTCTTTAAGATTATTTCCTTAGCATTGACCTTCAACAGTCTGGTGATGATATGCCTTGGTGATGTTCATTTTGCATAGTGTCTCACAGGTGCTCTGGATTTCTTATACCTGGATATCTATCTCTTTAGCAAGATTAGGGAAATTTTCTTGAATTATTTTCTCAAATATATTTTCCAGGTGGTTTTCTTCTTCTCGGTCTCTTTCAGGAGTGCCAATAATTTGTAGATTCGGTCAGTTTACATAATCCCATATTTCTCCAAGACTTTATTCTTTTTTTTTTTTTTTTTGAGAGTCTTGCTGTGTCACCCAGGCTGGAGTGCAATGGCACAATCTTGGCTCACCACAACCTTTGCCTCCCAGGTTCAAGGGGTTCTTGTGGCTCAGCCTCCCAGGTAGCTGACATTACAGGTATGTGCCACCATGCCTGGCTAATTTTTGTGTTTTTAGTAGAGACAGGGTTTCGGCCACGTTTGCCAGGCTGGTCTCGATCTTCTGGCCTCAAGTGATCTGCCCACCTTGGCCTCCCAAAGTGCTGGGATTACAAACATGAGCCAGCACACCTGGCCTGACTTTGTTCATTTTAAAAAATTCTTTTTGCTGTCCCAGCTATTCGGGAGGCTGAGGCAGGAGAATGGCGTGAACCCAGGAGGCAGAGCTTGCAGTGAGCGGAGATCGAGCCACTGCATTCCAGCCTGGGCGACTTGAGTGACACTCTGTCTCAAAAAAAAAAAAAATTCTTTTTGCTTTATTTTTGCGTGACTGGGTTTGTTTGAGAGTCTCGTCTCTAAGCTCTGAAATTCTTTCTTCTGTTTGGTTCAGTTTATTGATAAAGCTTTCAATTGTTTTTATTTGTTTGTTTGTTTGTTTTTTAGGCAGAGTCTCACTCTTTTGCCTGGGCTGGAGTGTAATGGTGTAATCTCGGCTCACTGCAACCTCCGCCTTCCAGGTTCAAGTGATTCTCCTGCCTCAGCCTCCCAAGTAGCTGAGATTACAGGCACGCACCATCACACCTGGCTAATTTTTGTGTTTTTAGTAGAGACGGGGTCTCAACATGTTGGCCAGGCAGGTCTCAAACTCCTGACCTCAAATGATCCACCCGCCTTCACCTCCTGTTTTTAAATTTAAGTTCTTTAGTTCCAGAAGCTCTGATTGATTTTTAAATTTTATTTTATTTTAGGGTCCGGGGTATTTGTTATGTAGGTCAATTGTGTTTTGAGGGGTTTGATGTATAGATTTGTTTCATTGCCCAGGTAATAAGCATAGTACCCAGTAGGTAGTTTCTCAATCCTCACTCTTCTTCCACCCTCCACCCTCAAGTAGGCCCTGGTGTCAGTTGTTCCCCTCTTTGTGCCCACTGTACTCAGTGTTTAACTCCTATTTATTAGTGAAGAACATGCAATATTTTGTTTTCTGTTCCTGTGTTCGCTTAGGATAATGGCCTCCAGCTCCATCCATGTTGCTGTAAAGGACATGATGTCACTCTTTTTTATGGCTGTGTAGTATTCCATGATGTATATATGCCATATTTTCTTTATTCAGTCTACCGTTAATGGGTATTTAGGTTGATTCCATGTCTTTGCAATTGTGAGTAGTGCTGCAGTGAACATACATGTGCATATGTCTTTGTGTTGGAACAATTTATATTCTTTTGGGTATATACTAAATAGTGGGATTGTGGGTTGAATGGCAGTTCTGCTTTGGGATCTCTGAGAAATTGCCAAGCTGCTTTCCACAGTGGCTGAACGAATTTACATTCCCACCAGCAGCGCATAAACATTTCCAGTTCTCTGCAGCCTTGCCAGCATCTGTTATTTCTTGACTTTTTAATAATAGCCGTTCTGACTGGTATGAGATGGTATCTCATTATGGTTTTGATTTGCACTTCTCTAATGATAGTAATGTTGAGCATTTTTTCATATGCTTATTGCCCATATTTAGGTCTTTTGAGAAGTATCTGTTCATGTCCTTTGCCCACTTTTTAGTGGGGTTGTTTTTTGCTTGTAAATTTGTTTAAGTTCCTTATAGATCCTGGATATTAGATATTTTTCAGTTGCATAGTTTGAAAATATTTTCTTCCATTCTCTAGGGTATCTGATTACTCTGATAGTTTCTTTTGCTGTGCAGAAGCTCCTTAGTTTAATTGGGTCTCATTTGTCAGTTTTTGTTGCAGTTGCTTTTGGAGTCTTTGTTATGATATCTTTGCCAGGGCCTATGTCCAGAATGGTATTTCCTAGGTTATCATTCCAGGGTTTTTATAGTTTTAAGTTTTACCTTTAAGTCTTTACTCCATCTTGAGTTGATTTTTGTATTTGTATATGGTACAAGGAAGGGGTCCAGTTTTAGTCTTCTGCATATGGTTATCCACTTATCCCAGCACCATTTATTGAATAGGGAGTCTTTTCCCCATTGCTTGTTTTTGTCAGCTTTGTGAAAGATCAGATTGTAGGTGTATGGCCTTATTTTTGTGCTCTCTATTCTGTTCCGTTGGTTTGTGTGCCTGTTTTTGTAGCAGTGTCATGCTGTTTTGGTTACTGTAGCCTTGTGGTATAGTTTGAAGTTGGGTAATGTGGTGCTTCCTGCTTTGTTATTTTTGCTTAGGCTTGCATTCACTATTTGGGCTCTTTTGAGGTTCCACATGAATTTTAAAACAGTTTTTTCTAATCCTGTGAAGAATGTCATTGGTAGTTTGATAGGAATACCATTGAATCTTTAGATTGCTTTGGGCAGCATGGCCATTGGCCAAACAATATTGAGTCTTCCTAGCCATGAACATGGAATGCTTTTCCATTTGTTTGTGTCCTCTCTGTTTCTTTGAGCAGTGTTTTATAATCTTCATTGTAAAGATAGTAAACCTCTCTAGTTAGCTATATTCCTAGGTTTTTAATTCTTTTTGCGGCTATGGTGAATGGGATTACATTTTTGCTTTGGCTCTCAGTTTGGATGTTGGTGTATAGGAGTGCTACTGATTTTTGTACCTTTGTACTTTCTTCTCATTAGTTTCAAAGAATTTCTTGATTTCTGCCTTAATTTCATTATTTACCCAGAAATCATTCCAGAACAGGTTGCTTAATTTTCATGTAATTATACAGTTTTGACTGAGTTTCTTTAGTATTGATTTCTATTTTTACTACACTGTGGTATGAGAGTGTGCTTTGTATGATTTTGTTTTTTTTTTTAATTTAATGAGGATTGTTTTATGTCCGATTGTGGGTTGATTTTAAAGTATGTGCCTTGTTCAGATGAGAAGAATGTATATTCTCTTGTCTGTGTGGAGTGTTCTGTAAATGTCTGTTAGGTCTATTTGATCAAGTGTTGAGTTCAGGTCCTGAATGATCTGCCTGTTGTCAGTGAGGTGTTGAAATCTCCCACTATTATTGTGTGTTTGTCTGTGTCTCTTCATAGGTCTCTAAGAACTTGCTTTATGGATCTGGCTGCTCCTGTTTTGGGTGTGTGTATATATTTAGAATAGTTAGGTCTTGTTGAACTGAGCCCTTTACCATTATGTAATGCCCTTTATTTATTTATTTATTTTAATCTTTGTTTAAAGTCTGTTTTGTCTGAAATTAGAGTAGCAACCTCTGCTTTTTTCTATTTTCCATTTGCTTGGTAGATTTTTCTCCATCCTTTTACTTGGAGCTTGTGGGTGCCATTGCATTTGAGATGGGTCTCTTGAAGACAGCATACAATTGGGTCTTGCTTCTATATCCAGTTTGCCACTCTGTGCCTTTTAATTGGAGCATTTAGTCCATTTACATTCAAGGTAAGTATTGCGATGTGTGGATTATTTCCTTTTGTCATGTTGCTAGCTGGTTATCATGCAGACTTGTGTGGTGCCTTTATAGGGTTACTAGCCTGTGTACTTAAGTGTATTTTTATAGTGGCCAGTAACTGTTTTTCCTTTCCATGTTTAGCACTCCCTTCAGGACTTTTTGTAAGGCAGATCTGGTGTAATGAAATCCCTTAGCATTTGCTTTTCTGAAACAGATATTATTTCTTCTTCGCTTATGAAGCTTAGTTTGGCTAGATATGAAGTTCTTGGTTGGAAAGTTTTTTCTTTAAGAATGCTGAATATAGGCTGATATGGTTTGGCTCTGTGTCCCCACCCAAATTTCATGTTGAATTGTAATCCCCAGTGTTGGGGGTGGGGCCTAGTGGGAGGTGATTGGATCATGGGGGTGGTTTCTAATGGTTTAGCACCATCCTGCTAGTGCTGTCTCATGATAGAGTTCTCATGAGATCTGGTTGTTGGACAGTGTGTAAAACAACCAGATCCCCACTTTGTGCTCTCTCTCTCCTGCTGGCCATGTGAAGATATGCTTGCTTCCCCTTTGCCTTCTGCCATGATTGTAAGTGTCCTGAGGCCTCCCCAGAAGCAGAAGCTTGTGCAGCCTGTACAACCAGAGCCGATTAAACCACTTTTCTTTATAAATTACCCAGTCTCAGGTATGTCTTTTTTTTTTTTTTATACAGAGTCTTGCTCTGTCGCCCAGGCTGGAGTTCAGTGGTGCAGTATCGGGGGAATTTCAGCCCCCAATATTTCACGTGGGTCCTTTTCTATTTTCCCTAAATGTCGGCCAGTCTGAGAAATAAAGGGAAAGAGTACAGAAGAGAGAAATTTTAAAGCTGGGTGTCCAGGGGAGACTTCACATGTCGGCAGGTTCCGTGATGCCCCCAAAGCCGCAAAACCAGCAAGTTTTTATTAGTGATTTTCAAAAGGGGAGGGAGTGTACGAATAAGGTGTGGGTCACAGAGATCACATGCTTCACAAGGTAATAAAATATCACAAGGCAAATGGAGGCAGGGTGAGATCACAGGAACGGAGCGAAATTAAAATTGTTAATGAAGTTTCGGGCACGCATTGTCATTGATAACATTTTATCAGGAGACAGGGTTTGAGAGCAGATAACCGGTCTGACCAAAATTTATTAGGCGGGAATTTCCTTTTCCTAATAAGCCTGAGAGCGCTATGGGAGACAGGGGCTTATTTCGTCCCTTATCTACAACCATAAAAGACAGACATTCCCAAAGCGGCCATTTCAGAGATCTCCCTTTGGTAATGCATTCTCTTTCTCAGGGATGTTGCTTGCTGAGAAAAAGAATTCAGCGATACTTCTCCTATTTGCTTTTGAAAGAAGAGAAATAGGCTCTGTTCTGCCCGGCCCACAGGCAGCCAGACTTTAAGGTTATCTCCCTTGTTCCCTGAACATCGCTGTTATCCTGTTCTTTTTTCAAGGTGCCCAGATTTCTTATTGTTTAAACAATTTGTGCAGTTAACGCAGTCATCACAGGGTCCTGAGGCAACATTCATCCTCAGCTTACAAAGATGACGGGATTAAGAGATTAAAGTAAAGACAGGCATAGGAAGTCACAAGAGTATTGATTGGGGAAGTGATAAGTGTCCATGAAATCTTCACAGTTTATGTTCAGAGTTTGCAGTAAAGACAGGTGTAAGAATGATAAAAGTATTAATTTGGGGAACTAATAAATGTCCATGAAATCTTCACAATTTATGTTCTTCGGCCATGGCTTCAGCCGGTTCTTCCATTTGGGGTCCCTGACTTCCTGCAACAGTGCAGTCTCAGCTCATTGCACAACCACCTCCTGGGCTCAAGTGATTCTCCTACCTCAGCCTCGCGAGTAGCTGGGATTACAGGTGCCTGCTACCACACCCGGCTAATTTTTTTTTTTTTTGCATTTTTAGTAGAGATGGGGTTTTGCTGTGTTGGCCAGGCTGGTCTTGAACTCCTTACATCAAGTGATCTGCCCACCTCAGCCTCTCAAAGTGCTGGGATTACAGGTGTGAGCCACCGCACCTAGTCAGTGTGTCTTTATAGCAGTGTGAGAACTAACCAATACATAGGCCCACAATCTCTTCTGGCTTGTAGGTTTTTGGCTCAAAGTACAGCCATTAGCCTGATGGGGTTCCCTTTTTAGATGACCTACCTGCTCTCTCTGGCTGCCTTTAACATTTTTTCTTTCATTTTGACCTTGGAGAATCGGATGACTGTGTGTCTTGGGGTTGGTCTTCTTGTGTAGTATTTTTCAGGGGTTCTCTGCATTTCCTGAATTTGAATGTTGGCCTCTTTAGTGAGGTTGAGGAAATGTTCATGGATAATATCTTGAAATGTTTTCCAAGTTGCCTGCTTTTTCTCCCTTTCAGGGATGCCAATGAGTCGTAGAGTTGGTCTCTTTACATAATCACATATTTATTGTTTTTTTGTTTTTGTCTGAGTTATTTTGGAGAGCAGGTCTTTGAGCTCTGAAATTCTTTTCTCATCTTGGTTGATTTTGCTGTTAAGATTTGTGATTGTTTTCTGAAATTCTTGAAGTGAGTTTTTCAGTTCCTTCAGCTTAGTTTGGTTCTTTCTTAAAATGACCATTTCATCTTTTATCTCCTGTATTGTTTTATTCTATTTCTTAGAATTTTTTGATTGGGCTTTGACTATTTCCTGAATGTCAGTTATCTTCATTCCTATACATATTCTGAATTCTATTTCTGTCATTTCAGCCAGGTTATGAATAATTGCTGGGGAACCAATGTAGTTGGAGTTAAGACAGGACAGTCTGGCCTTTTGAGTTTTTTGTACTGGTTCTTTCTCATCCATGTGGGCTGATATTTCTTCAGTCTCTGAAGTTGCTGTCCTTTGGCTTTTTTTTTTTTTTTTTTTTTTTGGCTTTTATCTTCTTGGATGCCCTTGGAGGTTTGATTATGGTATAAGGTGGGTTCAGTCGACTGGCTTTGAGTCTAGTCTGCTCTTGGGTTGTGAAGGAGCCCCCTCTGTTTACTGTCTCTATGCCTGCATTTCTTTTATTGGATGTTCTGATCCATGGGGCTCCCTCATGCAAAGGCCGTATCCTTGCCAGGTAAGCCCTATTCTGCTGTTCATGTGCTCCCCAGGAATCACAGGGTTGTGCCTGCCTACGGAATTCAGGCAGAAGCGGGACTGCTGGGCTGGAAGCTGTTGCAGATATGGCCTGTCTGGCTACAAGAGGCCAGGCCAGGAGTGGGTGGAGTTGACCACCCTGTCATCTGAGTGTTTCCAGGAAGACGGGAGGCTGTGCTTCTCAACAGATTCAGGCTGAAGTAGGATCACTGGACTAGAAGCTGTAGCAGGTGCAGCTTGCCTGGCTACCAGTAGCAGAGGTGGGTGGGGATGCCCGCCCTGCCATCTAGGTGCTTTCTAGGATAACGGGAGGCCATGCCATCCAGCTGAGTTCCCACAGAGCACAACTATAGGCCAGAAGCTGTCTCGAACTCCTGGGCTCATAGCGATTCCCCCACCTCAGTCTCCTAAAGTGCTGGGATTATAGATGTGAGCTACTGTATCTGGCCTGATTTCTTTTTAAGATGTTTATCTCTTCCTTTGTTTCCTAGATTGCCTTAGAAGTTTCTTTGTGTTGATATTCGACCTTGTCTTGGATCTTGTTGAGCTTCCTTTTTGTCGGTGCTTTGAATTCTTTTTCTGTCATTTCTGAGTTTCCATTTTGGTTAGGGACCATTGCTGGAGAGCTTGTGTGATCCTTTGGTGGTGTCACTGTATTCAGATTTTTCATGGTGCAGAATCCTTGTGTTGGTTCCTTCTCATCTGGAGACATTGGCACTTCAATTTTTGTAATTATTTTTGTGCAGGTAGAATTTTTTCCTTCTTTTTCTGTGATATTATTTTTTCCTCCTTCCCTTTCCCCACTCCCTAGGGGGTGTGACTATAGAGAATGCTGGGTAGGGTCTTTTGACTTTGCTTCTGTAACCATAAGCACTTCTGTTGGCAGGTTTTTAATTGGGATATGCAGTTCTACCTATCAGCCAGTAGATGGCGCTTACGGGTAAGAGCTAGCTGTGGCCAAAGTGGCTGGGTGTACACTTGATCCTTGTTTACTGGGAGATGCTCTCTGTTGCCTCAGGCAGTGGGCTGATTTGTGGAGTAAACAGTGGTCTGTGCTCCCTCCTCAGTCCTGGGGAGGTGCTGGGAGGGGTGGAAGGTGGGCAGGGCTGGACCAAGCAGGTCCACCTACGGGTCCCCCAGTGGCAGGCACAAGAACCAAGGCCAAAGGAGAATCCAGTGGGTGGCCACCAGACGCCCAGAAGTGTGTCCAGGTGTGGAACTGAGAAACCTCCTTGACCCCAAGTTCTCTACACATAGATAGGAGTGGCCTAAACTCATAATCCAGGAGAGTGGGTGCTCCAGATGCTTGGAGATATGCCTGGGACCTGGGCATGGAGCAGAGATAGCCACCCATGCACCAGGATCTCTGCACAGGAATGGTAGGGTGGCTCAGGCTGCTGTTCCAGATGAGCAGGTGCTCCAAATGCCTGGAGATCTGCCTGGATATGAAGCAGAGATGGGGACCCCTGCACCTGGATCTCTGCACAGGAAAGGTGGGGCTGTTCAGGCTACCAATCCCAGCAAATGAGTGCTTTGAATGCCTGGAGGTCTTCCTGGCCATAGAGCAGAGAGGCCCTGCTGCACCACAATATATACCCAGGAAGGGTGGGGCAGGTCAGGCTGCTGAAGCAGGCAAGTGAGTGCTTTGAATGCCTGGAGATCTGCCTGGGTATGAAGTGGAGAGGACCCACCATGCACAAGAAGGATGGGGTGACTCAGGCTGCTAGTCCATGCAAGCAGGTGCTCCAAATGCTTGGAGATCTGCCTAAGCGTGCAGTAGAGAGGGCCCTACTGCACCATAATCTATGCATAGAAAGGGTGTAGGTTGGTTTAGCCTGCTGATCCTTGGAAAGGGATGCTCTGAATACCTGGAGATCTGCCTGGGTATGAAGCAGAGAGGGCCCTGCTGCACTATGATCAATGTCCATGAAGGGTAGGGTGGCCCAGGCTGCTGGTCCAGGCAAGTGGGTGCTCCAAATTTCTGGATTTATGCCTGAGGTGGAGTGGAGAGGGCCCTGCTGCACCACGATCTTAGGAGAGCTTGCTGGGGTACCCAGCAGTGATATACATAGACTGGTTTCAGGTCATGAAGCTGGCCCTGGCTGCACGTCTCATTGTCCGGGAGAAAGTGCAGCTGTAGCAGCTCTCCCCACGCATCCAAGGCCTGCAGTGGGGGAAAGCACAGTTCCAACACCCCAGTTAGCTTCAGGGATTAGGAGCAACAATGTTCTATTCCTTGGCCTGGGTTGCTCAGATGCCCAGGGAAAAAGTGTCACAGAGAGAGGCTCTCTGCCTTTCTTGCATACTGGGGCCTCACTCACTTTTATCAGCCTGTGTTCTCCTTCCCAGGCTCTGGGTGTCGTTTATGATTCCACTGGGTTTCTGTTTTCCTTCCTGAATTAAAGCTTACAGAGTCGATTGCTTCTTTTTTTTTTTTTTTTGAGACAAGGTCTCACTCTCTTGCCTAGGCTGGAGTGCTGTGGCATGATCACGGCTCACTGCAGCCTCAGCCTCCCAGGCTCAGGTGATTCTCCTGCTTCAGTGTCCTAAGTAGCTGGGACTACAGGTGCACACCACCATGCCTGGCTGATTTTTTGTTTTTGTTTTTAGAGATAGGATTTTACCATGTCACCCAGGCTGGTCTTGAACTCCTAAGCAGAAGTGAAGCAATCCACCCACCTCGGCCTCCCCAAGTGCTGGAATTACAGGCTTGAGCCACCATGCCCAGCCCACAGTTGATCTTTATGCACTATCTTGATATTTCCAAGTGGCTGATGCATGCTAAAAGCCTCTAATCAACCATGTTGGGGGGAAAAAGATGCCACATTATCTTTATCATTCACTTTATTTTCTCTGTCACACGTATACATACTGTTTTCCTGAAATATTTAAGATTAGTTTGCATACTTCATACTTTTTTTTTTTTTTTTTTTCTGAGACAGTCTTGCACTCTCGCCCAGGCTGGAGTGCAGTGGTGCAATCTTGGCTTACTGCATCCTTAGCCTCCCGAGTAGCTGGTACAATAGGCACCCACCACCAGGCCTGGCAAATTTTTGTATTTTTAGTAGAGACAGGGTTTCACCATGTTGGCCAGGCTGGTCTCGAACTCCTAATCTCAGGTGATCCATCCACTTCAGCCTCCCAAAGTGTTGGAATTACAGGCGTGAGGCACCGCGCCTGGCCACCCTTTTACCTCTTAGTACTTCTGCGTTTCTTAAAAACAAAGTTTTTTTATGTTGTTGTTGTTTTTTTTTTTTTTTTTGAGACGGAGTTTTGCTCTTGTTGCCCAGGCTGGAGTGCAGTGGCACTATCTCGGTTCACTGCAACCTCCCCGTCGCGGGATCAAGCTATTCTCCTGCCTCAGCCTCTCTAGTCGCTGGGATTACAGGCGCCGGCCACCACGCCCAGCTAAATTTTGTATTTTTAGTGGAGACGGGGTTTCACCATGTTGGCCACGCTGGTCTCGAACTCCTGATCTCAGGTGATCCACCTGCCTCGGCCTCCCAAAGTGCTGGGATTACAGGCGTGAGCCACCGCACCCAGCCTTCTTTATGTATTAATAACTACAGGAAATTGTCACATTTAGGAAATTGATATGGTAATCTACAGTCTATATTCCAATTTTGTGAATTACCATTAATATCTCTTAAAGCATTTACTACCATCCAGTACAGGACCTTTAGTTGCCATATCTCTTGAGTTTCCTTTAAATTGTAATAGTTCTTCAGCCTTTCTCATAACATTGGCATTTTTTGAAGAATATATTTATCGAATGTTTCTCAGATTAGACTTGTCCATGTCCTTGAGATTAGATTTCAGTTATGGGTTCCCAGCTCAACTTCTTGTCAGTAATGTTGTGTCCTTCCCGGAGTATCATCACATCCAGAGGCACATGATGTCTCTCTTTTCCCCATTGGTGATAATAATTTTGATGTACTCAGTTAAGGGATTGTCCAGTTCTTCACACAATATAGTTACTTATTTTTTTTTCTTGTAACTAGTAAGCAGTCTGTGAGGAAAAACTGTTTTTGTTTTTTTACTTTTTTCTAATTAATGTCTTTGTAGGAAATTTAAAAATATACAGGTAAGCTAAAGTTAGGGAAAAATTGTCATAAACCTAGCGATAACCACATTTTAGTGTATGTTGGTTCATCTCTCTTCTTTATGTTATAATAATGATTACCAAAAAGGACTATACCTTAAATACTGTTTGGTAAATTGCTTCATTCATTTAGCAGTATATTATAAATATTTTTTTCATGTGTCATTAAGTATTACAGTATTTTAATGGCTGCATAGTTTTCCATTGTGTAGCAGTCACTTGCCTATAGATTGTTCTGTGATGTTCAGTTTAGCCTCACATTCCAGGTACAAGAGATCCTTAGTGGCTGTCCCCTAGGGGTTAGGGAATCTCTTAAACCCAGGAGCCTCCAAGCATGGAATCTTGATGTCTGTCTTATCCCATCAGCACTGCCATGTTGTTTTTCTGTTCTGCTGTTCCACACTAATATGCTATGTTCCTTTCTCTGACCATTCCTAGGTCCACAGTAGCACACTTTTGTCAAATATTTAAACCTATTTCTGATTCACTTGGGTTGTTTTCATGCTTTAACTGCTAATATTGTATCCAGATGTTGGTTTTCTTGTTTGTCTTATTGCAAATATAGGCTATAATGAGTTAAGTGAACTTTTATGGGGTAGTCTTCTGAGTAGAGCATCTGGCCAAAATACCTCATACCCACCAAAAACAAAAACACAAAATATTTGGAGAGCACAGTTTATCTTTTTATTTGGAACTTCTTTGCTATTACCTGAATTTCTAGTTAACCTATATTCGTATTTTGGGTCAGGTATCTTAGGAGATCTCAGCTCTTGTCTATTAGGATTACTTAGCAAATTATCTTAGTGAACTTTCTGTACAGGAGATAAAGCATAACCTTTAAATGCATTATTTTATAGATTTTTCTCCCTTTAATATTTAATCATTTGAAAGTCTCTCTTCTACAAGTTGTTTAGTTTCAAGCTGTTCAGGTATATGGAAATATAACCTTTCTGTATAGATGTGGGACAGTTTACAAATGAATCAGCCCATACTTTCATAGTTTAGTTCAAATGTGACAAAATTATATTTGGAAGACTTAGGTGTAGAATCTCTTTTTATTGACTGAAGGCAAAACAATTTTAACTTAAGTGAATGAAGTAACTTTGTTATTTTTAAACATTTTTTTGAGGCGGAGTCTCGCTGTCTCCCAAGGTGGAGTACAGTGGTGCAATCTCGGCTCACTGCAACCTCTGCCTCCCAGGTTCAAGCGATTCTCCTACCTCAGCCTCCCAAGAAGCTGGGATTACAGGCACGTGCCACCACACCCAGGTAATTTTTTGTGTTTTTAATGGAGACGGGGTTTCACCATGTTGGCCGGCTGGTCTCGAACTCCTGACCTCAGGTAATCCACCTGTCTCAGCTTTCCAAAGTGCTAGGATTACAGGCGTGAGCCCCTGTACCTGGCCTATTTTTAAACTTTTCTTTACACTTTGAGAAATAACGTCTGCTATTTTATAGATGATGATGTAATAGTGATACCCTGTCTCTAAAAAAATGTAAACAGTTAGCTGGGCATGGTGGTGCACACCTCAGCTACTCAGAAAGCTGAGGTGGTGGGAGGATTGCTTGACCCCAGGAATTGGAGGCTGCAGTGAGCTAAGATTGTGCCACATGCTCCAGCCTGCATGACAGAGCAAGACCCTGTCTCTTAAAAAAAAGGCTACTGTGATGTTGAGTCATGTTGAAAGATCTTGTCATTTATAACACAAAGAAAAGTAAATAAAATATTAAAGCATATATTTGGCATATTTAATGTGAACTTTTCTGTGTGCAAAGTATAGAAAGGTCTTTGAAGGACGTACTAAAAGAATAAACTCGTATCTCTGTCTTTTAGAACTTGTAGTACTTTTATAATATCGTATAAGCCTCTCTGTTATACTTCAACATTATTAAATACTATTGACTCCTGGCTAACACGGTGAAACCCCATCTCTACTAAAAATACAAAAAATTAGCCGGGCGTGGTGGCGGGCGCCTGTAGTCCCAGCTACTCAGGAGGCTGAGGCAGGAGAATGGTGTGAACCCGGGAGATGGAGCTTGCAGTGAGCCAAGATCCCGCCACTGCACTCCAGCCTGGGCGACAGAGCAAGACTCCGTCTCAAAAAAAAAAAAAATACTATTGACATGTACATTTGTAAATAGTTACGAAAAGTTTATATTCTTTAAGGTATGCTTTGCTATATTTTAAAATATGTAATGGATTTTAATGTGACCTTAATTTTCATGAAATACATGGGTGACAATTTATTTTAAAAGCAGAGAAGGCCAGGTGCAGTGGCTGACGCCTGTAATCCCAGCACTTTGGGAGGCCAAGGCCTGCAGATCACCTGAGGTTAAGAGTTCGAGACCAGCCTGGCCAACATGGTGAAACCCTGTCTCTACAGCCTGACCAACATGGTGAAACCCTGTCTCTACTAAAAATACCCAAAATTAGCTGGGTGTGGTGGCTTGTGCCTATAATCCCAGCTACTCAGGAGGCTGAGGCTGGAGAATTGCTTGAACCTGGGAGGCGGAGGTTGCAGTGAGCTGAGATCATGCCATTGCATGCCAGCCTGGGCAACAAGCAAAACTCTGTCTCAAAAAAAAAAATAAAAGGAGAGAAAATGTGATTCTTCATGCTTATAGTTTACAAATATTTTAATATTGTTCCTGGTCTGTATTACATTTTTTTAAGTAAAAGTAATAAATTGTATATTTTGATATGTAAAGTAAGTTAAAGATATAACTCCTTTACCTATTAAATTAAAATCTTTTTCTTAGCACTAGGGGGCACCCCTGATTTATAAATTCATGTTATACTTAATGTTGCCTAGAAAGTGGAATGAAATGTAATTATTTGAAAAATATTTTGCAAACTGAGTGCTATGTTCAAAGAGAATCTGGATTATCAGCTGGTTTTGTTGCATAGCAGTATAAATATAAGTTGATTCTTAATACTATAAGGATAATGAAGCTTATAGAATAAGATAGTTTAGATGGGAGGAAATTGTTTTGTAGTTTATTCATTTTCACGTTGATTTTCTAAGTAGGTGCGTTAAATGGTTTTAAAACTTCATGATTTTGAATATATTTCTGTTTTAAAAATCCTAGCACGATGTTCTGCTCTTAGCAGGTACCTAGGCTGTATCTGAATAAATTAAGATAAATTCAAGATGTGACTGAAGGCTGCTATCATTAGTAATAATTTTTAAGCATTTCAAAACCAAGAGCATGTTTTACTACTTCTAGGAAACAGATCTTAGCCATTCTCATTCATTGTGTTTGCAATTAGGATTTTTAGTAATGCCCAGCAACAATTGCTTCCCAAAGGTGTATTTCTAAGGTTTTGTCTTTTCTTTTTTATTTAAGAGACTCTGTTGAATTTAAGCTTTATGGGAATTAAGCAGATAGTAACATCTGCATCATCATTACATCATAGTAATAGCATATTTACCATGTGCCAACACTGTTTTAGGTGCTTTGTGTATATTATCTCATTTCGCTTCACCACAACTCTATGAAGTAGGTACTTATTATCCCTATTTTATAGATGAGAAAACTGAGTACAGAAAAGTTAAAATTTCCTGGGTTTACACAGAGGTAATGTGGTTCCAAAATTTGTGCTTTTAAATCACTATATCCTATATTGCTTCTCCAGAGAAAGGAAACTTAGCATTGAAGTAATTATTATTAACATTTAAAACTCAGCTTTTAAAGTGAATGTAGCATAGAGTACCTAATTTATAGACACTTACCATTTCTCTTATGAAAAACGTCATAGATCTTTAAAGTTGAAAAGGGATCTTAAAGTTCATTTACCACTGTCATTTTACAAAGAGGAAGAAATTCTGTCCTAGAGGTAAAGTTACCTACTCAGTTTATATGACAGGTTATTTATGGAAAGGTATTAGAACTTCAAGTAAGTACTCTGACTTCCAGTAAAGTGGAAAATCTGTGTTGTGAAAAGAATATTTGACTAGAATTTTGATGGCTTGAAACTTGTTCTTGGCTCCTTATTTACCATCCTGTGTCCTCAGAAGCTCTGTGTTTGTTTGTTATGTGGGTATATCTTCCCTAATTAGTGTTATTGGTAGTTGTGCAAATCAACATAATGTATTAAAGATATTTAATAAACTTTAAAGTCCTATACAAATAAACATAGTGTATATTATGGTACAGTAAAGCCACCATATCCATGGGTTCTACATCTGGATTCAAACAAATCTGAGTTGAAAATACTTGGGGCAAAAAAAAAAAAAAAAGGATGGTTGCATCTGTACTGAACATGTACAGACTTTTCCTTGCTATAATTCCCTAAAAAATACAATATAACAACAATTTACGTAGCATTGGCACTGTATTAAGTATTATGAGTAATCCGGAGATGATTTAAAGTATACAAGAGGATGTGTATAGGTGATATGCAAATACTGCACCATTATATAAGGGCCTTAAGCATCGGTGGATTTTGGTATCTATAGTAGATCCTGGAACAAATCCCCCATGGATACTGAGAGATGATTGTATTTTTATGACATGTAGTTCATAATATTTTAAGTATTTGTGATATGTTGGTAATCTAGATCACTAGCTGTGATAAGCTTATTCAGTATTGTTGATTTACAGGTGTCATTTGGATCGCTAAAAATTTATTGTGTTGTGGTATGTGTTACTTTGCCACCTGTGTTTTTACACATTTTATTTACTTTAAGAAAGTTGTACATTTGATTTTTTTCCCTCGCAATACCCACTTAGCGAAAAGTTATGCTTTTGCTTTGCTTATGAAGAACATAACAATAACATCTATTGAATACTGTTTATTTGGTGTTCTGATTGTTTGAAAAGAGCATACAAGATTGTCCTCAGTTTGGATTTAGCGACTGAGCTAAGATAATAAATAGAGTTTAGTGAAGTTGAAATTTTTGTTTCTTGGCATGGTGGTAGGCATAGAGTTGTTTTCTTGAACTTCGAGGAAGACATTTGCTTAACTTTTTTTTTTTTTTACAGGAATAATGTATTTGTGGCCTTGGACATGAGGCAGTCAGTCCTCTGTTGCTGTTAACATAAGGTCAGGGACTGATGAGGAAAGCATGGACCTAATGAACGGGCAGGCAAGCAGTGTCAATATTGCAGCTACTGCTTCTGAGGTAAGATATTTAAGAAGCTTGGGTGTAAAGTTTCTTACCTGGCTTTCTAATTTTTCAAGCATTATGTTTGTTCACATACTTAAATCAGAAGTGCATTTAGTGCAGAAATACACATTTCCTTTTTTTTTAAATTTTATTTTTTTTTATACTTTAAGTTTTAGGGTACATGTGCACATTGTGCGGGTTAGTTACATATGTATACGTGTGCCATGCTGGTGCGCTGCACCCACTAACTCGTCATCTAGCATTAGGTATATCTCCCAATGCTATCCCTCCCCCCTCCCCCCACCCCACCACAATCCCCAGAGTGTGGTATTCCCCTTCCTGTGTCCATGTGAAATCTCCTTAAGCTGATAAGCAACTTCAGCAAAGTCTCAGGATACAAAATCAATGTACAAAAATCACAAGCATTCTTATACACCAATAACAGACAAACAGACAGCCAAATCATGAGTGAACTCCCATTCACAATTGCTTCAAAGAGAATAAAATACACAGGAATCCAACTTACAAGGGATGTGAAGGACCTCTTCAAGGAGAACTACAAACCACTGCTCAAGGAAATAAAAGAGGATACAAACAAATGGAAGAACATTCCATGCTCATGGGTAGGAAGAATCAATATGGTGAAAATGGCCATACTGCCCAAGGTAATTTACAGATTCAATGCCATCCCCATCAAGCTACCAATGACTTTCTTCACAGAATTGGAAAAAACTACTTTAAAGTTCATATGGAACCAAAAAAGAGCCTGCATCGCCAAGGCAATCCTAAGCCAAAAGAACAAAGCTGGAGGCATCACACTACCTGACTTCAAACTATACTACAAGGCTACAGTAACCAAAACAGCATGGTACTGGTACCAAAACAGAGATATAGATCAATGGAACAGAACAGAGCCCTCGGAAATAACACCGCATATCTACAACTATCTGATCTTTGACAAACCTGAGAAAAACAAGCAACGGGGAAAGGATTCCCTATTTAATAAATGGTGCTGGGAAAACTGGCTAGCCATATGTAGAAAGCTGAAACTGGATCCCTTCCTTACACCTTATACAAAAATCAATTCAAGATGGATTAAAGACTTAAACGTTAGACCTAAAACCATAAAAACCCTAGAAGAAAACCTAGGCATTACCATTCAGGACATAGGCATGGGCAAGGACTTCATGTCTAAAACACCAAAAACAATGGCAACAAAAGACAAAATTGACAAATGGGATCTAATTAAACTAAAGAGCTTCTGCACAGCAAAAGAAACTACCATCAGAGTGAACAGGCAACCTACAAAATGGGAGAAAATTTTCACAACCTACTCATCTGACAAAGTGCTAATATCCAGAATCTACAATGAACTCAAACAAATTTACAAGAAAAAAACAAACAACCCCATCAAAAAGTGGGCGAAGGACATGAACAGACACTTCTCAAAAGAAGACATTTATGCAGCCAAAAAACACATGAAAAAATGCTCATCATCACTGGGCATCAGAGAAATGCAAATCAAAACCACAATGAGATACCATCTCACACCAGTTAGAATGGCAATCATTAAAAAGTCAGGAAACAACAGGTGCTGGAGAGGATGTGGAGAAATAGGAACACTTTTACACTGTTGGTGGGACTGTAAACTAGTTCAACCATTGTGGAAGTCAGTGTGGCGATTCCTCAGGGATCTAGAACTAGAAATACCATTTGACCCAGCCATCCCATTACTGGGTATATACCCAAAGGACTATAAATCATGCTGCTATAAAGACACATGCACACGTATGTTTATTGCGGCATTATTCACAATAGCAAAGACTTGGAACCAACCCAAATGTCCAACAATGATAGACTGGATTAAGAAAATGTGGCACATATACACCATGGAATACTATGCAGCCATAAAAAATGATGAGTTCATGTCCTTTGTAGGGACATGGATGAAATTGGAAATCATCATTCTCAGTAAACTATCGCAAGAACAAAAAACCAAACACCGCATATTCTCACTCATAGGTGGGAATTGAACAATGAGAAATACACATATTTTAACTTTTATTTTAGTGATTCGTATGTTCCCTGTGCATCATAGGTATACTTAATCCTTATCTACTTAAGATACTTGAAAAATAATGACAAATAATGGTAACTCATAAAACTCTTTATTTTTAAAAGAAACATAGAATTTCTTTTTAGAGTATTTTTACATTACATCATCCTTGAGGGCAATAATGCAAGTAAGGCAAAGAAAGATTCTTTTACTTGGAATCACTAAATTTTGGACCCATCTAGATCCCTTGATTCCACATATATTAGAGGAAACAAAAGAACCGTTAGGCTGGAATGTTGTAAGGGCTTACTCTGCTGATGTAGTTTAGCATTTAAGATGGAGATGTGAAGACTGAACTAGATGCTCACCCCTCTAGTTAATATATTATGATTGTATTTTTGCCCCAACTTTTTTATTTTTTTCTTTGTGTATAAATCTAGGGAACTTGCCTGCTTTCCTTAATAACTTTAGCATCTGGCTTCTATATTTCTTATTTTTCTCTTAGTATATTGGATGAGAATAATGTTTATGACCCTTTAACACCTTGACCTCAAAGTTCCTTAATAGCCCCAACTCCATTTTGCCCCAGCTAGTTACTTAGGCCTTGATATCACTGAAAATAGTCTAAGTCTATGGTTTCAATTGTTTTTGTTATGTAGATGATTTATTTTTATCTCTAGCCCTGGCTTCCCTCATGAATTTTATTAAGCATTTTTGATGGACCAGACATTTTAATGTCCACAAAATCAAGTTTCTTATTACTGTTCTGCTCCACAACCATAAAGAAAATAGTCCAAGCCTTTTCTCTAACTTAGGTTAATAGCATCACATTTCCATAGCCATCTAAGTTTAAATCTTTAGATGTGTTGTTTATTTGTGGTGGGGTTTGAGACAGAGTTTTGTTCTTGTTGCCCAGGCTGGAGTGCAGTGGCACGATCTGGGCCCATTGCAACCTCTGCCTCCCAGGTTCAAGCAATTCTCCTGCCTCAGCCTCCCCAGTAGCTGGGATTACAGGTGCTTGCCACCACGCCTGGCTAATTTTTGTATTTTTAGTAGAGATGGGGTTTCACCTTGTTGGCCAGGCTGGTCTTGAATTCCTGACATCAGGTGATCCACCTGCCTTGGCCTCCCAAACTGCTGGGATTATAGATGTGAGCCACTGCATCCGGCCAATGTGTTGTTAATTTTTGCCCACCACAACCATTGTCTCATCATAGCAGAGAGAATCTGCTAGCAAGACAGAAGTTACAATCTTATATAACGTAATCATGGAAGTGACATCTCATCTCCTTTTCCATATTCTGCTGGTTAGAAACAAGTCACAGGTTCTGCCCACACTCAAGGGGAGAGGATCACACAGGGTTGAGAATACCAAGAGATAGAGATCTTTAGCAGCTATCTTAGAGCCTGTCCACTGTGCTTTATCTCTGGGATCCAGTACTTTTCTCCTTATTTCTATTACTGTACTACCATGTTAGTTTGGTCGTTTATTATTTCTTGTCTAGATTAGTGCCATGACCTTTTAGTTGGGTGTTGCACTTATATTTTCTGTTGTTTCTGATCCTTCAACTGAAATTTAAGTTTAATATTCTTAAAATACAGCTCTTAAACTTTATCTTTTCTCAAAACTGTCTGTGGTTCCTCATTGCCTACTAATTAAATTTAAATGCCCACTGAGCCTTTTATTCAAGACTTTCTTCAAAATGGCCCCAAATTTTTGGATTTAACCCCTACTAATCCTCTACTTGAAACTTAACAGTCTAATGAGAGAATACTACATTTGCTGTTGTCTGTATAAACTATTACATTTTCCTTCTTCTGTCATAACTTTGCCTATACCAATGTTTCTAGCTGGAATTTTTCTTCCCATTCTGGTGTGTCCCCTCCCCATCACTGCACACACAAAAAGTTTTGTCTTTCAAACATATTTCAAATGCTATGCTTTTAATAAAGCCTCTCCTAATCCCTTAAACAGATGGGAGCTTTCCTATTTTTAAAACTGTCACTTAGAAAAATCTCTTTCTGTAATTTTCTCCGTAAATGTATGCATAGCTTTTTTATATTTACAACCATAAGATTATGTTTATATATATGTTTGTAATATATGTTTGTTTTCTTTGTATATTTATAACCATATTTCTTGAATATGTTATATATATATATATGTATGTGTATATTTTTAACTATATATCCAGAAATACCTGTTCTAGTATCATAGGAAGCAGAATACAAATATTTGTTAAATAAAATAGATCATTTCACTTGTACAAACAATTCTGTTGACTTTACCAAAAGTGAATTAATTACATCAGGCTTCAGAGTAGTATAATTAGCAGTTATAAAGTAAGAGTGAAAAAAGTCTGCCCTTTAAATTGTCCATTTATTGTGGCAAGAAAATAAAATTAAAAATCTGTATTTTCCACCTTCTCTCAAATTATAGGTCTAGTAACATCAAAGTACAAATTTCTTATAGAAGTGATAAGCTTACAGAATGGATAAAATACTTTATCCTTTTATATTTAACTCGTGTTTGAAGTTTCCGTCAGTAGGAGAATTACAGTGAACTTGTTTTCAGACATTTAGAAGACATTTAGAAGTTTTTGAGTCATGCCTTGAATGAATTATTGCTATTCTCCTGGTGAACATTATTGCTTAGTGTCTTATCATTACCAATTTATTACTGGTATTAGGGAAGCATGTCAAAATGCACACTAGTAATTTTTAAGCCTCTAATGGCCATTAAGAAGGAAAAAAGAGAAGTGTTTATTCTTTTTGATAAGCAATAAAATTGTCATGATGGTTTACTAACTTGGATGAGTTAAAAACTTGGAGAAAATTACTGATTTATGTTTATGATTCATGTGTTCACCTGACAGAATGCATCTGGTTATTTGGACAGCTATTGGATTAGTGTATACTGTTTAACTGATGTCTATTTGAATACTTAACATTATGAAAAAAATGTTTTATTAGTTTTGGGATGTAAAATAATATTGTTGACATACTATAAACTAGTCATAGTTACAGAGATTAAACACAAGAAATAAAACTCCATTTTGTTTATGAGACTTGAGGTTTCTGCTTGGATTCATTCACTGGAATTCAGGTTTCTGCTCAGATTTGTAAAGAGCTTAGAATTCATCACTCCTGTCCTCACAATAGGAAAAAAGCTAAACAAACTGAAAATCAATAACTCCTCTTAGCTTTATCAGAGAATTGCTATAACAGAGCACATTTAACAGTGATGCCCTGAAACCTGGAGAGAGAGGCAAATAGAGAATCACAGCTTACGGGAGCAGAAGTCAGTGGAGCCACGTAAACCCTAATTGATGAACTGCTGGAGACAGTGTGTGGACTAGCTTGAAAGTTAAAAACTCCTTGGGTGTCCAGTCTTAGATTCTTCTCACCCTCTGCTTTTGTGATTTTTATTACCTCTAGGATGCCCACCAGTTTTTCACAGTAAAGACAGAGAAAAATTCACTTCTGCTTCTAGCAGGAGGAGGAAAGAAGCAGCCATTTTGAAATACACCCAGATAGAAAGTAACCATATTGAAATATGCCCAGAGCATTCTGTTCTCCACCTGCCCTCAAGGGAAACTACTTCACCAGAGCCTAACCTACTTGGGAGAGGAAAAATCCTCAACTTGAAGCCCCTCTAGACTTCCTGTCTCACCTAAGCAGAGCCAGGGGGACAGAGAAGCATTTGTGAAGGTCATAGCCTGGGGACACACTCAGTGAAAGACTGAAACCTAATCTTAGGACTATAGGGCACTCCCCCCCAGCAACCCCTCAAATACACACACACACCCTGCCTTCCCCCACCACATCAGCAGGGCTCCTGTATAATACTAAGATTTCAGCTGAAAGAACTGCAAGGCTCAGACTGTAAGAAGAGATTTCTAGGGAAAACCAAAGACAACAGAGGATAAAAAAATGATACTAGAGGAAATTGAAGACTCAGACACCTATAACAACACCAAATTATAAGCACAGCATAATGCCTAGCATGATAAAAATAAACCCTTACAGTAAAGGCCTATTCAACCTGAGTTCCTATTACCCAATATACCATTTCTAGCTTTCAACAAAAAATTACAAGCCATGCTAAAAGGCAAGGAAAAAACACAATTTGAAGAGATACATCAAGCAACAGAACCACACTCATGAGGCAGAGATTTCACAATTATCAGACTGGGAGTTAAAATTAACTGTCATTAATATGCCAAAGTCTCTAATGAAAAAAAGCGTACAGCATGCGAGAACAAATGGATAATATAGGCAGGGATATTAAAACTATTAAGAATTGAAAAGAAATGCTAGGATTCAAAAGCACTGTGACAAAAACGAAGAATGCCTTTGGTGAGCTAACCAGTACCAGTAGACTGGTGACCAATAGACAGCCAAGGAAAGAATCAGTGAACTGGAAGACTTGTCAGTAAAACTTCCCAAACTGAAATGCAAAGAGAAAATAGAATGAAAAAAAAAATCCAGAATAGCCCAGGACTGTAGGACAGTGACAAAAGGTGTAGCATATGCATAATGGGAACACCAGAAAGACAAGAGAAAGAAGCAGAAGAAATATTTGAAGTAATAATAGTTGAGAATTTTTTAAAGTTAAGGACAGATCCCTTTCTTTGTAATGATCGTGGCTCGATACTTCGTATTTAGCTGCTACTAAAAGGGAGGAAAAGCAAAAATGAGGCATAATGACAAGTGCTTAAAACTAATACATAATAGCTGGTGGGTTGATCTGTGTGTACTGTGCTAATTGAAACTTTGATTAATTTTTTTGCTGTTATCTGTAGCCTCATATCCTACCACCATTTAATAGAGCCTGATCTAAATATTCTCATATTGATGTTCCTCTGAATTTAGCCAGCTGATACAGAATATATTATTATGTCATGGCACAGACGAAGTGGAAAATTTTTAACAGTAATAAGATTTTCAGGGCCAAAATCCACCTTTCATTCTATGTATAGCCACAACATATTCAAACTTGAAACAGTAATTTTTAAGCAGGGAAAACTTAAATTTGTAATATAATAGGAAGAATAGTATTAATTGTACTATCACAAACAGATCACATAACTAAGAATGGATTATATGTAACTCTTTAATTAACAGCATTCTGAATATTTTCTGATAACTTGTTATAAAGCTAGTTTGTCTTTTTCTTAATAAAAATTAGTTTAAAAAATTGTAAGTAAGTGTATAGCCTTCTCCCCTGACTTCCCTTTACCTTATTTGAGAATCATTGAACTAGTTAAAATCATTTATTTCTATAGGAAATGATAGGTTGTCAGGATGAGGAAACTGACACACAAGAAAATGACTCATTCAAGAACCTAAAAATTTAAAGTCACAGTTTTAGATTTCAAGTTGTCTGACCCTTTATCTGGTACTCTAACAACTAAGCAGCATGTTGTGCTCAGCTTTTCTGCAGCATTTGTTAACCTACTGTTTTGTTTTCTCAGTTTTTAAGGCCAATCTAGTTTCTATCACTTGATTGTGAGACAGTATGTAAAAGGCTGCATTTTCTTTCACTTTAACAGAAAAGTAGCAGCTCTGAATCCTTAAGTGACAAAGGCTCTGAATTGAAGAAAAGCTTTGATGCTGTGGTATTCGATGTTCTTAAGGTTACACCAGAAGAATATGCGGTAAGCCTCCTACCTCTGTCTTCTCCGGTTTTGCACATAATTTACATATTGGTGCTATTGAGTTAGAATTTGTAGGTCCAGCAAAAGAGACAGCTTTTAGAAACCTGGATATGGGAATTATTGGGGAAAATAGTACAGCTGTGGAGCAAACAGAGGGATGAAGTGGGAAAAGTAAGAAAAGCTGTACATTTTTTTTTAGGGCAACTTTATAAGTTACACTTCAATTTGGTAAGTAGCAATATGTATTTACCATTATGGTAATTGCTGTCATCCCTCTATACCATTTCTCTAAGCCAACTGTATTTTGTTGACATATCTAAGAAACATTTTCACTGGTTTTTTTAATTAAAAAATTGAAAAATGAAATATGAAGGTGTTATTAGATGAAAGGTATCTAGAAAAACATTTATTTCTTAATATAAATTTATTTGTTTTCTCATTCTCCTTTAATTTGTTAACAGAATATATTGATTTCCTAATGTTAAACCATTCCTGCATTCCAGAGATAAACTGTGCTTGGTCATAGCATATTATTCCTTGATAGTGTTGACTTTTGTCTTATATCTATAGCCATAAGTGGGATAGGTCCATAGCATATAAAGCTCTTAGATATAATGTTGGCTTTAGTGTAGTTTCATTATTTTTTTATAAGTTAGGAAGAAAACCTTTTTAGTAATATCTGATTTTATACCACTGTTTGAGGAGCTGTAATCATCATAACAAGAACACTGCTATGTGAACTAATAAATCTGGTTTTTATTTTTTGATTATAATTTAATGTGACTGTCCAAATTTTTAAAATTATTTTTATTTTTTAACTTTACACAATTTATCTTCCAAGAAAATATAAATAGACATGAGATCATTAGAAATAATTCTATTTAATGGTACAGGGGCTAAATTTTGTTTTCCATAAGCCCTTATAAAATTGAGTATTTGGTAATATTTTAGTATAGAATATAATTTTAATTTAGGTTACATGTTATGGTATAGAATTCCAAAGAAGAAATTGTCATTTTTACTTTATATTTCAGGGTCAGATAACATTAATGGATGTTCCAGTATTTAAAGCTATTCAACCAGATGTAAGTAGTTTTGAGAATGTTCCTTTTAAATATAGAAAACGATCAATCTCAAATTAAGTGTTTTAGAAATGTCAAATTATACTTCATATTAATTTTAAAATGTTTGAAGCTTGTGTTGTAACTTATCTACATACTGTTTGGGCCTCAGAAACCCACGTGGCATTCATAGCAATACATTATTGAGTCATAGATAGGACTATACTTGACATCTGAACAAAGCGGAGGTTAGGAGCATTGACACTTGCTCAGTGAAAACTCTTTCTATAACTTTTGATTCCCTGCAAACTTAACTTCAAATAGCCTGATGTTGACCAAAAGCCTTACTGGTAACATAAACAATCAACTAACACATATTTTGTATGTTATATGTATTTTGTACTCGGTTCTTACAATAAACTAGAGAAAAAATGTTACTAAGAAAATCATAAGGAAGAGAAACAATATTTACTATTCATTCAGGGGAAGCGGATCATCATAAAGGTCTTTATCCTCATTAGCCTCACATCGAGTAGACTGAGGAAGAAGGGAGATTTGTTCTGCTATCTCAAGGGTGGTAGAGGTGGAAGAAAATCCGTGTATAAGTAGACCCATGTGTTGTTTACAGGTCAGCTGTATTTGAATCATTTTGATTGATTTGGCTGCATTACTTACTGGAGGAAATAGACTTAGGGAAGTTGAATGATTTACCTATTGCTTTGAAGCTTTTTAATGGGAAGATGGAAATTTGAAACTGGGTTTCACCACTAACTCTAGTAATCTTTTCCCTTATATCTTTATTTTATGACTTAATAATATGACTGCGTTGACATTTTGGAGAGGAGAGAAAGGATCAAGAAACACATCATTTGTTTCTAATGAAAACAAAGGGACTGGCGTTATGCATCTATCCACTATAAGCATGGGGGTGTGTGTGTGTATAGTGTTCCTATCATTTTAACATCCTGAGTATGATAGTATCTCTGTTTTACTGATGAGGAAACAGTGACAATTGTCTTTGGTACACAACTAAGTGGTGGAACTGGGTTTCAGACTCTAAAATCTGATTTTTTTTAACCTCTCATCTAGTATATCAATGTGATTTTGTATTCCAAAACAAAGTCATTGATAATCCTGAAATTCAATACTACAAAATAGATACAATTTTAGTTCTTTCGGGAACAAAATATAGTGTATTCATTGTGCTATATACAAGTCTGTAGTGGCCCTGAACACTGTAATGACTATGAGTTTCCATTTATGTCCTACATGATGTAGGTAGTATTAGTCCTGTGATTTTCAAGTAAGTTACTTCCTGTCTTAGTATCTCAAATTCGATACCTATAAATGAAGGGGTGGGCCGAAATGATCGTCAGTTCCCATCATTTCCACAATTCTGTGTTTTCCTAACTTTTCCCCCATACCTCAGAGGGCTCTCTAAGTAGAACCATTGGATTAGCAATAGAAGAAGAACAATGTATTCTATAAATAAAGCACAAGAAGAAAATGGCTTTTGTATTTAAATGGCAAAAAGAAAAAACCAGAAATACTTATTTCTTCTCCTCCCTGAAAAAAAAAATCAAAAAAATGAAATTCTTTATGCAAATTACGTTTTTGACCTAAAATTCACCTGTCTTCTTCTTAGGTGTATTTTTTCCTTTTGAATGAACTGCAACAGTTGTATTGCTGCTTTATATGAGATCAGTGCTGTCTAGCAGAAATATAGTATAAGCCATTTATATAACTTTGTTTTCTGGTAGCCACATTATAAGGTAAAAAGAAAGATGAAATTGATTTTAATGATTTTATGTAACCTGCTACATACAAAATATTATCGTTTCAACTTGTAATCAGTGTAAAAAATTATTGAGATATCTTACATTCTTTTTTCTCCGCTAAGCCTTCAAATCCAACATATACAACAATTGCAGTACATCTTTATTTGGAGTAGCTATATTTCAAGTGCTTAGTAGCCATTGGTGGCTAGGAGCTTGGATATTGAAGATCCAGATAATACTACTTGAAGACATAGACTTCACATCTATGGGAAATTTTTATTCCCTTGGGGCATCTGATAGTACTTTGTGAAACTTAGAAATAAACCTTAAAATTCCCTTGACCTTTACTCCATTTATCTAATCCCTTTGATTTTTTTAACCTCCTAAGTACCTTATCTATCCAGTCTATCTCTACTCCCAACACCCCAATGTAAAATACTGTCTTCTCTCAAGTGAATTATTGCAGTGACCTCTTACTTCATCTACCTGCATTTACTTTGACCCCTCTAAATGCTTTTTTACCCAGTAGCCATGGTAATCTTTTCAACATCTGTTGGATCTGTTCATGTGATCGCTCTGCTTAAAACACTTCATTGGCTTCCTGTTGCTCTGAGGATAAAGAACCATCTTAATATGGTCTACAGATCTCTTCACAGTTTTACCTTTTTCTACCTTCTGCAACCCCATCTTACATCTTTCCTGTCTTTCTGGTCTAAGATATACTAGCCTTCCTTTAGCCCCTCTCACCACTGAGCCTGTGCACATCCTAATTAACTTCTACTCATCTTTCAGTTCTCAGCTCTAGTTTGACTTTCTCAGGTAAGCTTTTTTTGTCTTTCTACAGGGTCACCTAGCACTCTATACTTTTTCACTGGACTCGTCAATTGCAATTTTACATTTGTGTTGTGATTCAACAAATATTTACTGGATGCCTATTGTATGCCTATTTTATGCAATTTAAAACATCTAGTTTAGTTGCTGAAGGTATAGCAGTAAGCCAACACTAAAATTCCTGCCCTCATGGATCTGATATTTGGGTGAGGTTAGCTATAGAGTGTCATGAAAAACATAAAGCAGAGAGAAGAGAATAGGAAGTGTGAGGGTAGTGGGAGTTGCAACTTTAGATAGGATGATCAGGAAGACCTTACTGAGAAGATGACATCTGCATTAAGGCCTAAAGGAGGTGAGTGAGAGAGCAAGCCATATGAGTGTTTGGGGAAATAGTATTCCAGGCAAAGGGAAAGTCGGGGCAAAGGCCAGTGAGCTACAGTGAGTGAGCAAGGGAGGGAATGTACTAGAAGATGAGAGGTAGGGTGAGGGCTAGATGGTGTGGGGCCATTGTGAAAAAGATGGGAAGCCATTAGAGGGTTGTGAGCAGAGAAGTGACATTTTCCGCGTTAGGTTTTAAGTCGCTCTTTTTTTTCTCTTCTCTTCTTTTCTTTCTTTCTTTTCTTTTCTTTTCTTTTGTTTTCTTTCTTTCTTTCTTTTCTTTTCTTTTCTTTTCTTTTCTTTTCTTTTCTTTCTTTCTTTCCTTTCTTTCTTCTTCTTTTTTCTTTTTTTTTGACAATCTTGCTCTGTCACCCAGGCTGGAATGCAATGCAGTGGTGTGATCTCAACTTACTGCAACCTCCGCCTCCCGGGTTCAAGTGATTATCCTACCTCAGCCTCCCTAGTAGCTAGGCCTCCAGGTGCATGCCACCACGCCTCGCTAATTTTTGTATTTTTAGTACAGACAGGGTTTCACTATGTTGGCCAGGCTTGTCTCAAACTCCTGGCCTCAAGTGATCCACCCGCCTTGGCCTCCCCAAATGCTGGGTTTACAGGCGTGAGCCACTGTGCCCGGCCTTAAGCAGCTCTTTGATACTGCTGACTAGGATATGTGGCAAAGAGCATAGGGGAAGAAGAGGTGGTACCAAGGACTGAATCAAGGAGACCACGTGAGAGATGAAGGTGGCTTAGATCAGGGTGGGAATGGAAGAGATAAATGAGAAGTTGCCAGACATTGTATGTGAAACAAGAGTAGAGGATGACACCAAGGTTTTTGGCCTGAAGCCAGATGCATGTAGTTGATATTCTCTGGGATGAAAAATTATTATTGTTGTCGTATACAACTCCTGGGGCTGCTATTCATATAAAATATAATGCACAATGCACCCTTGTGGAGAAAGGCTAGAGGAACAGATTTTGCAGGAGTTTGGCTTTGGACATACTTATTTTGACATGCCTGTTAGACAGCCAAGGAGAATGTTGAGTTTGGGAATGTATACTGGCATATATTTCCAGTCCAGTCTAGAAATAATAAGTTTAGGAGATGTCAGTGTAGAGGTGGTATTTAAAAGTGTGGGTGAGATTATCAAGAGAGTGAATACAGGTACTTGATTTGCTTGCCTCTCCACCAGATTTTAAGCTACATGAGGGCAGAGACTGACAATTTTTGCTTACCATTTTATCTGACTGGCACATAGTGGAAGCTCAATATTTAGAATGAGAGGTTGAACATAGTATTTAGTAAATGTCTGCCCAATGAGAGAGTGTTTTTAAAAATTGACAACAGTAACTATTGGAAGAAATGATGTAGCACCAAAATACTTTTAGCTTTTTTTTGGAGACAGGGTCTGGCTCTGTTCCCCAGGTTGTAGTGCAGCGGCGCAATGACGGCTCACTGCAGCCAGGACCTCCCAGGCCCAAATGATCCTCCCACCTCAGCCTCCCAAGTAGCTGGGACCATACACATGTGCCACCATGCCTGGCTAATTTTTTATTTTATTTTTTTAGAGACAGGGTCTCGTTGTGCTGTCCAGGCTGGTCTCAAACTCCAAGGCTCGAGTGATCCTTCTGCCTTGGCCTGCCAAAGTGCTGGGTTACAGGTGTGAGCCACTGCGCCCAGCCAATATATTCTTAATGTATTAGTCTCGTGTGAACACTAAGAGTGTATTAAATCTGGCCAGTATAAAAAGGCCTTTGTTATCTGGCAGAAAAATGTTTTTAAAATTTAGTATGATATATTAAAGACATATAACAAAGCATAGTAAATAATAAGATAAATTCCTGTGTATCTAACCAGTACTGAGAAAGGCTTTCTGCATTCTGCCACCAAGGTAATCACCATCCAGTATTGGTCTGTATCATTCCTGTCTATTTAGTTATATTTTTTCTTTATGTATAGGTATCCCTTAACGCATGCTATTGCAGTTTCAAATATTTTATGTAGATGGTGTTCTGTTGTTTCGGTCTTTTTAGCATGCTTTTGATGTTCTTGTCTTCGTAGCATGCTTTTGATGTTCAACATTGTTGACTAGCATCTGTGTTGATATATACACTTTAATGCATTGATCACTGGATTATAGAGCATCTTTAAATTTTTAATCAACTATTGCTAATTTGTTTTCCAAAATGATTGTACAGATATTGTTTATTATGTCAAAACTCTTGCTACTGATAAGTTAAAAATAGATTGTTTAACCTATGATGGCAGCCAGTTTAGTGTATTAATCTTTATTAACATAAAATGATGTCTCTTTATATAGTATACATTAGAATATTACCTTCACTGGAGGATAAAGGAATTCTTATTGTTAAATCAAAATTAAACCTCAGATATTATGAAAAGATATTGGTTATAACTGAGTCTATAACTAGTAAATTAATTTTATGTTTGTGTCCATTATATCAATATTCAGGTCTCTACTTCATATATAATTGTATATTAAAAGTATACATATACTTTATAAAACTGTTTAAAAGATCTTCAGTGTATTTTGTTTTTGTTTGTTTTTTGAGACAGAGTCTCACTGTATTGCCCAGGCTGGATTGCAGTGGCATGATCACGGCCCACTGCATCCTTGATCTCCTGGGCTTAAGTGGTTTTCCCACCTCAGCCTGCCAAGTATCTAAGACTAAAGGCATACACCACCACACCTGCCTAATTTTTTTTTTTTTTTTTTTTGGATAGAGACAAGGTCTTACTACGTTGCCCAGGCTGGTCTTGAATGCCTGGGCTCAAGCGATCCCCCGGCCTCGGCTTCCCAAAGTGCTGGGATCAGTGTGAGCCAGCACACCAGGCTGAAAACTATTTAAATCAATGCTCATTTTTGTGTTTCCACATGTAACATTATTTTAGGTGATGGTTTATTTATATTAAAATATGAACTAAATTTCAATTTTGAAGAATATAGATTCTGAATCCAACTGTGTGGTATAGTGATTTTAGTTGCAGATTGGTGATTGAACCACGCAAGTCTCAGCTTTCAATAATGTAGACAGTTTCTGAGTTACGTATAATATATATCTCCCACTCCTGATTTAATTTCCTAAGTAGGACCTGGTAATTCTTACTAGTTTATGGAATTCTGCATTTTCAACTCTCGTATGTCAAACAGAATTTAGCTAAACGTGTTCTACCTAAACTCGTTCTTGACTTGGAGGAAGAAACTATAGGGCAATTATAAGAGGTACAGTTGTTTGCTCAGAAATAAAGCTGCTTACCTACAATGTCTGTTGTACTATATATCTCAGAATTGCTCGGGGGAAAAAAAGAAAAATTCCAAGTCTTTTATTTCACTGTAGAAACTGTCTTATCTCTGAAGTGTTAAAAATTATTTTTCTTTGTACAAAGATTGTCCTTGGTCATTGATAAAATACTGGATAAGTAAAATCACATCTTTAAAAGCAGATCTGAAGCAAACATAATGCTAAGCCTGGTTTTTCTCCAATTCTGTAACACACTTGAAATTACTTCAGATTGAAGAACAAGAAAACAGGTTTTGGTACTTTATTTTCTAGTTTTTTGTGTAATGATAGAGAAGACAGGCAAATATGTTTACCAAAGAAAAGAATTCACCATTAAACTTCACCAGTCATTTTAAAAACTACTTAGTAGGAATCTAATTACATAGAAAAAAAGTTCACTCATATTTTGTTAAGTTTTTTAAGGTTCTCTGAGTGCTCTGAACCATCCATTTTTAATACAATTGAGAAACCAAAAATTCAGCCTTTCCACTTCTTTCTCTGTCCTTCTTCTGTTCTCCAGTATCTCCCATTGACGTTACCTCCTAAATTTTCTCCCCTTCTTTTCTCCTGTCAACTCTGAAGCATATTTATTGAAAGAATAAAATGCTATTACACGGCTGCAGCTCATTGGCTCTAGAAATAGGAGTATTCTTTAGTGTCTGTCTGTGGTTGTTGGGACTGAGATTGGTCACAGCTCAGTCAGTTATATATATCCTGACAGCTCCCTCTCCACCCCTGGCCTCAGTACTGTGCCCTGGTGTTTCCATACTGGTGCTGCAGAAATCCTAAGATGTTCCATTTGTCCATTGGCCCAAGCTGCGTGACCAAATTTGGATACTTCTATGGATAGTGATCCCTTTCACACAAAACCTTGGTTTTTACTGTTCCCCCTTCCTCTTGATATGTAGTCTCTTAGTGGTGGGGAGAAAATACAATAACATGGTTGTAACTGTAAACTGTAATTACAGTGATTATAAAGAAGGGGGAAAGTTCCATCATCTATATTCAACCACTATTAATATACCCTTGCAACTCTTACTTTCACACAGTTGCTCTCTCACTTTCCGTCTTTTCTTTTTTAGTTTAAAGCAGTTTTGAAGACAAATTGCCATATATTTTGCTGCTGCCCCTCCCCCTTTGTAAAATCAGGGTCCAACACACAGCAGTCTGAATGGGTGCTCAATAAATCCTTAATTACTTAATTTCACTTACTTTAAAATTTATTTAAAAGCCCTTTGAATTACAGAAGATAATTTTTTAGCGGCCAAACCATAAGAGCAAGGAGCCAGAAGACTTGTATTTTTGTTTCAGCTTTGCTATTTATAAATTGTGCTGCTAATACAATCTGTTTCTTGTCTTTGGCCTTGAAATTTTTTTTAAATCTAAATAAAGGGTATTTAGACTGGTTGATCTTTAAAATACTTTATAGATTTCTGAGAAATTCCTGGAAGTGGGTAATTTCAGAGTTGAGCTGCAGTTAGTAGTTATAAGGCTTTAATAAATAAGAATTTCGATCAAAACCACAGGGGTCTTTTTTTTTTTTTTTTTTTTAAGAAATGGGGTCTCGCAGTGTTGCCCAGACTGGTCTTGAACTCCTGGGCTCAAGTGATCCTCCCACCTCAGCCTCCCAAAGTGCTGGGATTACAGACATCAGCCACCATGCCCAGCCCGGGAGTCTTAATAGGTGATAAAGTCTGGGGGGCTGTCACAAGTCAAGCACGTACAGATTGGGGTCTGTCATCCCATTTCGAGAATATAAATTCCATGTGGGCAGGAATCTTTGTTCCATTCACTGGTATCTCTAGCACCTTAGAATAATACCTTCTCACCTGTTTACTATTAGAGATTGATAAATGACCATTTCAAAACTTCATACTGTATAGCCTGTATGCATATGATCTCCCATTGTTTATCATTTTGGAGTCGTTTTTGCAGAAGTGTTATCCACCCAATGTGACTTTTGTAAAATAGCATCCTTTCTACAGAAACAGGAGTTTTTTCCTTCCCATAATTTAGGCTATATTTTCAGGTTTCTTCCCTAGTATGAATTTTCCAATGCTGAGTAGGGCAGAAGTTTTGCCAAAGGATTCTGTAGTTTCATTAATTTCTAGTAATGATTTTTGGTATTCAGTCAAAGCTCAGCACTTATTAAAGTTTTCCCATATTTCTTATATACATAGTTCTCCTCAATATGATTTCTCTTTTGATCATGAAGGTTTGTTTTCTTTTCCCTTCCCTTTCCCTTCTTTCCCTTTTCTTTTTTTGAGACATGATCTCACACTGTTGCCCAGGCTGGGGAGCAGTGATGTGATCTCGGTTCACTGCAACCTCTGCTTCCTGGGTTCAAGTGATTCTCATGCTTCAGCCTCCAGAGTAGCTGGGACTACAGGCGCATGCCACCACACCCAGCTAATTTTTGTATTTTTTGGTAGAGACAGGGTTTCACCATGTTGGCCAGGCTGGGCTCAAACTCCTGACCTAAAGTGAGCTGCCTTGGCCTCCCAAAGTGCTGGGATTACAGGTGTGAGCCACCACACCTGGCTTAGATTGTTTTCTTTTAGAAGGCTCTTACACATTTATTTATAGGGCTTCTCTCCAGTGTGAGTTCTTTCATGTTGCAGAAGCTTGACTGTATTCTGAAGGTTTTTCCATGTTATTACATTTAGAGGATTTTTGTTTTAGATTTTTGTCTATTATAAATTATCGGATGTTCTATAAAGCTTGTATTTCTTCAGAAGGCATTGCTACATTGATTACACTAATAGGGTTTCTCTTCAGAATGAACTTTCTGTTACTAAGCACAAGGTGAGTTATGACAAAAAGGTGGTTTGCAGTGCGGTTTTCTTTCCAGTAGCAATTCTCTGGTGCTTTTAATAAGCCTTAAGTAGGGGATCAACTGTGCTTGAAATTTGTGCTGTAGTTATTACATTGGATACTGTTTGCCTCTTTTATGAGGGTCTCAAGTATTCATAAAGTGACAGGATATATCTGAAAGTCTGACATATAGAGCATTCAAAGAATGTTTTAGGCTGGGCGTGGTGGCTAACGCCTGTAATCTCAGCACATTGGAAGGCTGAGCCAGGTGGATCACTTGAGGCTAGGAGTTCAAGACCAGCCTGGCCAACATGGAAAAACCCCATCTCTACTAAAAATACAAAAATTAGCCAAGCATGGTGGTGCATGCCTGTAATTCCAGCTACTCGGGAGGCTGATACACAAGAATCGCTTGAACCAGGGAGGCAGAGGTTGCAGTGAGCCGAGATTGCGCCACTGCACTCCAGCCTGGGTGATGGAGTGAGACTCTGTCTCAAAAAAAAAAAAGCAAAGAAGAAAGTTTTATACTCTATTTATCCTCGTAGATCAATACATTAAGTCAGACATTTAGATTATATCAACAAACAGATATTAAATTCAAAAAATAATAAGCCCCTCTATATAACTGGGATCACTAGGATTTACTAGGGATCAAGGAAGAATGTTGGTTAAATGAGGGAAAGTATGTAATAGATAATTCTGAATCTTATTAATTAAAATATTTCTTGTTTGTTTGTTTGTTTTTTGAGACAAAGTCTTACTCTGTTGCCCAGGCTAGAGTGCAGTGGTGCGATCTTGTCTCACTGCAACCTCTGCCTCCCGGGTTCAAGTGGTTCTTCTGCCTCAGCCTCCTGAGTAGCTGGGATAACAGGTGTGCTACCACCACACCTGGCTAATTTTTGTATTTTTAGTAGAGATGGGGTTTCACCATGTTGGCCAGGCTTGTCTCGAACACCTGACCTAAGGTGATCCACCCACCTCAGCCTCCCAAAGTGCTGGATTACAGGTGTAGCCACCACACCTGGACTGTATCTTATTAAAATATTTCTGAAAAATTTAACAATTGAGATATTTCCGACAGTATATAGAAAAAGCTTCTCTGTGCAAACCTTCTAGTGTATGTCAAGATAATATAATCTTGGAAACATCCAAAGTTCCAGCATCAGGAATATCATAATTCTATCCTTGTTTTAATGAAAATTAATCATTTGCCTTAAAATTAAAATATAAACAATTAATAAATATAATGAGAGATTTGAAGAAAGCAAAGAAGACTTGTAGACTTGAAATTGTTCTGCTATACAGACCAGAATAAACCAATTGCTGTGTTAGAAGCGAGTTGCCGCTGTTTTGTCAGTTTGTATTACTGCTGTTCATCACTGTGAACTTCTTTAATATATAATAAGATAAGGCTTAGATTAGGATTAAGGAAGGTAGAGAAGAAAAGTGTTGTTTGGTAGTGTAGGTGTATATGACATCAGAGATAGGAAAAGAAAGCTCCTGCCTGTATCTGTGATCTCATTATACGGACAGCTTTAACATATTGGGAGGAAGGAAGAGAAAAGAGGATGTGAGTACATTAGAAAATAGAAGGGTTTATATATATATATCTTAATACCTAGGAGTTAGTTTTAAAGTTTATATTGTGGGTTAAGATATAGGAATAGTAGTGAGCACTTCATGTGTGACTGAGACTTCTTTGTAGATAACCATATTAGGCTGAATGCTAATGGATATGCCGTATTCCTCTAAAGCTGTCCTCTTTTGAGCACAGAGATGTCTCAGCAATAATTATCTTCTCTTTGTTAGGATCTCCCAGCCCCATTGCCCTCTCCCTGCTTCCAGTCATTTACAGATTCCATCGCTTTTTCTTTTCTTCCCTCAGTCTCTTATCTACATACTAGTCTATATTGGCTTTTTCTCTCTTCTATCTGTAGGTATCCCTACAGCATCACCCTTAGAACATTCCTTTTAAGAGTATTGGAACCTACAAGATGAAATTTAGATCAAGAATTTCTTTGCAGAACAAACCTACAAGATATAAGGAAGCTCTGACTTCTGTGAATTCAGTAATTCTTTCATAGGGTAGGTGGTCATCAGTTGTGGGATTTTGCCCTCCCTGTGCTTCCAAAATAAATGCAAGTGAAAATTGGGCTTAGTAGTTTCATAGTTTAAAATTAATCAATGAATATTCTTTCAAATACACTTATAATGACTGTTAAGAAATTGCCTTTATATATGATTTACTATTTGAAGATTTCTCTTTACTACGTGATTTTAAAATTGCAAGTTAAATCCATTGTAACAAATTTTAAGGGGTATCAAGGCTGCTAAATTTCATTTAGCCTTTGCTAAAATGGAGGCTTATTTACATAGTATACTCAAAACAGTTTTATTCCTAAGTCATACCCTTGAAAAAAGCATCCTTTGAGTTGTTGAGTTTACTTCAACCTTTTGATGTTCATATGAGATATTTTAGTATAGACTAATTCTTGACCAGGCTGAACTGTCAATATGCAAGATGGCATCTGTGGCATAATTTATTTCCTGGATTGTATTCTAGTGTGACTTGGAGGAAGATCTTAGAATCTGAAACAGAAAGAGATAGAGACAAAGGGAAAAGCAATTTTTTTTTTTTTAATCACAGAGAAATTTAGCAGCTCTTGAGAGGTAGAGGTGGGGCAGGGCAAAATTCCTTTAATGCCAGGTAACCATAAATGCATGTCAAAGTTTAAGAAGAAATAGTGGGTTAGTTCTTGGGAGTCCCGGTGCAATTTTAGCTTCATAATTCATTATGTAGTTTTGTTTTTATTGCTGTTTTTTAACTTTTTATTTTGACATAATAGATTCACAGGAAGTTGCAACAAAATAGTACAGAGATAATTAGAGGCCCATAGGCAGTTATAAAAGTAGTCCAGAAAAGTCCCATTTACTTACTCTTCATTCAGTTTTCCTCAGCAGTTACATCTTACATAACTATAGTACAATATCAAAACCAAGAAATTGATATTTTTATAATACGTGTCTGTATAAATCTGTGATTTTTGTCATATATGTAGATTTATCTAACCACTACCTCAGTCAAGATTCAGAACTATTGCATCACCACAAAGATCTCTCCCTGTGCTACCTCTTTATAGTCACACCCATCGCATTACTCCTCTCCTACTCCTCACCAGCCTTAACCCTGGCAGCCACAAATCTGTTCTTCATCTTGTTGAACTGTGAGAATCCACTCATACACATATTTTTTTCAATAAATATTTTGGAAATTTTGTCTTGAAGATTTCCAACAATTTGTAAAAAAAAAAAAAAAAAAAACCACATAGCTTAGAAATATAAAAAAAAATTAAGAAAAAGGGATGGCGTGAATGTATAAAATATATGTAGATACTAGTCTATTTTGTCTTTTACTACCATGAGATATATCCAAATGTATTAAGAAAAGTTAATATTTATCAAGACTTATGCACACAAAGACCTTGTGTTCTGCCATATGCGGTCAAGAGAACTATTAAGAAACATAAAGATGCAGTATTAAGTCATAACTGCATAAAATTAACTGTAGTGCATACCATTCTATTGTAGTAATTTTGTAACCACCTCGCGTTGCTATTACAGTGAGCTCAAGTGTTGAGAGTATCTGCTGAAAATGATGATGCTAATCAGTTATCTCCACATGAGCAGTTCCTGTCTCCAGTAAATTGTGTTATGACGTTAAAATGTGATCTCTCACTGTGTTTAGTGCAATATCCTAACCTTGAATAATACCATGAGACCCATAAGAAATACCATTAGTGGTGGTGGAAGTGCTTCTAAGAAGCAGAGAAAAGTTACGACATTACAGGAACAGGTTGAATTGCTTGAAATGTACCACAGATTAAGGTCTGCAGCTGCAGTTGTCTGCCATTTCAAGATAAATGAATCCAGTGTAAGGAGCATTGTGTTTCGTTTTTTTTTTAAAAAGGAAATTTGTGAAGTCATCACTTTTCATACACCAGCAGGTATGGAAACCCCACACGTTTTGTGAAATATTGTGTCTTTTATCTTGTATTGAAAATGCAGCTTTTTAAATGGGTCCAGGATTTCTATAAGAAAGTATACCCATAGCCTCAAATATTATTCAAGAAAAAGCAAACTCATTATATGACAACTTAAAAGGAAGGTGAAGTATCTAAAGCTGGAGAATTTAATGCCAGCAAAGGATGGTTTGATAATTTTAGAAAGAAGTTTTGCTTAAAAATTGTCAGGATAACAGGAGAAGCAGCTTCTGCCTACCAAGCAGCAGCAGACAGGCTCCCAGACACCATTGAGAAAATCATTGAGGAGAATGGGTATCTGCTTGAACAAGTTGCTGTTGTTGTTGTTGTTTTGAGACGGAGTCTTGCTCTGTCACCCAAGCTAGAGTGCAGTGGCGCGATCTCCGCTCACCACAACCTCCACCTCCTGGGTTCAAGTGATTCTCCTGCCTCAGACTCCTGAGTAGCTTGGATTACAGGCACATGCCACCATGCCTGGCTAATTTTTTGTATTTTTAGTAGAGATGGGGTTTCACCGTGTTGGCCAGGCTGGTCTTGAACTCCTGACCTCATGATCCGTCTGCCTCGGCTTCCCAAAGTGCTGGGATTACAGGCCACTGCACCCAGTCTGAACAAGTTTTTAATACAGATGAAAGTGTCCTACTCTGGAAAAAAAAAATGCCACAAAGGACATATATTAGCAAGGAAGAGAGGCAAGCACCACAATTTAAGGCAGATGGGGATAGGCTAACTCTACTGTTTTGTGCAATTGCGGTTGGGTTTATGATCAGGACTGCCCTTACCTATAAAGCTGCTAAACCCTGAGTCTTGAAGGGAAAAGGTAAACACCAGCTGCCCGTCTTTGGATGTAAAATAATAAAGCCTGGAAAATGAGAACCCCTTTTCTGGATTGGTTCCATTGATGCTTTGTCTCTGAAGCCAGGAAGAACCCTGCTAATAAGGGACTGCCTCGTAAAGTTCTTTTGATTCTGAGCAATGCGCCTGGCCACCCAGAGCCCCGTGTGTTCAACACCAAAGGCTCATTACACTCAGTACTTTATGAAAAGGATTGTCGGTGATATATAAGAACCCTTATATAGAACATCATCAAAGTCTAAAAGAATTGCACTATTGAAGATGCCATCATTGTTAAAGAAAAAGCCATGAAAGCCATCAAGCCCAAAACAATAAATTTCAGCTGGAGAAAACTGTGTCCAGATGTTACACGTGAATTCACAGGTTTTATGACAGAGCCAACCAAGGAAATCATGAAAAAGATTGTGGATATGGCAAAAAAAGTTAGGGAGCTAAGAGTTTCAAGATACGGATCTTGGAGAAATTCAAGAGCTAATAAACACCACACCAGAGGAATTAACAAAAGATGACTTGATGGAGATGAACGCTTCTGAGCCAGTGCCAGATGATGAGGAAGAAGATGTAGAAAAAGCAGCACCAGAAAACAAATTGACATTAGACAGTCCAGCAGAAGAGTTCTAGTGATTCAAGACTGCATTTGACTTCTTTTACAACATGGACCGTTCTATGATACAGGCATTGAAACTAAAGGAAACTACGGAAGAAAGATTGGTACCATATGGAAACATCTTTAGAGAAATGGAAAAAGCAAAAAAAGTCAGACCTAAATTACATATGTTTTTGTAAAGTTACACCAAGTGTGCCTGCCTTTCTGGCCTTCTTTTCACCTCTGCCACCACTGAGACAACAAGACCAACCCCTTCAGCCTATACACCATGAAGATGCAAGGATGAAGACCTTAATGATGATCCACTTCCACTTAACGAATAGTAAATTCTCTTCCTTATGATTTTCTTAATGACATTTTATTTTCTCTAGCTTACTTTACTGTAAGAATATAGTGTATTATACATATCACATACAAAATACATGTTAATCACCTGTTGATGTTATGAGTAAGGCTGGTCAGCAGTAGGCTATTAGTGGTTTTGGGGGAGTCAAAGGTTATATGTGCATAATTTTAAAAGTTAGATGTGGGTTTTCAACTGTTCGGAGGGTCAGTGCCCCTAACCCCTGAGTTGTTTAAGGGTCAACTGTATTTACTACTCTTTCTATATATGGTTGACTTAATTTCCCCAACTTTGAGACGAAAGATGTTTGATGTGAAGTAGAGAGAAAATAAGGGTGGAGAGAGGGCTGTGAATCACCTATAAACCCCAAAGAAAACCTATGTAAACATATTCCCAATCTTTTTTTTTTTTTTTGAGACAGAAGTCTCGCTCTGTTGCCCAGGCTGGAGCGCAGTGGCGTGATCTCAGCTCACTGCAAACTCCACCTCCTGGGTTCAAGTTATTCTCCTGCCTCAGCCTCCCAAGTAGCTGGGATTACAGGCATATGCCACCACGCCTGGCTAATTTTTGTATTTTTAGTAGAGAGGGATTTCACCATATTGGTCAGGCTGGTCTTGAACTCCTGACCTCAGGTGATCCACCTGCCTCGGCCTCCCAAAGTGTTAGGATTACAGGTGTGAGCCACTATGCCCAGCCTTCCCAATCTTCTTTATGTGCATATGTGGGTCTCTTTTTTGTTCATTTGTTTAAGGTAGCCAATAGCTATACTTTGCTGTGTAATTTAATCTACTGTGTTTTAAAAGTCTTTCCCATCCTGAAAACAGATGTCTTAATAGTAGCAATAATAATAATAATACTAACACTAATACAGAGATTATTATGTGCCAGTCTAAAGGCTTTATACATATCAACCCATTTGATCCTGTTTCATCATTATAATTTATCGTGATAAATAAGGAAGCCAGACAAAAGTATGGTGGATTGTGGCTTCATTTTTACATTAAAAAAATTTTTTAATACTTTTCTGACTCCTCAAATAAATGCCAAGAGGTTTTGGAAAGTCCGTCCAATTCTTAGAACATTTCTGCATCATTAATTTAATGGAAAAAATGCTTTGTCACTTGAGGAAAACTGTTGGAAGGTGACTGAAAGGAAATCATGAAAGAGATTGTGGATATGGCAAAAAAGGTAGGGAGCTAAGAGTTTCGAGATATGGATCTTGGAGAAATTCAAGAGCTAATAAACACCACACCAGAGGAATTAACAAAAGGTGACTTGATGGGTAGAAGGGAGGGAGGGAGGGAGGGAGAGGTGTGTAGTCACATTCTTTGGAAGCAGCTGGGTTAAAATTCCGTTTGAAGCCCTCCATTCTAAAGAAGCTTATAATTAGAAAACAAGAGAAAATGTTTTTGAACCTCATAAGATGGTAGTTTCTGTATCAGAAAACATTTCCCCCATGAAACAGTGTTACATCACTAGCCTATCTCATACAACAATAATCAGAACTACACTTTACCCTTGAATGTCTCTGGAGTTAGAAACACCAGGCTCCCAGAAGTCGAAAATTTGCAGGTAAAACTCAACTACTCATAGCCTACCATTGACTGGAAGCCTTATTGATAACATAAACAGTCGATTAACACATAGTTTGTATGTTATATATATTATATAATATATTCTTAAAGTAAGCTAGAAAAAAGAAAATGTTATTAGGAAAAATACATTTACAGTACTGTATTGTACATCATAAGTTTACATAGTCTGTTTATAAGATATATTGACTGAAATGGCAGCAGGACCTCAGTCTATGGTACATATCAAGCAATGCAACTTGTTCTTGAAATGTCATGACTTTTCTTTGCTTCTTAGGAGCACTTCCAGCATCTCTAGTGGTGCTTCTTATGGGTCCCATGGTGTTATTCAAGGTTTAGGATATTGCACTAAACACGATGAAAAATAACGTGAGAACCGTGAGAAATCACATTTTACTGTGATAATACAATTTACTGGAGATAGGAACTGCTCATGTGGAGATAAGTAGTGTCATCACAGGGTGTTTTAAGGGAATACTCTCTACACTTAAACTCACTGTAAGAGCAACACGAGGTGGGTACAAAATTATTATAGTAGAACAGTATGTACTATGGTTAATTTTATGCAGTTATGATTTAATATTGCACCTTTATGTTTGTTACATTTCTCTGGACTGCATATGGCAGCATGTAAGGTCTGTTGGTGTGCATAAATTTTGATAAATGTTAACTTTTTTAAATACATTTGTGTGTATTTTATGGTAGTAAATGATAAAATAGACTAGTATTTTATACATTCACGCCATCCCTAGCTTTTTCTTAATTTTTCGATACTCCAAGCCATGTGGTTTGTCTGCAAGTTTTTTCAAATTGTTGCAAATCTTCAAGACAAAATTTCCAAAATATTTTTTGAAAAAAATCTGTGTATGAGTGGACCCACACAGTTCAAACCCATGTTGTTCAAGGGTCAACTATGTACCTCATTTTGATAAGAGTGTTGTGAAACTTACATTCATTTCTCGTGGGAGTGTAAATGATTCAGTATTTCAGGAGGGCAGTTTGACAGGTAGCAGAGCCTTGAAAAGGTTCATACTCTTTGACCTCGTGATTTCTTGTAGGACTATATTTTTAAGAAATAATCAGAAATGTCAGAAGAGGTGCAAGGATATTCATTATTTGTAATTATAGCATTACTTAACAATAGGAAAATGAAATCAGCCTTTTGTGTAAAGGTCTATAATGGAGTTTGACTTCTTTGTCAAATGGCTACTTTGAGTGGTTTGATAAGTTTAATTTGATAGACACTTTGATTATAGCATTAATATAAGTTTTGTAATTATAGTAATTGGCTAAAAACGAATTCAGTTACTTAGGGATTTAATCTTAGGAATTTTATCCTAAAATATGACATCTTTATGTAGTTGTGTATGTATGCTGTGATTTTGGAAAGAACAAAAATGTTTCTAGCAGTTTGATGTTTTCAGTATCATTGTCATAATATTTTTGTGTGAATATAATTTTTACTACTAAATGTTTTCTTTTTTTACAGGGAGATAATATAAAATGATCATATAGCTAGGCTAATTGAATATCCAGAAATTTTTATTTTTGCTATAGAATTGCTTTTTATCATTTCATTATTTCTTTCAGAAATTTCAAGCTTGAAAGATATGATCTAATTTTAGATTTAAAAAGGCAGTTTTTATCTCCACAGCATTCACTCCTTATCTACTGTGTAGAAATAATTGTCATCTCTCCCCTCAGTATTCCCTATCTCAGTTGCTCAAAGCAGAAACCTGGAATCTTAGTACTTCTGCAGACTTCGTTTTTAGCTTACATCACATGAGTCCAATTCTTGATGAAGTCCTGTCTGCCTCCAGAGTATCTTGAGTCTATCGTATCCATATCCACTGACAGTGCCCTGGTTGAGGGAACATTACTTTTTTCTTGAAGGACTATAGTATCATCTTAACTGTTTCCTCAATCTTCCCCTGACTCAATCTATTCCTTTTTTTTTTTTTGGTTTCTAATTTAATTTAAGATTTTATTGAAGTTTTGCATGTATCATGTTTAAGAAGTCAAATATTTGCATAAGAGAACAAAATATAGCAAAATCCTAACTCAGTTATTCGCATCTTTCCAACCTCGATCCTGGAGCTCCACTCCCACCCAGATCTCTTAGCTGTTTCTTCTTTTTTTTTTTTTTTTAATTAATTGATTTATTTATTATTATACTTTAAGTTTTAGGGTACATGTGCACATTGTGCAGGTTAGTTACATATGTATACATGTGCCATGCTGGTGTGCTGCACCCACTAACTCGTCATCTAGCATTAGGTATATCTCCCAATGCTATCCCTCCCCCCTCCCCCCACCCCACAACAGTCCCCAGAGTGTGACGTTCCCCTTCCTGTGTCCATGTGATCTCATTGTTCAGTTCCCACCTATGAGTGAGAATATGCGGTGTTTGGTTTTTTGTTCTTGCGATAGTTTACTGAGAATGATGATTTCCAATTTCATCCATGTCCCTACAGAGGACATGAACTCATCATTTTTTATGGCTGCATAGTATTCCATGGTGTATATGTGCCACATTTTCTTAATCCAGTCTATCATTGTTGGACATTTGGGTTGGTTCCAAGTCTTTGCTATTGTGAATAATGCCGCAATAAACATACGTGTGCATGTGTCTTTATAGCAGCATGATTTATAGTCCTTTGGGTATATACCCAGTAATGGGATGGCTGGGTCAAATGGTATTTCTAGTTCTAGATCCCTGAGGAATCGCCACACTGACTTCCACAATGGTTGAACTAGTTTACAGTCCCACCAACAGTGTAAAAGTGTTCCTATTTCTCCACATCCTCTCCAGCACCTGTTGTTTCCTGACTTTTTAATGATTGCCATTCTAACTGGTGTGAGATGGTATCTCATTGTGGTTTTGATTTGCATTTCTCTGATGGCCAGTGGTGATGAGCATTTTTTCATGTGTTTTTTGGCTGCATAAATGTCTTCTTTTGAGAAGTGTCTGTTCATGTCCTTCACCCATTTTTTGATGGGGTTGTTTGTTTTTTTCTTGTAAATTTGTTTGAGTTCATTGTAGATTCTGGATATTAGCCCTTTGTCAGATGAGTAGGTTGCAAAAATTTTCTCCCATTTTGTAGGTTGCCTGTTCACTCTGATGGTAGTTTCTTTTGGTGTGCAGAAGCTCTTTAGTTTAATTAGATCCCATTTGTCAATTTTGGCTTTTGTTGCCATTGCTTTTGGTGTTTTAGACATGAAGTCCTTGCCCATGCCTATGTCCTGAATGGTAATGCCTGGGTTTTCTTCTAGGGTTTTTATGGTTTTAGGTCTAACGTTTAAGTCTTTAATCCATCTTGAATTGATTTTTGTATAAGGTGTAAGGAAGGGATCCAGTTTCAGCTTTCTACATATGGCTAGCCAGTTTTCCCAGCACCATTTATTAAATAGGGAATCCTTTCCCCATTGCTTGTTTTTCTCAGGTTTGTCAAAGATCAGATAGTTGGCTAGCTGTTTCTTCTTTGAGGAATTTATGTCTGTTTTTCACATAATATATCTAAATCCTTACTTTTCCTTGATTTTTCTATTTTAAGTATGATATGTTAACTCTTTACTATAGAAGATGATTTCACTGTCTTATATTCTCTCCCCCCATTTATATAATTCATTTCTCCTTCTTTTGCACATACAGTTATATCACAATTTTGACTAAGTAACTATATTTTTTACAATCGAACTGTACTTAAGTTTTGTTTTCTTTGAGCTAAAATGTACTTTAGTTTTCTTTGTATCCATCACTAAATTTCTGCCAGAAGTGAATGTACTGAATGTCTCTTCTTAATATTTCCAAACACATAAGGAATTTTTTTTTTCACTTTCAGAAACAGATGTCTGTTGGAATTTCTGTCCTCTTGCTCCTTTCTTGACTCTTGTTCTTAAAGGTCTGCTCATAGCTTTGCCCCAGGATCTCCCATTGCTGTTAATCAGAGGATTCCCAATATATATATATTTTTTTTCTATATTGGCTTTTCAGTTTCCTGGGTCTCATATCTTCCTTTTTCTTTGTTTGCTAGTTTGTTTTGATAAAGCACATACTCTACTAGTTCTCAGAGAGTAGGTACATAGAAGACAAATTCTCTGAGATGTTCATGTCTGAAAATGTCTGTAGTCTACTTTCAGACTTCATTGATATTTGTGTTGGATATAGAATTCTAGAAAATTGAATTCTTCAAAATTGAAGGCATTGCTTCAGTTGTTTTTTAACTTCCAGTGCTGCTATTAAGATATCTGATACCTTCTGATGCCTGTTTTCCATATGTGCTGTTTTTTGTTGTTGTTTTGTTTTTGAATCTCTGATCAGTTTTCTCTGTTCCCTCTTAAAATTACTGTTATTCAGATGTTGACTCTTATGGTCTTCAAATTAGCATAACAACATTTTACTCCTATCATTAACTTTTTGTTTAAAAGATTTAGTCACCTTTATTTCACAACTCTTCTACTGACTTTCAAATTTCTCTTATATTTTTTATTTCTAAAAGCTCTATTTTGTTCTCTGAATATTTCTTTTTATATATCCTCCTGTTTTTGCTTAGTGGGTACAATGTCTTTTTCTCATGTATTAAAAAATAATAATTATATGGTTTTGGCTTCTTTTTTTCTCAGTTTTCTTCGCTCCCTGCCCTAACTCGTTCTCTGCCCTAACTCTATTTCCTCAGTTCTTTTTCTTTTTTTGTTGTGGTTCTCTCTCTCCCTGGCTATTGTTGTATTACAGAAGTTTGTTAACCTGTTTCGGACCTTGGACTCGTCCGGCAGGCTGAAGCCTATGGAATGCTAACCCTTCTTTAAAAGGAAATCAGTTCTATTAAAATATACTTAACAAAATATTTTGTAAAGCTGTTACACAGCAATACATGTGCTTCTTTGCCCTTAATGTATTAAAATCTAGAGGTCAGTCTTAAATACTACCGTATCTGGGTGTGATAATTCATGCCTGTAATCCCAGCACTTTGAGAGGCTGAGGCAGTAGGATTGCTTCAGCAAAGGACTTCAAGTCCAGTCTGGCCAACATAGCGAGACCCTGTCTCTACAAAAAATACAAACAAAATTAGCCGAATGTGGTGGTACACACCTGTAGCCCCAGCTACTTGGAAGGCTGAGGTGGAAGAATTGCCTGAGACAGGGAGATAAAGCTGCAGCGAACTATGACCCTACCAGTATACTCCAGCCTGGGCAACAGAGGAAGACCCTGTCTCAAAAAAATAAAATAACTACCATAAGTTTGAAGCAGTGATGAGTGTAAATGATATTTTTAAGGTATCTGCATCAACTGTAATGTGATATGAAAATATCAGTGATTTTGATTGGTAACTACATCACATGTGTTGCCAATGCCACTGTAATCTGTAGCCTACATTTATAACTAAAAGGACTGTCTTATTTCAGTTAGAGGTTAGTGTAAAATGAAAATTAATTTTTTAATATACAAGTTTGTGGGCATTTTGTATTCTGTCGACAGGCACTTTTTGGGGATCATGATCCCTTTTATTAAAGGTTTCTTCAAGTGTTTGGGGTAATTGACTGTTAGCTCAAAGAGTGAGATACTAGAAAGCTGATTGGGAGCTCTGGGTGACTGAATAGTCTTCACTGTATGTTGTGGGATGCTCATCTTTATCTGTGGATCTTTTCCTCTTGGGATTCAAATCTTTTCAGAAAAGAATCCACCAGTATTCTGCCTGTGGAATGTAAATTTGCCTATGTTTTCATAGTCGTTGTGCTCTCTTATGTCCTGCTAATCAAATTTGCTTTTGTGATCCAACTGAATGGATATAATATTATGTATGTTCCCATTAAATAAAGTGATTCTAGAAAAGAACACAAACTGTCTTTAATGTTTTGAAAGCCTTAATCTGGCAGAAAAAAACTAGGCTATTACTTAAATTTAATTTTCACCTTAATTTTCCAGGAGCTTTCAAGTTGTGGATGGAATAAAAAAGAAAAATATAGTTCTGCACCAAATGCAGTTGCCTTCACAAGAAGATTCAATCATGTGAGTTTATAAATTTTGATACTGTGTCTGAAATTCAGTTCCTCAATATATACTTTTTCCTTAAGAAATAATTTAACTTTTTACATCAGTTCTGGAATATTTTCAGCCAGTATCTCTCAAGTATTGTCTCTGTGCATGATCTCTTTTTTTCTCTGTAACTCCTATTGAAAATTTATTGGAACTTGACATTCTTTCCTGCTTGTCTCTTAACCTTACATATTTTCTCTCTGTTTTTGTCCTCCATTCTGAGTGATTTCCTCAGATCTACATTTCAGTTCACTGATTCTCTTCAGATGTGTTTTATCTGTTTCAAATCTCTATGCTTTTACACCAGTCATGCTCTTTTCTTATTTTTATTTTATTTTTAAAATTTATTAATTTTCAACATAGTTTCTGTGTTATTATTGGAACTTCTTGGGGTACTACTACTCTATTTCTGCTCATTCTTAAAGTGGTTTTTTCAAAGATATATAGTGAATTTTGTATCTTTGGCTTGAAAGCTCGTGTCTGTTTAAGCTTTATTCATGAGAATTTTGCTGCTGCCTCAATTGAGGGAATACATTATTCTAAGAGGCTTTTTGTTTGCTTTTGCTCATACGTAGGGTTGTCGCAGACCTGGGACTGTTTTTTATGTTTATTGTTTTGCTTGGGGCATCTTTGTACTTCTCTGTAGTAAAAATTTAAATACCAAATCCAGTTAAAGGCAGCCTGTAGTTAACAAATTCTTCTTTTAAAATTAAATTAATTTTTTCTTTTTTTAGAGACAGGGTCTCTGTCACCCAAGCTGGAGTACAGTGCTGCAGTCATAGCTCACTGCAACCAGTCCTCCTGACTCAGCCTCTCAGGTAGCCAGGACTACAGGCATGCACCACCACGCCAGACTAATTTAAAAAGAATGTTTTGTGGAGATGAGGTCTCACTATGTTGCCCAAGCTGGTCTCGAACTCCTGGCCTCAAGCGATCCTCCTGCCTCAGCCTCCCAAGGCACTGTGATTGTAAGCATGAGTCACTCTTCTCAGTCTACAAATTCTTATGAAAGAGTTTTTCTTTTTTCTCCTTGACCACCCAGAGCTTACATTATTATAGATGCACTTGTATGTTGTCTCCCTTTTTCAAGGGAGTTGAAAAATAAGTGAATTGTTTTAGTCTGCCTTTTCACTGAGATTGTAGACCTTTGAGTAGCATTAGATAGAAATGGAGGAGCGGAGAGGTGTGAGGCCTTGTATTATGTCTTTGAAGGAGCATTAAGTCCCAAGCCCCTAATGTCACCGAGATAGGAAATCCTCCAAGGGCAGTTACAGTACCCACTCTTGTAACCACTGCTTTGCTTTTATTTCCTTATTTGTTTTTGATCTCTAGAGGAAATCCTTTATTTTTCTTCCAATTCAGAAATACATTAAAAAAAAACAGTTTGTTATATGTAACCCAGCAATTCTAGGGGTTGATAGCAAAAATACTTTTTCTTGTGAGTCCAGTAATTTTATGAAACCATGTCTTGGTGTTGGTTATTCTGGGTCAGTGTTCTTAAATGTAGTTGGCTTTAATGGACTGTCATTTGGGGAGCACGTACACTTACCCTTCCAGTATTGGGGTCTCGGGGTGGCTGGATTTATTACATAGTAGCTTAGGGCTCTCCAAGAGAATGTTCCAGCAATCGAGGCAGGGGCTGCATGGTCTTTTATGACCTCGTCCTGGAAGTCAGTGTCACTTTCACTAACACTTTCTTCATCAAAGCAGTCACAAGCCTGCCCAGATTCAGTAAGAAGTGATATACGTCCTAACTTTTGATAGAGAGTGACAAAGAATGTATGCTTAAAATCACCACAGCATTTGTCTAAGCCAGGTGCAGTGGCAAGTGCCTGTAGTTCCAGCTGCTGGGCGGCTGAGACAGGAGGATCACTTGAGCCCAAGAGTTCAAGACCAGCTTGGGCAACATACTAAGACCTTGTCTTAAAAAAAAAAAAAGTCACGTTGGCCAGGTGTAGTGGCTCATGCCTGTAATCCCAGCACTTTGGGAGGCAGAGGCTGGTGGATCACCTGAGCTCGGGAGTTTGAGACCAGCTTGGGCAACGTGGTGAAACCCTGTCTCAATTTAAAAAAATACAAAAATTAGCTGGGCATGGCAGCTTACACCTGTGGTCTCAGCTACTTAGGAGGCTGAGTCAGGAGAATCACTTGAGCCTGGGAGGCAGAGGTTGCAGTTAGCCGAGATCACCCCACTACACTCCAGCCTGGGCAACAGAACAAGACTCTGTCTCCAAAACAAAACAAATCACCATAATATTTGTATTAAAATTTGCCTGATGTTAAATTTAATTAAGTTGGTGAACATGCACTTTAGATTTGAATTCGTAGTTGATATTTGCTAAGGTTATTGTTAAGATTTCCATAGCATAACTTGATTTTTTTTTTTTTTTTAGGAGTAAACCTTGTTAGAACTGGGGAGGATTATTACTTTTAGTAGCCCAAGTATAGTAACAAGTATTAAGGTGACTTTGTAAAATATGTATACTTTATATTTACATATATATTTGTAAAATATATGTAAAATACATACATAATGACATTTCTTTACAGATGAAAATTGCAAGTAAAATCTGAAATATTTCTCATTAAAAATGTGAAGAAATATGAGGCAGTGGCATTATTTGTTGCACAATAATTTTGAACTATATTCTGTATTTAGATTTGTATAAGTGAACCAACTTACAGTGCTTTGACTTTTTTTCATAGTACATGAATTAAAGTGTATTACATGGACATATTGTATCATATAATAAGCAAACTATTCAGAGTAGAGCATTATCATATTATATATCTAATCTGCCTTCTAATAAATTAGTTTTAATTATTTTTTAAATCAAGATGGTTTTATTTGAAAGCATTACAAAATTTTTGAAATGCAGTTTTAATCTTAGAATGTTAACTTAGATATATATTTTTTTCTTTTGATATTTTATTTACACCAAGAAAACCCTACTTGGGAATCTTCACTTATGATTCTACTCAATCTAAATAAACAGTCATGTAGAATTACACAGCCACAGAAAAACCTGCTATAAGTAGCACCTTTAACAATGTTTAATTTTAGAGCTTACCTAATTCTGCCAAAATTTTTTAAAATACAGCAAAAAAACTTACAAATTAAAAATCATAGTGATATTTATTTAAAATTTTTATTTACAGGTAAGCTTTTGGGTTGTTAGAGAGATTCTTCATGCTCAAACATTAAAAATTAGAGCAGAAGTTTTGAGCCACTATATTAAAACTGCTAAGGTAAGAAAAACTTGTGTTTTTATTTTTGAGTTCAACCATTCATAAATGTTTGTAAGTGAATAAATATTCGTGATGCTTTATTCACTGTTTATTGATACTGGAAAAATAAGACTCATTGATATAAGTCAATTTTTAAAATTGGATGCCTACTTTCTCTGCCTTTTCCTTTATTCTTCCTGTTTTCCTACCTTTTCTTTTATATTCTTCCTCCCACTCTCTGAGTAGCTGAATTATGTGATCTGTTTTACTGAATAAGTAGACAAAGGTTGGATTATGGTAAAGTATGATATTTATAAAATATTGGACTATTCTGCAGGTGATGAAGAAAGCCATAAAGAATTAAGTAGGAGAATACTACTTCACTTCTGAAGTGAACCATGTGAAGAATAAGACTTTATTTTTAAGAGAATGGTATATGTGATATTACCACATTGTTAACTGAACAGTTATTGTGTGACATAGATAATAAATACAGCAAGAGAAATGGAGAATGGATTTCAAAGGTAGTTGGAAATTAGAAGGGTGAGACAGGATGTTCTACAAAGGATACCAAGATTTTATTAAAACTTGTAACAACTCTGAATTTGGTTGGAGGGGCAGAAAGGGGGAGTGAGCCCTTCCCTCTCCATCATGAAGGGTCAAGGCCGGCAGCGATGTAACAAAAGACAAGTTAATGAGAGAAAAGCATAGCAGATTTATTACATGTGCATAGGAGTCATACAAAGTATAAACTCAAAGCAGGGCCAAATGGTTGATGCTTAAATATCTTCTTCACTGGGGAGAGGGGAGTTTTGGGGGAGGGGGTACATAAGAGTAAGTGATTTTCAGGTAAAATGAATGAGCCCAGAGAACGAAGTCCTGAGACCAAGTTTCTCTGAGCTCTAGGGGAGGTGGCATTACAGGTTATGGGAGAGCGAAGGGAGAAGAACATGTTAAGCAAAGACAGATATCTCAAGGAAGTATCTCAGATAATCTCAGAGCTACCCTCAGAAAGAATAGTTGGGGTCGCCTATGGTTGAGTTAATCTTTCCTAGATCTGGACAAGGGAGAGGATGCTCAGAGGAAGCCTAGCTGTTCATTTCACCATTGTAGATTTTCTTTACAGATGTGAATCTCCTCCACAAAGGGCAGCTTTTCAGGGCTATATCTGTCCGTAGGCCCTCTGAATAGCTATCTCAAAATATGTCAAAGAAGTATATTTTAGGGTAATATATTTTTGGTTTCCTTTAATGTTAAGTTCACTAAGAAGTATGGTAATTGTAGCCACGTTCATTCATTACTCTTGTAATAAATACGTAACTTTCCTCACATGTGAATGAAAGAAGGCAGAATAAAATGAGGATATCATGTTTACAGTTATTAAAAGTCATAACTCTTTCCTATTTTCCTTAAGAACATGGGAGCAATTGTATTCTAACATTCTATGGCACTAGGTGGCAGAGCTAGCCTTCTACAAATTTGATATTTTGCAAAAGTGTCAAAATATTTTTAGAAATTCTTTGTGATGATATGTTAGGTAAATACTTTTTTTTTTTTTTTTTTTTTGGAGGTGGTGTTGCGCTCTGTGGCCCAGGCTGGAGTGCAGTGGTGCGATCTCGGCTCACTGCAAACTCTGCCTCCCGAGTTCAAGTGATTCTCACATCTCAGCTTCCCAAGTATCTGGGACTACAGGTGCATGCCACCACACCCGGCTAATTTTTGTATTTTTAGTAGAGATGGGGTTTCACCATGTTGGGCCAGGCTGGTCTTGAACACCTGACCTCAAGTGATCTCCCACCTCGGCCTCCCAAAGTGCTGGGATTATAGGCGTGAGCCACTGCACCCGGCCAATACTGGTTTTTAACTAATAAAAATTAATGATTCTTCATGGATTCTGCATTATTATTTTCTGATATTTTTGTTAGTTTTTAAATTTACTTGTATGTTCCACTCAAAACCACCAAATTTTGCTCAAACCTACCACTGTCTTCATCAAACAATCATTTAACTTCAGTTCAGACTTTGAATTATTTTTGACAGCACTTGCCTTCATCCCAAGCTCTAAACTCATAATTGTTTTTTTCTCATTGTCCCTTAAACCCTTCTATTCTGACTCTCTGCCTTCTATACTGTTTGTTATAAAACTGGCAGGTCTCTTACTTGAGTATTGTTATCAGTCAGCATTCTCCAGAGAGATAGAACCGTAGCATTCTGTATAAACATGTATAAAGAGATCTAAATATAAAATGTATAAATAGATTTTAGGAATTGGCTTATACAATTGAAGGGACTGGCAAGTATGAAATCTGTAGGGTAGGCCAACAGGCTGGAAACTCAGGAGTTTAGGCACTAGTCTTGAAGCAGAATTTCTTTTCCAGGAAACACCAATTTTCAATGTTAAAGCCTTTCAACTGATCAAATGAGGCCCACACACATTATCAAGTGGAATCTCTTGATTTGTAGATGTTAACCGCATCTACAAAATATCTTCATGACAACACCTAGATTAGGGTTCGATTAAATAACTGATACTAATAGTCTAGACAAGTTGACACATCAAACTTACCATCACATAGATACAAAAGAATATAAGAATATTTAAAGTATCAAAAGAATGATAATGTGGATACCCATGCACCCACTGACCACTGGGAATTTTCATATGCCTCTTCATATGCCACCTCCTTCCCTTCTACTGCAATGGGAACTACTGCCTTGAATTTTTTCTTTTACAGTGTGTATGTTTCTGAATCATATGTTGCTGCAAATATATGCTTTTGGATTTTGTTTAAATTGAATTATTCCATATTTACTTTTGTACTTTCATAACTCAGCAGTGTTACTTAATGGTTTTGGGAGTAGCTCTGTTGTAGAGTATCCTATTTGTATATATCACAAATTATTCAATGTACTTTGGATTATTTCCAAATTCTTGGCTATTATGAGCCCTGCTGCCATAAGCATTCTTGTATGAGTCTCTTGGTGCTTATGTGACGGTTGAAGCCCTAGAAATACAGAGTTCGTACTAGCAGTGAAATTACTGAGTCTCTCTCTCTCTCTCTTTTTTTAGACAGGATCTTGTTGTTCTGTCACCCAGGCTGAAGGCCAGTGGTGTGATCCCAACTCACTGCATCCTTGACCTTCTGGGCCCAGGCAATCTTCCTACCTCAGCCTCCCGAATAGTTAGGATTACAGGCATATGCCACCACCTGTGGCTAATTTCTGTTTTTTTGTTTTGTTTTGTTTTGTAAAGACAAGGTCTCATTATGTTGCCCAGGCTGGTCTTGAACTCCTGTGCTCAAGTGATCCTCCCATGTTGGCCTCCCAAAGTGCTGGGATTACAAGTGTGAGCTACTGTACCTGTCCCCTCGTCTCTTTAGCTTTGTTATAGATAACCTCCAAACTGATTTATATTTATATATGCTCACTAGCAATGTATGAAGATGCCTGTTGCTCCACATCCATGTCACCATCTGATATTGTCAAAATTTTTCATTGTTGCCAATTCTGGTGGATGTGAAATTTATCTCATTTTAGTTTTAATTGCTTTTCATTGAATCTGATAGGAGTGAACATCTTTTCTATGTTGGCCATTTAGGTTTTCTCTCTTGAAAGGTCTGTTTAAGATCTTTCAGCAGTTTTCTGTTTTGGTATTGGTCTTTTATTGTGTGTGTTTTGGTTTTTTTGTTTGTTTGTTTTTATTTATTTATTTATTTTGATGGATTCTCACTCTGTTGCCCAGGCTGTAGTGCAGTGGTGCAATCTTGGTTCACTGCACCCTCCACCTCCTGGGTTCATGTGATTCTCCTGCCTCAGCCTCCCAAGTAGCTGGGATTACAGGCTCACACCACCATGCCCAGTTAATTTTTGTATTTTTTTTTTAGTAGGACAGGGTTTTGCCATGTTGGTCAGGCTGGTCTTGAACTCCTGACCTCAGGTGATCCTCCCATCTCGGCCTCCCAAAGTTCTGGGATTACAGGTGTGAGCCACCGCGCCTGGCAGTCTTCTATTGATTTTTGTAGGAGTTCTTTATATAACTCTAGATGCTAGTTCTCATAAGCTTTGCATGTATCTTGCTATTTGTAGCTTGTCTTACCACTTTTTTCGTATTTTCTGATTTACATGTTCTTAATTTTAGTAGTCAGATTTACTGATCCTTAATTTCTGTCTTGGTCTGTTCTGGCTGCTATAACAAAAATACCGTTAACTAGGTGGCTTGTAAAAACAAACATTTATAAACAGTGAACATTCTAGAGAACTGTGAGGATTAAGTCCAATATCAAGGTGTCAGCAGATTCAGTGTCTGGTAAGGGCCCATTTCTCATAAAGCCCTTCATGTTGCAACAAAGTTCCTTCAAGCATTTTCCCAAACAACATTTCCTCCATATTGCCCTGCCAACACACCCCACTGCTACAATATAGATGAAGGCTGTTCTGGGAATTTATGTAAGTGGGATCCTACAGAAAGCTATTACTTGTGGTTGACTACTCTTGCTCACCATGTTGTTGAGATTCATCCACATTGCATGTTATTGATAATTCTTTTATTGCTAAGTAGATTTCCAGTGTATGGATATTCCACAATTTCTTCATCATTTGCTTATTAATGCACATATTGTTTTTACTTTGGCTTTTATGAATAAAACTGTTATGAACATTTTTGTGGAGTATGCATTGAGTTTTCTTGGATTATACCTAGGAATGGTGGACTTTCTGGGTTATAGATTAGGAATATGTTTTAACTTTATTAGAAACTGCCAAATATTGTTATTTTCCAACATAACCCGGTTGGTTTTACCACTTTAAATTGCAGTCAGCAATAAGTCTTCCAGTTACTCCACACATCTTGCCAGTACTTGGTGTTTAATTTTTTTTTTTAATCTGGCCTTTCTTTTTGGGTGTGTAATAGTATCTTACTGTGGTTTTAATTTGTATTTTTCTGATGATAGTGATGGTTGAGTATCTTTTCATATGTATGTGGACCATTTGGATATTTTGTTTTGTGATACTATCCTTTCAAATCTTTTACCCATATTTTTAATAGGATTGTTTGTCTTATCAAGTTGTAGGGATTTTTTTAATGTATTCTGAATACAAACCCTTTTCAGAAATAAGTATTTTTTCCTAGTCTATGCCTTGCGTTTTTATTTTAATGCTGTCTTTTGGTTAGTGAGCAGAACTGTTCAATTTTAATGAAGTCCCATTTGTTATTTTTATCTTTGTGGTTACTGTGTTTTGTGTCTTGTTTAATAAATCTTTTCTTAATCCAGGGTCATAAAGACATTTTCCTTTGATCACTCCTAGAAGTATTATAGTTTGAAGTGATTTTTTTTTTTTTTTTGGAGATGGAGTTTTGCTCATGTCACCCAGGCTGGTGCACAATGGCGCAATCTCAGCTCATTGCAACCTCTGCCTCCTAGGTTCAAGCGATTCTCCTGCCTCAGCCTCCCAAGTAGCTGAGATTACAGGCATGCACCACCACGCCCAGCTAATTTTTGTATTTTTAGTAGAGATGGGGTTTCACCATGTTGGCCAAGCTGGTCTCGAACTCCTGACTCAGGTGATCCACCCACCTCGGCATCCCAAAGTCCTGGGATTACAGGTGTGAGCCACCGCACCCAGCCAAATTAATTTTTGTGTCTGGTGGAAGGTGTAGGAGTTAAGGTTCATTTTTTTTCCTCATAATAATATCTAGGCCAGGCACAGTGGCTCACACCTATAATCCTAGCACTTTGGGAGGCTGAGGCGGGCAGATCACTTGAGGTCAGGAGTTTGAGACCAGCCTGGCCAAACTCTACTAAAAAATACAAAAATAACTAGGTGTGTTGGCGCACTCCTGTAATCCCAGCTACTCAGAAGGCTGAGGCAGGAGAATCACTTGAACCTGGAAGGCAGAGTTTGTGGTGAGCTAAGATCACGCCACTGCACTCCAGCCTGGGCGACAGAGACTCTGTCTCAATTTAAAAAAAAAAAAAAAAAAAAAAAAAAGAATATCTAATTGTGCTAACTCCATTCTTTTCTCTGTTTAACTGCTTTGACATTTTGGTTGAAAATCACTTGATCAAATACGTGTAGGTATATTTCTGTTCCTTTGATTTATTTGTCTATTCTTATTCCAATATCTCTTTGTCTTAATTACTGTAGCTTTGTAGTAAGCCTTGCAATCTGATAGTGTTCTAATTTTTTTTTCTTCTTCAAGATTGTCTTGGCTATGCTATCTCCATTTTATATCTGTGGAAATTTTAGAAGTAGCTTGTCAATTTCTACAACATGGCCTGCTTCCATTTTTGATTGAGGTTTTATTGAATTTATAGATCACTTTGGGAAGAATTGATAACAACATTAAGACTTTCAATCCACAAACATGGTTTATTTCTGTTTAAGTTTTCTTTAATTTCTCTCAGCAGTGCTTTATTTTCAGTGAAGCACTGTTGTATATCATTATTTCTAATAGACAGCCAATGTTCTGATATTATTGTAAATGTTTTTCCGGCTCATTTTCTAATTGTTTGGTGCTACATATGCAGTCGTGTTACCTGAAAATAAAGGCAGATTTGACTTCTTCCTTTCTGACTTTTCTACCTTTAAACATTATATTTAAAAGAATGGTAGAGACTGGAGTAAATACTCTCTTCTCCCAGGGTGGTTAAGCCCAATCCTCTGTGAGGGAACAAGAATGAGAAGCTGATTTTTCTGGCTGGGCATGGTGGCTCACGCCTGTAATCCTAGCACTCTGGAAGGCCAAGGCGGGCAGATCACCTGAGGTCAGGAGTTTGAGACCAGCTGGTCAACATAGTGAAACCCTGTCTCTACTAAAAATACAAAAATTAGCCATGCATGGTGGGGCTCTCCTGTAGTCCCAGCTACTCGGGAGGCTGAAGCAGGAGAATCACTTGAACCTGGGAGGCAGAGGTTGCAGTGAGCCGAGATCATGCCAGTGCACTCCAGCCTGGGTAACAGAGCGAGACCACGTCTCAAAAAAGAAAAAAGAGAGAGAAGCTGATTTTTCTGATCCAATTAGGAATTGAGGTGGATAGGGTTGAGTTTTAGCTTTAGTTAGTTTCATATAACCTCTGGTCACAAATGACTCAGGGCAAAATCTGTACTTTGTATGGTACAGGCCCCTTGCTGTAGTAGGGACCCTGGGATCTAAGTCCCAGAGATCTCTCTCTGCTTTCTAACCCAGCTGTCAGCCTCCAGCACTGACACACAGTAAAGTAAGTTCCATTAGGAGTGAATCAGTGGACACAGAGCCAACTCTAGGTTTGAGACTCCTACAGATTCTAGTCTATTATACCAGCCCACAGATTTTACTTTAGCAAAATCTGCCTGTCGGAGCCTTCATCTTTGCCTAGCCTTGTAGAGATTCAGCGTATGCCCTCAGGGAGGAAAAACTGTTTAAAGGCTGTTGGTTTTTTTTACTTTGGAATTTAGTTATTTGTGTTCTTTGTGTCCACAACTCTCCAGTGTCTTTAATAAAATGGTTTTCTAAGTTTTATCTGTTTTGTTTTCTTGCCATTATGGCTTTAACAATGGTTTCTCATGTTGTTCTACATCTTAGGCAGAAGCTACTAGTTCAGCATGAGTTTTTGTTGTTTTTCTTTTTCTTTTTTTTTTTTTTTTGAGACAGGGTCTTGCTGGGTTGCCCAGGCTAGAGTGCAGTGGCTCAAGCATGGCTCATCACAACCTGTGCCTCCTGGGCTCAAGCAGTCCTCCCATCTCAGCCTCCCCAGTAGCTGGGACTACAGGCACATGCCACCACGCACCTGGTTAATTTCTGTGTTTTTTTTATAGAGACAAGGTTTTGCCATGTTGCCCAGGCTGTTCATGAACTCCTGGGCTCAAGCAGTTCACCTGCCTCAGCCGCCGGAAGTGCTGGGATTACAAGTGTGAGTCACCATGGCTGGCCTCTGTTTATTCTTACTATGAAGTAGTTATTTGGGCTGCAAACCTCCATAAGACCCCTCCCCTCTTCCCTTAGCACTAAGGTTCACAGCAGGCATTGTTGTCTGGCAGTCTCTTGATGGTGGGTAAGGATTACTTCTATCCTGCCCTTACGCTCAGGCAATGAGTCCTTCAGTGTCTCTGCTTTATGCAATGAGAGTCTCTTATTGGAACCCCCACCATAGATTAGGCCCTGGGCAATGTGTCCCATGAAGCTTGGAAAGCTAACCAGATTTTCAAATGTCCTCCAAGGGATTGCCAGCTTTGGTGTTCAGCTTACATCTCTGGATTCTCCTTAGTTTTAGGGCCCTAAGTATTCCTTACTTTATTGCTAGCTTTACAGTGAATTTTCATAAGATGTGTTTCATATCTTACCCAATATTTTTAATTATTTTCACTGGAAGAGTAGGTCAAGGTGTCTAATTTACCAGACTTCTGGTATGTAGTCCTTACTAAATTTTGAATCCATTCCCCCTCTTCAACTCCACTGACACTAATGTATCAGATCCTTCTCATCATCTCTCACTGTAGTCTCTGAACTGATTCCCTTCCTGTATGCCACCTTCTGCTCCCTGATCTTTCCAAAATGTAGTACACATCCATAATATCTTACCCAAAGCATTTGGGGCCAGATATATTTAGGAATACACTTTTTTCCCCAGATTTTAGAAAGGTGGTATAGTTCATATACCATCTGTGGTATGCTCATCACAATCACCTCCACCTCCTGCTTATGTAATACCTTGAAATCAAACACACTTAATATTTTTGGAGCAAAACATGTAATTATTCACCTTAAGTGAGATCAATGAAGTCTGTCATTAGCCTCACATCAGGTTAGATTTTCCCACCTAGTGAACCTGAGACCACACTACCAAATAAACAAAACTTTGACTTTTCAGGTTTGAGATCTCAGAATTGCAGATAAAGGGTTGTGAACCGATGCCTGGCATTCAGTTATATCATTCTCAAATTTAAAAATTCTCCAAATCCTCCACTGGAGTTCTTACTGCTTATGAGAGCAAATCTAGCCTTTAAAGAGGCTTCACATGTAAAAATGGCCCTTTCTGGTTTCATCTTCTGGTACTCTGATACTTCTCATATTCAGCTTCCAGACACCTTCATGCCTTTGTGCTTTTTGTAAATTGTATTCCCTCTTTCTCATAGCCCCTCACTCTCAAGTGTCATTTCTGGAAATCTGAATCTCTCAGACAAAGTTAGGGGCTGATTATTCTGTAGAACCCTATATATACTTTTATTTATATAACCCTATATATACTTTTATTCTAGAAATATGCAAATTGGATTTGTATTTGTTTTCATGTCTCACTAGACTGAAGCTTCTTGATAGGTCTTTTTCATTTTTGTATATGCAGTCTAATATGGTGCCTAGTATAATAAATGCTTAAAATACATTCATTGAATGGTTTTCCAGTTAGATTATATAACCTTGGATGAGGGTTTATATTATGTTTTGTGTTATTAATTTATTTTGTTTTTATTTGTTTTCTTCGGGCTTTCAATTAAATGCTGTATCCACAGCATTTTCTAGACCTGGGGCTTACCTGGCTGTAGGATTAGGACAGTTGTAAAATGACTGATTTTTAGACAGGACTTGCAGGATATAAGCATCAGGCAGTATTTAAAAATCTGGGAAATTAGCAATAAATGTTATGCAGATCTCATGGGAAAGTGCTGGAAACTAGTGTTAGGTAGGAGTTTTATGCATACAGACTGTAAAATCAATGTCTCAGCACGAATGAGGGAAAAAGGATCTGGGGATTTGGGTAGGAGGAAGCAGAAAATTGAGAGGGACTGTACTGTGAAAGGCAGGTTTCTCCCTTGCCCTGGAATAATGGGAGTACTGGATGGGAAACCAAATCAGAATCCTGGATGTTGACCCTTTATTGAAACTTGAAACATAAAGCAGAGGCTTAGTAATAGTTCAGTATAAGGGAGACTGTTTACTAGAAACCAGCTTTCATGATCATACCATGTAAACTTGATAATGAGACATAACCTTGGTTTTCTTAATATATTACTCAACTAGAGGTAGATTTATTCCCAGAGTTTGGGGACAATGCCAGGGTAGAACATGTAAGTTCTGTTGTGCACCAAAATAACTTAGTGTAAACACAGGGTACTCTAAAGACAGTTCTCAGTAATGAAGGTAATATATGCTGGAACACTACCAGTTGCCAAGATTGTACTTGTTAGTCTAAATTTTCTTGTATTCATGTTGTTCTTTTTCATCCCTCTCCCCCATTTTTTTTCAAATCTTCAGAAACTGTATGAGCTGAATAACCTTCATGCACTTATGGCAGTGGTTTCTGGCCTACAGAGTGCCCCAATTTTCAGGTTGACTAAAACATGGGCGGTGAGTAATATTCTTTAGTTAATGAAAGGTTAGACTTCCTGTGGAAAGGAAAGATATATTCATTTCCTTTGTAATTCTTATTAAAGTTAATATAATGATAATCAATAAGGATTTTTAAATTGCTTTGTACTCTATTCTTTGATACCTACATTTTTTCTCCTTAAGCAGTGCACTGGGTATAAGGTAATTTTTGGGTACAGCTTGGTGCTTAGTTTTTGCTCCTTAGAGAATCATTTTTGTTGAAACACTTTCAATATCTTTGACAACGTAATGTTTAATATTCAACTGATGGAAGGTATGAATACAAAAAAATTGCATTTAATCGTAAAGATTATGCTTTTGGAAAGTTTGAGGCATATCTGAATCATAGGTTTCAAAAAAATTTTACTGATTTCAATTTCCATTATTTTTTAGTGAGTAAATCTTAAGTTTTTTCCTTAGGAATAATGGAAAACTAGATGATTAACATGGAATTATTTGCTGTTGCTGCACATGCTGATATTATGTTAATCATATTTGGTTCTATTACTTATATGAGATCAGAGTATGAATTTTGACCTCTGCAAATTTGTGTATTTTCATATTTGAGTAACATGATATTGTACTCAATCTTTTCAGGTAGTTTTCATTTATAGTTTATATAAGTAAAATTTTATATTCAATTAAATTTATTTATATTCAATACTATTCTTTAATGTTAAAGAGCAACTATTTTGTTTAGAATCGATTACATTTTGTACAAAGGATCAATGTGTTTTTAAGGTTCTGGGCTAAAATCATGACTGACTTTTTAAAACTTTATTACTAAAATATAACTTTTTAATTAACAAAGTGCTGCTTTTGCTTTTTATAGTATCTGAAGAGACAGATGTTTCCCATGAAAACCAGTGTAGATTTCTATATTGGAAAAACATTAGTATGGAAAAGCTTGTGATCCTTTTTATGTTTCTCTTTTCTATTTTATAGAAAAACCTTGGTGTGAAGGGTTTTCTTTAAAAATTCTTTTTAATAATTATGGCCTTATTGTCTTTTCTTAAAATTTGAATTTCATGGAGGAATGGAAATGATTATAAATATACAGTTATGAATTATATCTTTAAAGTTTTAGGGAAAAGAATTATACGCTGTGAAAAAAAAATTCTATTTTTATTTTTTGCATCCAGGCTGGAGTGTAGCACGATCATAGCTTACTGCAGCCCCCAACTCCTGGGCTCAGAGGATCCTCCAGCCTCAGCCTCCCAAGTAACTGGACTACAGGCACATGCCACCATGCCCAACTAATTTTTTAAAAAGTTTTTATAGTGATGGGGTCTCACTGTGTTGTCCAGGCTGTTTTCGAACGCCTGATCTCAAGTGATCCTCCCGCCTTAGCCTCTCAAAGTGCTGGGATTACAGGCATGAGCCATTACGCCCAGTCCTATACTTTTATTTATGATTTGGTTTAGTAATGAGGTAGATTTTGCTGAAGTTAATTTTTATTTTCCTTGAAGATATTTTCATTGCCTCCCTTATGTATTTTTGTGGAAAATAATAATTTTTATTTGGTAACAGCTTCATTATTTATCTGAATAAAACTTTTGATGGTTTGTATTTTAAAATATTTCATACTGTGCTATGCACTCTGTAATTGCTTGACATTTAATAGTGAATGATCTAGACAAAGTTCCATTTTCATACAGCTAACATTCTGCTGGGGAAGAATAAATTACAAATAAATAAATGACATAAATAGCAATAAATGCTCTGAAGAAAAGTAGAAAGGAAGGCAGGACAGTACTGTGTTATGTAACATGGTAAGAGAATTGTTGATAAATGACAGTTCAGTAGAGACCTGGAGGAATTGAGGGAACCATTTATTTGGATATCTGGGAGAAGAGAATTCCAAGTAGAGGTAATAACAAGTAAAAAGGCCCAGATACATTCAAATGGCAGAGTGGTTAGTGTTGACAGTAGAATAAGCTAGGAAGGTACCCGGTGGTAGGAGATGATTTCAAAGAGGTGGCATGAATCAGATAATGGAGGTGCTGTTTACTTATATTCAGAGAGGTATAGAGAAGGACCATTGTGGGCTGGGGTTCTATTTTACACATACTGTGTTTGAGTTGGCTAGTAAACATCCATGTGAAATGTAAGGTCAGACTTAGATGTACAAGTTTAAGGGAGTGGTTGGGGCTAGAGAGAGATTGTTATAATCATCAATGTAAACTATTTGAAGCTAGATGGGATTACCTAAGGAGGGAGCATAGATGAAAAGCCCTGGGAACCTCCAGGATTCCCAAGTAGAGATTGGAAAAATGAGGAGAAATCAACAAAGGAAATTACGGGTAGGACACATTTTTCACAGTCAGGTAAAGAAAATGTTTCAATAAAAATTGATCACCTTTGTCAAATGCTACTAATAATTTGAATAAGGTGCAAAGTTTGAGATGACCTGACAATTGGAAAGGATTGGTGACCTCGGGAAGAGTGATTTCAGTAGAGAATGGGGTGAAAAACTGACTGGAGTTGAGAGAATGGTGATGAAGAAGTGGGACAGCAAGTATAGAGAATGCTTTTGAGGAATTTTACTGTAAAGGGCTGCAGTGTGGTTTGCAGAGAAATATGGTACCTGGAAGGGAATGTGGGACCAAAGATTTGTTGTATTTTGTTTTGTTTTTGGAAATGGCATCAATGGCAATATGTTTTATGTTGGTGGCAATAATCTAGTAGAACTAAAAAAATGACAAGAGAATGAGGAATTATACCAGTGATATGCTTGATGAGATGAAAGAGAATTAGATTTAGTACCCTAGTGTATCAGTAAGAGTTTATCCATTTTACGCCGGGTGCAGTGGTGGCTCATGCCTGTAACTCCAGCACTTTGGGAGGCCAAGTCGGGCGGATCACAAGGTCAGGAGATCCAGACCATCCTGGCTAAAACGGTGAAACCCCGTCTCTACTAAAAATACAAAAAAATTAGTCAGACGTGGTGATGGGCGCCTGTAGTCCCAGCTACTCTGGAGGCTGAGGCAGGAGAATGGCGTGAACCCAGGAGGCGGAGCTTGCAGTGAGCCGAGATCGCGCTACTGCACTCCAGCCTGTGCGACAGAGCAAGACTCTGTCTCAAAAAAAAAGAAAAAAAAAGAAAAGATAGTTTATCCATTTTAACAGCAGGGAAGGGAACACATTTAGTTACAGATGCAGGTAAGTTGGTAGATTTCGTGGTGGGATTCTTAGAAGTTCTGATTGTTTTGTTTCCTCAGACATAAAAAAGCAAGGTCTTTAGTTAAGGTGGTATGGGAGAGGTGTTGGAGATTTGAAGAAAGAAGAGAGGATATAAAAGTCATCTGGAGAGTGTGAGAGTGTGTTAACTAAGAAAACGTAATAGGTTTGATAGACCTTATGTAGGATCCATCTACTTAAGACTTTTTTTTAATCATGAATTTAAAGTAAAACCAGTCAGCAGAGTTATGTATTCTCCAGCCAGGTTCAGATATTCAGCATAAGCTTTCAATAGTGCCAAGAGTTGTATTTAACCAGAGATGGGATTTTTCGAGGCTTTTGTACCAGAAGGGTTAAGGGTAGCACAAGAGGTGAAAGACGGAAAATATGAGAGTTGTTTTATTGACAGATGAGGAAACTAAGCCAAGTAAAAGGAGGAAGATGATGAACAGTGAAAAGGTAGGCTGGTCAGTGGTTTGGAAGCCACAGTGGAGTCAAATAATCACTGGATTCAGAATGAGAAAGGGAGTGCAAGCTGAGGGTGGTAGAAGATAAGATCATTGGAGCAGAAGTCCAGAAACTAAGAAACCAGAGTATTGGGAGTATTCTCTCCATGAAATGGCAATCACCAAGATTTATGATAATAATTTTGGTTCATGGATTTTTTTTCTCCAACTACAAAAATCTTCAAGATATAGGGGGAAAATGACTTGTAGATCTATAAATGACAGTAACATAAGTGTTGTAATCTAGGGTTCTCTTGTTTAATATGGTAGCCATTAGCTACATGTGGCTATTACATTTAAATCATTAAAATAAAATAAAATAAAAAATTTAGCTCCTTGATCATACTAGCCACATTGCAAGTGCTCAGTAGTCACATGTGGCTAGTGGCTATCATATTGGACAGCACAGGCATAGATTTTCACCATCACATAAAATTCTGTTGGACAGCACTTATCCTAGTGCCTTCAATTTAATAGAAGCTGGAGGATTTTAGGGAGCAGGGTGAGAGATAATGAGCTGGAAGAAATTGTGAAGAGTAAGGAGCAAAGATTACACCTAACCTACCTCCAGGCATATGTTACAAGGTTTATAAGAAAAGAAAGGGAATGCTTAGAGAAAATGTTAAGGATAGGGATTTTGCAGAGGATGGACCATGAATTCAGGAGGATACAGTTGGAAAGGTTTGGGATGGTTTTGTTTTGTTTTGTTTTAACCGATAAAGGGAATGTACCAAAAAGACAACAACATTCTATGTAGGGAAAATATTAAGAGCATCAAGGAAAAGGATGCACAATTTCACTGTTGTATTCAACATATAATTGCTATTGTATATGTTTTAATGTTCATAACAACATTATTCACATAGTCAAAAGGTAGAAACAACCCAAACATCTAACAGTGGATGAATGAATAGACAAAATATAGTTTATACATACAGTGGAATATTCATCTCTCTTTAAAAGCAATGAAATCTTGATACATGCTGCACCATGAATAAACCTTCAGACATTATGCTAAGTGAAATAAACCAGATACAAAAGAACAAATACTGTATAATTCCTATAATTCCACTTATATGAGGTACCTAGAGTAATCAAATTCATACAGACAGAATCTAGATTGATGGTTGCCAGGGATGGGGAGAAATGGGATTTGGGAGTTATTATTTAATGGATATGGAGTTTCATTTTGAGAAGATGAAAAACTTTTGGATATGGATGTTGGTGATATCCTTGAAATGTCCCCCTGAAAATGGTTAATTGTATGTTACGTATATATTTTACCACAGTTTTTAAAAAATAGGTTTACTTAAAGTGGTTGAATATATGAGCAATACAAAATTGGTTATATTTGAAACAAGTATTATTTAAAAGGACATCGTTTACAATATCAACAAAAGAAACAAAATATCAAACAATAAGTGGAATAAAATGTGTAAGACCTATATGCAGAAAGTTATAAAACTTTACAGGAAGTCATTAACAAAGAACTAAATAGAGGGAGCAATAGCCCATGTTCATGGATAGAACTATTAGAGTTCTAACAGGTTTTTGAAACTGTAAAATAAACTGAATGTTACTAAATAAATGAATTTAGTAACATTCCAAGATACAAAATTATCTTACAAAAATCAGTTGCATTTCTGTACATTAATAACGAACTATCTGAAAAATTAAGTTTAACCAAGGAGGTGAAAAATCTATACACAGAAAACTATAAAACATTAATGAAAGAAATTGAATAAGATACAAATGAATGGAAGGATATCCTGTGTTTGTGCATTGGAAGAATTCATATTGTTAAAATATCCATACAGCCCAAAGCAATCTACAGATTCAGTGCAGTCACTATCAAAATTTCAATGACATTTATCACAGAAATAGAAAAAACAATTCTAAAATTCACATGGAATCACAAACATCTCAGAATAGCCAAAGCAATCTTGAGCAACAACAAAGCTAGAGACATCATACTCTCTGATTTTTTTTTTTTTTTTTTTTGAGACGGAGTCTCGCTCTGTCGCCCAGGCTGGAGTGCAGTGGCGGGATCTCGGCTCACTGCAAGCTCCGCCTCCCGGGTTCACGCCATTCTCCTGCCTCAGCCTCCCAAGTAGCTGGGACTACAGGCGCCCGCCACTACGCCCGGCTAATTTTTTGTATTTTTTAGTAGAGACGGGGTTTCACCATTTTAGCCGGGATGGTCTCGATCTCCTGACCTCGTGATCCGCCCGCCTCGGCCTCCCAAAGTGCTGGGATTACAGGCGTGAGCCACCGCGCCCGGCCCATACTCTCTGATTTTAAAATACACTGTGAAGCTATAGTAATCAAAATATTGTGGTTAGCATAAAATAGACATGTAGACCAATGGACCAAAATAAAGGGCCCAGAAATAAATACACACATTTACAGTCAATTGATCCTCAACAAAGATAACAAGAACACACAATGGGGAAATGGTAGTTTCTTCAATAAATTGTGTCAGAAAAACTGGATGTCCGCATGCAAAAGAATGAAACTGGACCCTTATCTCATACCATCTGCAAAAATGAACTCAAAATATACTTAGTACTTAAACATGAGACCTGAAACTGTAAAACTACTAGAAGAAAACACACGGGAAAAGCTTCTTGACAGTGGATCTGGACAATAATTTTTTGGCTATGACCCCAAAAGTACAAGCAACGAAAGCAAAAATATACAAAATGGGATTGCATCAAACTAAAAAGCTTTTGTACAGCAAAGGAGACAGTCTATGGAATGGGAGAAGATATTTGCAAATAATACATCTGATAAGGGGTTAATATCCAAAATACAGTCATGCATGGCTTAACAATGAGGATACTTTCGGAGAAATGTGTTGTTTGGTGATTTTGTTGTTCAGACATCATAGAGTGTAATCACACAAACCTAGATGGCATAGCCTACAATACACCTAGGCTATATGGTACAGCCTATTGCTTCTAGACTACAAACCTATACACCATGTTACTGTACTGAGTAGGCAGTTATAACACGGTGGTATTTGTATATTTAAACATGGAAACAGCACAGTAAAAAATACAGTATTATAATCTTATGGGACCACTGTTGTATATGCAGTTTGTTCTTGACTGACATGTCGTTTTGCAGCACATGACTGTATAAGGAACTCAGACAATGTGATAACAAGAAAACAACCCAATTAAAAAATGGGCAAAGGATCTGAATAGACATTTCTCAAAAGAAAACATACACAAGTCCCACAGGTATATCAAAAGGTGCTCAACATCGCTAATCATCAGGGCAGTGCAAATCAAAACCACATAATATATCATCTCACACCTGTTAGAATAGCTGTTATCAAAAAGCCAAAAGATAACTAACGAGTTTTGGTAAAGATGTGGAGAAAAGGGAACTGTTGTACAGTGTTGGTGGGAATGTAAATTGGTACAGTCATGGAAAACAGTATGGAGATTCCCCCAAAAATAATAATAGAACAATTATGTGATCCAGCAATCCCATTTCTGAGTATGTGTCCAGAGAAATTGAAATTGATATGTCAAAGAGATATCTGCACTCCTATGTTCGTTGCAGCATTATTCACAATAGCCAGGATATGGAACCAACCTAAATGTCCATCAGCAGATGAATGGATAAAGAAAATGTGGTTTATATACACAATGGAATACTATTCAGCCTTACATTTACAACAGCATGGATGAATTTGGAGATCATTATCCTCAGTGAAATAAGCTAGATACAGAAAGACAAATGCTACTGCACAATTTCACTTATCTGTGAAATCTTACCAGGCTGAACTCATAGAAGCAAAAAGTAGAAGGATGGTTGCTGAGGGGCAGGGGAAATGTTGGGTCAGTAGGTACAAAGTTTCAGTTATGTAGAACAGGGGTCCCCAAACCCCGGGCTGCTGACCAGTGCTGGTCCATGGCCTGTTAGGAACCAGGCCACAGCAGGAGGTGGGCAGCAGGCAAGTGAGCATTACGGCATGAGGTCCATCTCCTGTCAAATCAGTGGCAGCATTAGATTCTCATAGGTACATGAACCCTATTGTGAACTCCGCATGTGAAGGATCTAGGTTGTGTGCTCCTTATGAGAATCTAATGCCTGATGATCTGAGGTGGAACAGTTTCATCCCAAAACCTTTCCCCATTCATGTTCATGGAAAAATTGTCGCTGGTGCCAAAAAGGTTAGGGACCACTAATGGAGAGAGAATAAGTTCTGGAGATCTAATGTACAGCATGAGGACTATAGTTGACTATAGTTAATAAGACTATGTTGTATACTTGAACTTTTCTGAGAGAGTGGATCTTTTTAAATTTTATTTATTATTTATTTATTTTTATTTTTTTTGAGATGGAGTCTCGCTCTATCACCCAGGCTGTAGCGCAGTGGCACAATCTTGGCTCACTGCAATCTCCACTTCCCAGGCTCAAGTGATTCTCCTGCCTCAGCCTCCTGAGTAGCTGGGATTACAGGCGCCCACCATTTTGCCCAGCTAATTTTTATATTTTTAGTAGAGATGGCGTTTTGCCTTGTTGGCCAGGCTGGTCTCGAACTCCTGACCTCAAGTGATCTGCCTGCCTTGGCCTCCCAAAGTGCTAGGATTACAAGCTTGAGCCACCGTGTCCAGCCTAAAAGAGTGAATCTTAAATGTTCTTACCATACAAATACATAAGAAGTAACTAACTTTGTGAGATGATGGATATGTTAATTAGCTTGATAGCTTGATAATAATTTCATTATATATGTGTATTAAAACATGTACACCTCAAGTATATGCAATTTAAATTTGTCAGTTATACCCCAGTACTGCTGGTGGAAGATTGATTGTAAAATTTATATGGAAATTTAAAGGTTCAGGAATAGCTAAAGAAGACAATGGGAATTGGGGAGATAAGCACTTGGCCTAACAGATGTCAGGATATACTAGATTCTTGGACAGTGTATGATTCCTGCAGTTTTAGACATATCTACCAATGAAACAGAATGAAGAACCCAGAAATACCTCCTTGTTTTTACAGGATTCTGATACGTGTATGACAGAGGTGGCATTGTAAGTTGGTAAAGAAATGAGGGGCTGTTTATTAATTGGAGCTGCAAAATTGGTCACCAGTTTGGGGGAAAAAATGAAATCAGGCCCCTTGCGCCATTCACAAAAATCCTTGTGAGATGACTCAAGGGCTTAAATGTGAAATGAAAAACTTCAGTTTTTTAGAAGGAAAAATATATGTGAATATCTCTCTGGTTTGGCATGAATAGATTTCTGGCTTTGGATAAGTAAGGATTTTTTAGATAAGATACAGAAAGCTCCAACAATGAAAAAAATAATAATAAATTTTGTCATGTTAGAGTAAGAATTTCTGTTCATCAAAAGATACCTTAAAATGGAAAAGAGGATGCAGTGGGCGGAAGATATGTGCAACAGTTAGTTGTCCAACTAGAATGTGTCCAACACAAGAATTTGCATCCAGAACTCTTAACAACGAAAAAAGAAAAAAAATAGAAAAATTAACATTATAAATGTATTTTGTAGAGGAGAGGATACACATAGAAGCAGTGAAAATGAATGAACTATAGCTTCCCACAACTTCATGGATGAAGCTTTAATATCACAATGTTATATGAACAAAGTAATTGCCAAAGACTAAAAATGAAATAAAAGTTAAAATGGAATAAAATTTGCCAAAAATGAAATAAAATTTGAGGGGAATGATAAACAGAACATTCAGAGTAGTGGTTACTGGTTACCTCTTAAAGGCAGTCAAGGCAATTGGATGGAAGATGAGTCATGTGTGTTCGTTATAAAGTTTAAATCCATTTAACAAAGCCATACCAGGCTCTAATGATAATTGAGTGTCACAAACAAAAGATTATAATTAATCTGCACCCCGGGTCTAAGATAAAGTATTCATTTATGCAGTTGCACACATTCACACATATTGTGTGAAGATACAAACCAAGGTGATGAGGAATAATCTGGGAGTTTGTGTTTCCTGGGGTGACTGACATGAGCGGGCATTCATCTAGGTTTTCCCCCAAAACAGATTGTGGTGGTAAGGTGGTGTTAGATATCTGGTCAGGAACATCTAGAATTCTGTGGGTCTCCTCTTTCATTAATATCAATGAAAGTGTGAAGAGGCTTGCCCCCATTTGTCATGCTCTTGGTGCCAAGGACATGTAGAAGTAGAACACTGTGAAGTATTTTGTCCGCCCCGCCCCCCCCACCCCCAGCGGTTTTTGGAGGGGAAAATACAGTAAAGAGACTTTTTAAATATAACATTATAAATATCAAAAGAAGATTTGAAAAGAAGAAAGAAAAGGCTTCTCAGTTAATAGAGCTTCTGAGCTATCATTCAGGAAATACCTATATTAACATCTAATTAGTTCTTTATATTCATATTCTTCCTCTAGTCTTCTGGAAACAAGTCTCTCCTACCACAACTCAGATTGAATTCTATTTATCTGATTATTGATTTATTATGAAAATTACAAAATCATGTTATAGTTTGTTATAACAGTTCTGTGTTTCAGCTGTGGCAAGATTAGTTACGAGTTCTAAGTAATTTGTTTCTCCTGGTATTGTACCAAAGTTTTTGAATGATTGACTTAGGGGAAAATAAAGAGCAGGTTTATCATTATCCCTATGTCACATAACTATATTTTGCATATCCAGATACTTCCTTAAGTGGTAAAGAGTTAGATATACAGGCAGCAAGCAAACATTTGCACCTAATCTTGAGATTACTAATCAAGTATCTTGAAAGTGGAGTAAGAGAAAATTGTAAAACCGCTGTTTTAGACCATGGAATATCCATCTAAAACATTAAAGCAAAGGACCCCTTGACGTTGTATTTTAAAGAGGGAGCGATACTGTTGAGACATTTTTCTAATAGAGATTTTCTGAAGATAGTCTGCATCTTTGAGCCTCTGAACAATAGATCCCAACTGTACTACTTATAATACTAGAAAGAGTAGTGGATTAGGTGTCAGAATATTCTTATCTCCAGAACCAGACTATAAGATCCTGAAAAACAAGGACATACATCTTTGTGAGTGAGTGGGTAACAGAGAGTATTATATTCTGCTGCTTGCTAACCTTGTGATCTCAGTCTCTTCATCTCTAAATTAATACTCATACTTTTTTGTTAATCTCATAGGAAAATTAGGTGAGACTTACATAGGTGGAAATGTTTTGCATGCTGTAAAACAACACCAATATTTTAATATGAAATAAAGTGAAATCTAATGTAGTAATGAAATAGAAACTTCATGTCTAAATAAAAAAAAAAATTTTCCAGTCTTTGGAATGATTTGAAAAACTATTTCCTGAACCTTTTAGTGAACACCATTGTGGGTGACTGACTTTGCTTTTTTTTTTTTCAACTCCCCTTGATTATTTACATTGATCTCAAAGGCACTTACTGCAAATCTGCCTCTCAAGTGTCTTACAACAGTATCTTTTAGTTATGTTGTATGTGATATAGCACTGATCAAAGAGAAGAAAATATCAGAAATCCAAAAATGTAAGGAATTAAAGGATTTTACAGTTATTAGGACTAGCCATGACTAGATTTATCAAGAAAAAGTGTTAATCGCAAAATTTGGTGTTTATTTCTTAACATTATGCAAGAATGATGTTTATCTTTGAGGTGGCAAGGGACAGTTCATTAAAATACTTGGACATTTGAGCTAAATATGAATGCATAATTTTCTAAAATTAGGAAGGTGATTAATAAAAATTGATTAATTTAAAATAGTAAACACGAAAATGTTATAATTTATTACTTAGTTAATTTTATGAACATACAAAGGATATCTTATAAATAATGAATTTGGATTATTAATAGACAAATCTGATTTTGTCTTATTTATATACTACCAAGATATAATTAAAGAAGATATAACTTTGAAATTAAAATCCATATTCACAGTAAATACAACTTCAGTTCAGGTCTTTGCTACAATAAAATGAGATTTGTAAATAACTTAGGTTTTTCTGTTTGTTTTTTAGTTATTAAGTCGAAAAGACAAAACTACCTTTGAAAAATTAGAATATGTAATGAGTAAAGAAGATAACTACAAAAGACTCAGAGACTATATAAGTAGCTTAAAGATGACACCTTGCATTCCCTATTTAGGTGAGTTATGTCACTGTGTGTTTTTTGTTTCTAGTTGTTACTCTTCCTTACTCAGTAATTTATGTGAAATTCAAGGTATTTTTTAAATGTTTGTATCTTTTAAATAAATTACTTCAAGATTGGTAAGCTGAAAAAAATGACTAAAGATAGTTGTTACCCTGTTACCTGGAATGTATTTTCATATTAGATTAGCCTTTTGCCCTCAAGGTTTTTCTTAGACTATTATGTTTTCTTAGAGTAGGACCATATAGTAAAACAATATTTTTAGCTGTTTTAGTAATGCTTTTAAAGAATATAATAGTTCGTAATGATGTTTAATACATTAAGGAAATTGATCAAAGTCCTTATATAGTGAGGAGATATTTTAGTGTGAATTCTGAAGTAGTCTCAGTGCATATTGGTATTGTTGTTTACCTGAATGAAATGAGTTGATTCACTGTGGCAATTTAGCTTCGTGCTGAGACAGTTCTGTATTTCGCATCTCATCTAATTAAGAATTTATCTCTTTATTATATATCTTGTAGTGCTTATAAATTCAAGAAGTATTTAACCAGTAATATTATAAGATTATTTTTAACAAAATATGAATAATGCTTTGTTAGGTGTTTGAATGAAAAGAAGACCCAAATAAGTTGTTCTTTTAAATAGGTATGTAAATCAAACATAAGGAAAATACATGATACATACCTAGCATACATTAAAATGAATTGATTTGATCCTATGTAGAGAGTAATCAAATGATGAAGATTTGGTGCTTTCTGGTCCTCCCCACCCCCCAGATTTTGTGTTTGATGAAATTACTCACACTAAATTTCAAGATAGCTATTTCTGAGAGTGATTACAGTGTCACCTTGAAGTGTTTACAGTCCCAGTGACTAGAAGACAAAGAAGGGACAAAGGCAGTTGATACATGCCCATTTAGCTACTATAGAACATCAACCTTAGTTTCCCAGAGAAGAGTTTAACTCTTTAGAATATTGTGGGACACCCTAGGATTGCAGAGAATGGGGACCTATTGTGTACCTTGTGTTGAAGGCAGAATACCCCTAAGCACAGTAGAGTTAGTGGCCACTGCATCCCAGAATATTTTGTCCTGTTTCTTTGATAAACAGCTTAGGATCATAGTAAGCATGACTCTTATCAGAGAGGCTCTAAGCTGGATATTAGGAGAAAGACATTCTGTATGTGCTTTACATTTTTAGGTTGTTGCTGTCATTGTTTGTTTTGTTTTGTTTTGTTTGTTTTTTGAGACAGCCTCGCTCTGTTTCCTAGGCTGGAGCTCAGAAGTGCGATCGCTGCTTGCTGCAGCCTCTGCCTTCCAAGTTCAAGTGATTCTCCTGCTTCAGCCTCCCAAGTAGCTGGGATTACAGGCAAGCACCACCACGCCCAGCTAATTTTTGTATTTTTAGTAGAGACAGGGTTTCGCCATGTTGGCCAGGCTGGTCTTGAACTCCTGGCCTCAAGTGATCCGCCCATCTCAGTCTCCCAAAGTGCTGGGATTGTAGGCATGAGCCATCACACCCAGCGTGGTGCTCTGTGTTTTACCATAGCCTTGGCTGTGCCCATACTTGCAAATATAATTTGAGGAGAGAAGGAATAGGGAATTTTTCAAAAATAATACCTTCACAATTCAGAAGAATGTGTACTTTTTATAGTATGAAGAACATTAGACTGAGAATTGGCAATCCTCAATTCCACAATGACTCTACAGTCCTTATTTTTCAAGTCATTGAATTTTCTTCTTTGAGCCTTGTTCTCTTTACCTAGAAATAGCATGCATAGGACTAGAATCATGTTCTCCTTAAGGCTGGATGGGAGCATTGTGATATCTTCTTTCTTTTCTTTTTTTTTTTTTTTTTTGCGACAGAGTCTCGCTCTGTTGTCCAGGCTAGAGTGCAGTGGCACAGTCTCAGCTCACTGCAACCTCCGCCTCCTGGGTTCAAGTGATTCTCCTGCCTCAGCCTCCCAGGTAGCTGGGATTACAGGCATGCACCACCATGCCCAGCTAATTTTTGTATTTTTAGTCGAGATGGGGTTTCACCATATTGGCCAGGCTAGTCTTGAATTCCTGACCTCAAGTTGTCCGCCCACCTCAGCCTCCCAAATTGCTGGGATTATAGGCATGAGTGATGGCACCCAGCTGTAGTGATGTCTTCTAATTAACTTATTTTACTATCGAGAAAACCAAGATCCAGAAAGGTAGAAGACCTGGCTCATAGTCCTAAGACCTAGTTACTGACAGGTCTGCATTCTGAAGTCTTAACCTAGAGAGCTCCAATTATACCTGCTGAACTCTCATTTTAAAATTTACCAATTTTACGATTGCTTTCTTTTTCTCATTGAAATATGTTTTTCTCAAACTAAATTTCATAATTTGTATCTTCTAGAAAAGAAAATTAAGATTATTTTCCATTCAAAATGAGAAAATAAGATAATAGGAATCCTTATGCTGTGATTTCTAGTTGGGGACCTTCTTGTACTCTTGGACCTTCTTGACATTTTTCCACAGTGGAGACATCAGTACAGGATTGAAGCTGTGTACGTCTGTATATGTGCTCAGGTACATTCATGCACTCTCATGCACACACAGAGAGAAAGTTGGGGAAGAAAGCACTAGCCAAGTTGGAGTTTAGTAGAATCAGGAAAGGTTTTCTAGTGGAGAATATACCTCTTCTGTCTCAGCCCCCGACCTGAAACAAAGAGTAATCATACCTACGGGTTAAAGCAAATGCGGAAAATGTTGAGGTACAGATGTTAATTTTGAGAAAATATTACAAGCATTGTTTTTCTCGTATCTTCCATTTTTCCCATCATCTCCAATGACTCCTTCTTTTTTTCAGTTCCCTTTCATTTTATATGTTCTCATGATGTAGGATCTTACGTTTCACTCTCACCGTGTAGTTCTGCTTCACTTTATACTTAAGCCAATTTAAAAGTATCTCATTCTTGTTGTCACCTTTTTCTCCATCTTCACTCTCTAGAAATTTTCCTAATAAGGTCACCAGTGACTTCCTGGTTGAAACATTTTATAGATGTTTCTCAAGCCCCATCTTAATTGTGTGAGGGTTGGTGTCAATTATTTCTCCTCCTTGAAATTCTCCACAAGTAGCACCAGTCTTTCTTGGTTTCCCTTCTACATTTCTGGCTTTTATTAGCTGCTCTTACTCTACCTTTGTCTCTTAAATGTATTCTTGAGAGGTCTCAGTCCACTTCTTTTCTTTCTTTCTTTTTTTTATTTTTATTTTTCAGAGACAGGGTCTCACTCTGTCATCCAGGCTGGTGTGCAGTGGCATGATCAGCTCACTGCAGCTTCAAACTTCTGGACTCAAGCGATCCTCCCACCTTAGCCTCTGCAGTAGCTGAGACTACAGGTGTGCACCACCAAGCACAGCTAATTTTAAAATTTTTTTTGTAGAGACAGGATCTCGCCATGTTGCCCAGGCTGATCTCAAACTCCTGGCCTCAAGCAGTCTTCCTGCTTCAGCCTCCCAAAGTGCTGGGATTACAGGTGTGAGCCACTGGGCTCAGCCAGTCCACTTCTTTTCTTACTCTATATAATCGGAGTGGTCTCATTCAGGTTTTTTCTGTATATTGCCTGATCTTCCAAATCTAGACTGAATCTGTCTAACTTTGTATATCACTGTATATTTTATATCTATCTGTATATCTTAGCTATCTACTTAATCCCTGGGGCCGTCTAACATTTTTAGGTACTAAAATACTGATTCATTAAGTGAGAAAAATCTACAGGTATCTCCCATTCAACATGTGCAGAAGTGAATTCATCATGTCTTCTTCTTCCTCCAAACTTGATCCCCATCTGATCTCCTAGCTTTCTCTACCAGTGACCAGTCAGTGTAGTAGTATTGACACTGCGGTACCACACTACAGCCTGGTGTTTTAATGCATTTCTGTTTCCTCCTCCTCTGCTTCTCATATTCTCTAGTAAAATGTATGTGTCTGAGGGTTACCCAAGAATTAGAAAACAAAAGGCAGCGGGGAGGGTTCCAAGATGGCCGAACAGGAACAACTCCAGTCTACAGCTCCCAGCATGAGCAACACAGAAGACAGGTGATTGATGCATTTCCAACTGAGGTACCGGGTTCATCTCACTGGGGCTTGTCGGACAGTGGGTGCAGGACAGTGGGTGCAGCCCACCGAGCCGAAGCAGGGCGAGGCATCACCTCACCCGGGAAGTGCAAGGGGTCAGGGCATTCCCTTTCCTAACCAAGGGAAGGTGTGACAGAAGGCACCTGGAAAATCGGGTCACTCCCACCCTAATACTGCACTTTTTCCAGAGGTCTTAGCAAATGGCACACCAGGAGATTAGATCCCGTGCCTGGCTCAGAGGGTGCCACGCCCACAGAGCCTTGTTCATTGCTAGCACAGCCATCTGAGATCGAATTGCAAGGCGGCAGCGAGGCTGGGGAAGGGGCATCCGCCATTGCTGAGGCTTGAGTAGGTAAACAAAGCGGCCTGGAAGCTCAAACTGGGTGGAGCCCACCGCAGCTCAAGGAGGCCTACCTGCCTCTGTAGAATCCACCTCTGCAGGGCATAGCTGAACAAAAGGCAGCAGAAACCTCTGCAGACTTAAATGTCCCTGTCTGACAGCTTTGAAGAGAGTAATGGTTCTCGCAGCACAGAGTTTGAGATCTGAGAACAGACAGGCTGCCTCCTCAAGTGGGTCCCTGACCCCCAAGTAGCCTAACTGGGAGACACCCCCCAGTAGGGGCAGACTGACACCTCACACATCTGGGTAGCCCTCTGAGACGAAGCTTCTAGAGGAACAATCAGGCAGCAACATTTGCTGTTCAGCAATATTCACTGTTCTGCAGCCTCCGCTGCTGATATCCCCACAAACAGGGTCTGGAGTGGACCTCCAGCAAACTCCAACAGACCTGCAGCTGCGGGTCCTGACTGTTAGAAGCAAAACTAACAGAAAGGACATCCACACCAAAACCCCATCTATATGTCACCATCATCAAAGACCAAAGGTAGATAAAACCACAAAGATGGGGAAAAAACAGAACAGAAAAGCTGAAAATTCTAAAAATCAGAGCACCTCTCCCCCTCCAAAGGAATGCTTGCCAGCAACAGAACAAAGCTGGATGGATAATGACTTTGACGAGTTGAGAGAAGAAGGCTTCAGATTATCAGACTTCTCCGAGCTAAAGGAGGAAGTTCGAATCCGTCGCAAAGAAGCTAAAAACCTTGAGAAAAGATCAGACGAATGGCTAACTAGAATAACCAGTGTAGAGAAGTCCTTAAATGACCTGATGGAGCTGAAAACCATGGCACAAGAACTACGTGACACATGCACAAGCTTCAGTAGCCTATTCGATCAACTGGAAGAAAGGGTATCAGTGATTGAAGATCAAATGAATGAAATGAAGCGAGAAGAGAAGTTTAGAGAAAAAAGTAAAAAGAAACGAACAAAGCCTCCAAGAAAAATGGGACTATGTGAAAAGACCAAACCTGCGTCTGATTGGTATACCCGAAAGTGACAGGGAGAATGGAACCAAGTTGGAAAACACTCTGCAGGATATTATCCAGGAGAACTTCACCAACCTAGCAAGGCAGGCCAACATTCAAATTCAGGAAATACAGAGAATGCCACAAAGATACTCCTCGAGAAGAGCAACTCCAAGACACATAATTGCCAGATTCACCAAAGTTGAAATGAAGGAAAAAATGTTAAGGACAGCCAGAGAGAAAGGTCAGGTTACCCTCAAAGGGAAGCCCATCAAACTAACAGCAGATCTCTCTGCAGAAACTCTACAAGGCAGAAGAGAGTGAGGGCCAATATTCAGCATTCTTAAAGAAAAGAATTTTCAACCCAGAATTTCATATCCAGCCAAACTAAGCTTCATAAGTGAAGGAGAAATAAAATCCTTTACAGACAAGCAAATGCTGAGATATTTTGTCACCACCAGGCCTGCCTTACAAGAGCTCCTGAAGGAAGCACTAAACATGGAAAGGAACAACTGGTACCAGCCACTGCAAAAACATGCCAAATTGTAGAGACCATTGATGCTAGGAAGAAACTGCATCAACTAATGAGCAAAATAACCAGCGAACATCATAATGACAGGATCAAATTCACACATAACAATATTAACTAAATGTAAATGGGCTAAATGCTCCAATTAAAAGACACAGACTGGCAAATTGGATAAAGAGTGAAGACCCATCAGTGTGCTGTATTCAGGAGACCCATCTCATGTGCAGGGACACACATAGGCTCAAAATAAAGGGATGGAGGAAGATCTGCCAAGCAAATGGAAAACAAAAAAAGGGGTTGCGATCCTAGTCTCTGATAAAACACTTTAAACCAACAAAGATCAAAAGAGACAAAGCCATTACATAATGGTAAAGGGATCAATTCAACAAGAAGAGCTAACTATCCTAAATATATATGCACCCAATACAGGAGCACCCAGATTCATAAAGCAAGTCCTTAGAGACCTACAAAGAGACTTAGACTCCCACACAATAATAATGGGAGACTTTAACACCCCACTGTCAACATTAGACAGATCAACAAGACAGAAGGTTAACAAGGATATCCAGGAATTGAACTCAGCTCTGCACCAAGCAGACCTAATAGACATCTACAGAACTCTCCACCCCAAATCAACAGAATATACATTCTTCTCAGCACCATGTTGCACTTATTCCAAAATTGACCACATAGTTGGAAGTAAAGCACTCCTCAGCAAATGTAAAAGAACATAAATTACAACAAACTGCCTCTCAGACCACAGTGCAATCAAACTAGAACTCAGGATTAAGAAACTCACTCAAAATCGCTCAACTACATGGAAACTGAACAACCTGCTCCTGAATGACTACTGGGTACATAACAAAATGAAGGCAGAAATAAAGCTGTTCTTTGAAACCAATGAGAACAAAGACACAACATACCAGAATCTCTGGGACACATTTAAAGCAGTGTGTAGAGGGAAATTTATAGCACTAAATGCCCACAAGAGAAAGCAGGAAAGATCTAAAATTGACACCCTAACATCACAATTGAACTAGAGAAGCAAGAGCAAACACCTTCAAAAGCTAGCAGAAGGCAAGAAATAACTAAGATCAGAGCAGAACTGAAGGAGATAGAGACACAAAAAACCCTTCAAGAAAATCCATGAATCCAGGAGCTGGTGTTTTTTTAAAAGATCAACAAAATAGACCACTAGCAAGACTATATATATAATAAAGAAAAGGGAGGAATCAAACAGACACAATAAAAAATGATAAAGGGGATATCACTACCGATCCCACAGAAATACAAACTACCATCAGAGAATACTGTAAACACCTCTCTGCACATAAACTAGAAAATCTAGAAGAAATGGATAAATTCCTGGACACATACACCCTCCCAAGACTAAACCAGGAAGAAGTTGAATCCCTGAATAGACCAATAACAGGCTCTGAAATTGAGGCAATAATTAATAGCCTACCAACCAAAGAAAGTCCAGGACCAGATGGATTCACAGCCAAATTCTACCAGAGGTACAAGGAGTTGCTGGTACCATTCCTTCTGAAACTATTCCAATCAATAGAAAAAGAGGGAATCCTCCCTAACTCATTTTATGAGGCCAGCATCATCCTGATACCAAAGCCTGGCAGAGACACAACAAAAAAAGAGAATTTTAGACCAATATCCTTGATGAACATTGATGCAAAAATCCTCAATAAAATACTGGCAAACCGAATCCAGCAGCACATCAAAAAGCTTATCCACCATGATCAAGTGGGCTTCATCGCTGGGATGCAAGGCTGGTTCAATATATGCAAATCAATAAATGTAATCCAGCATATAAACAGAGCCAAAGACAAAAACCACATGATTATCTCAATAGATGCAGAAAAAGCCTTTGACAAAATTCAACAACCCTTCATGCTAAAAACTCCCAATAAATTAGGTATTGATGGGACGTATTTCAAAATAATAAGAGCTATCTATGACAAACCCACAGCCAATATCATACTGAATGGGCAAAAACTGGAAGCATTCCCTTTGAAAACTGGCACAAGACAGGGATGCCCTCTCTCACCACTCCTATTCAACATAGTGTTGGAAGTTCTGGCCAGGGCAATTAGACAGGAGAAGGAAATAAAGGGTATTCAATTAGGAAAAGAGGAAGTCAAATTGTCCCTGTTTGCAGACGACATGATTGTATATCTAGAAAACCCCATTGTCTCAGCCCAAAATCTCCTTAAGCTGATAAGCAACTTCAGCAAAGTCTCAGGATACAAAATCAATGTACAAAAATCACAAGCATTCTTATACACCAACAACAGACAAACAGAGAGCCAAATCATGAGTGAACTCCCATTCACAATTGCTTCAAAGAGAATAAAATACCTAGGAATCCAACTTACAAGGGATGTGAAGCACCTCTTCAAGGAGAACTACAAACCACTGCTCAAGGAAATAAAAGAGGATACAAACAAATGGAAGAACATTCCATGCTCATGGGTAGGAAGAATCAATATCGTGAAAATGGCCATACTGCCCAAGGTAATTTACAGATTCAATGCCATCCCCATCAAGCTACCAATGACTTTCTTCACAGAATTGGAAAAAACTACTTTAAAGTTCATATGGAACCAAAAAAGAGCCCGCATTGCCAAGTCAATCCTAAGCCAAAAGAACAAAGCTGGAGGAATCACACTACCTGACTTCAAACTATACTACAAGGCTACAGTAACCAAAACAGCATGGTACTGGTACCAAAACAGAGATATAGATCAATGGAACAGAACAGAGCCCTCAGAAATAACGCCGCATACCTACAGCTATCTGATCTTTGACAAACCTGAGAAAAACAAGCAATGGGGAAAGGATTCCCTATTTAATAAATGGTGCTGGGAAAACTGGCTAGCCATATGTAGGAAGCTGAAACTGGATCCCTTCCTTACACCTTATACAAAAATCAATTCAAGATGGATTAAAGATTTAAACGTTAGACCTAAAACCATAAAAACCCTAGAAGAAAACCTAGGCATCACCATTCAGGACATAGGCATGGGCAAGGACTTCATGTCCAAAACACCAAAAGCAATGGCAACAAAAGACAAAATTGACAAATGGGATCTAATTAAACTAAAGAGCTTCTGCACAGCAAAAGAAACTACCATCAGAGTGAACAGGCAACCTACAAAATGGGAGAAAATTTTTGCAACCTACTCATCTGACAAAGGGCTAATATCCAGAATCTACAGTGAACTCAAACAAATTTACAAGAAAAAAACAAACAACCCCATCAAAAAGTGGGCGAAGGACATGAACAGACACTTCTCAAAAGAAGACATTTATGCAGCCAAAAAACACATGAAAAAATGCTCACCATCACTGGCCATCAGAGAAATGCAAATCAAAACCACTATGAGATACCATCTCACACCAGTTAGAATGGCAATCATTAAAAAGTCAGGAAACGACAGGTGCTGGAGAGGATGTGGAGAAATAGGAACAGTTTTACACTGTTGGTGGGACTGTAAACTAGTTCAACCATTGTGGAAGTCAGTGTGGCGATTCCTCAGGGATCTAGAACTAGAATTACCATTTGACCCAGCCATCCCATTACTGGGTATATACCCAAATGACTATAAATCATGCTGCTATAAAGACACATGCACACGTATGTTTATTGCGGCATTATTCACAATAGCAAAGACTTGGAACCAACCCAAATGTCCAACAATGATAGACTGGATTAAGAAAATGTGGCACATATACACCATGGAATACTATGCAGCCATAAAAAATGATGAGTTCATGTCCTTTGTAGGGACATGGATGAAATTGGAAATCATCATTCTCAGTAAACTATCGCAAGATCAAAAAACCAAACACCACATATTCTCACTCATAGGTGGGAACTGAACAATGAGATCACATGGACACAGGAAGGGGAATATCACACTCTGGGGACTGTGGTGGGGTGGGGGGAGGGGGGAGGGATAGCATTGGGAGATATACCTAATGCTAGATGACGAGTTAGTGGGTGCAGTGCACCAACATGGCGCATGTATACATATGTAACAAACCTGCACATTGTGTACATGTACCCTAAAACTTAAAGTATAATTAAAAAAAAAAAAAGAAAGAAAGAAACCAAAAAGGGAAAAAAAAACAGAAGGAAATTAAGAACATACACTATAGCATCTGCATAATTTTAGATACTGGTATTCTTCATATAGTTCATCCCTATCTGGGTATGTGAAGAAGCATCTTGATTGTGAGATTATTGTGGACTCCTGGGCATAAATATTTGGTAGACATGGGAAAGGAAAATGAAACATTTGTCAGATGAGTTTTTATGACTCAGTTTAGTTCGTTTCCAGTATGAAAATCATCCTTTTAATGTAATGACTGCTTTGCCTTATAGCAAACCGTTAGATTAAATGTATTTAATCTATTAAAACATACATGGTTTTGATTCAGAATCCTTTTCTATTCATGTGAAGGGAGGCTTAGTACAGTTGACAAAAACTTCAGCATTTATAAATGCTGTACATTTGATAGAAGTTGCCCTAAGAACAATTAAAAGGTAAAACTCATTATGCAAATTGGTAGCTTCATTTAACTATTCCTCTTCAAGTATACAGAGTTTGCATAATGCTATGCTTTATTCATTATGTCTGCAGAGGTTATTATGGAAAGAATATATCCATGAAATATCTATAGTGCATAGAAAAAAGGTAACCGCTAATGATTTCTTAACATGAGGTATATGGTCCAAACTAATAGTTTTTTCTCCCCTAAAAATGAGAACCAAAACCTACCAATTTTTGTGAAGCTTGTAAAAGGGAGTAGAGTCCTATATGCTGGTAAAACTCTTATTTTGATACCACCAAATTTATCTGTAGTTCAATGTGGATTAAATTATAAGAAGTAGAAATGTTTTCTCGGCTCTCAACTCATCATCCCTTGAAAAATTGTCTCTTCTGTTGGTTTGCATTCAAGGTAAAAATTAGTCAGCTTGGACAATATCGTGAAAAATTCTTAGAATAAGGATATAATTTGTCTAGAGAGGAATAGTTGGCAAATCTGAAGGAAAAAATTGCTTTATAAGAGAATTATTGCTTTTAAATCTGAAAGTCATTAACAACACTTATTTGTTCTTGTCATTGGAGAACAGTCTTAAGGGGCTTGTTGAAGAATTTGGCATGGTAAGTTTTATTTTGCTGACGAGAGCAAACTAGAATATTGTGAAAAAAATAATTTAGTTATATGAAACATCATAAATATTCTTTAATGTGCTTTTTCTAAGCCTCATTTCTACTTTATGTACTACAAAGATGCAGTAGCTCGACCAAGAAAGCATATTTTGGCTAGGTGCGGTGGTTCATGCCTGTCATCCTAGCACTTTGGGAGGCTGAGGCAGGTGGATCACCTGAGGTCAGGAGTTCGAGACCAGCCTGGCCAACATGGCAAAACCACGTCTCTACTAAAAAATACAAAAAATTAGCTGGGTGTGGTGGCACACGCCTGTATTCCCACTCCAGCTTGGGTGACAGAGCAAGACTCCATCTCAAAAAAAAAAAAAAAACCATATTTTTTGAACTGTGGAAATCAGTAAATTGTTGCAGTACTCTGTACTGCTTCCTATTAAGTAGAAGCAGAATGTAACAGAAAAGTTTTTGTAAAATCTCTAGCCCTCTGTAGAATGTGAGTATACTCTTTTGGTGGATCTAGATATGACTCCTTTTTCCTGTTGGAGAGAGACTTCTTCCCCTTCCCCATTTAATTTTTAATTTAATATGTCAGGTTTTCATGATAGTACTTTTTTGTTAGAAGAGAAATACTTTTCTTATAACCCTCTGTAATATAGTGTTCCTTGCCTACTGCTCTCTGAAAAGCACCCTGTTTATGATATTTTCATTAATCTGTCTCCTCCTCAACAGAATGTAAGCCCCTATTTGTCTTGGTTTAAGGGTTTATCCTTACAGCATCTAGAACAAAAGTAGTCATATAATAAATGTTTCTTGGTTCAACTAATTATCCCTTTCTAGCTCTTCCCATTGTTTCAGTGATTTTGATTTAATTTCTGTTTAAACAATAAATGTATTTGTGTGGCATATTTGCATGGGTCAACTCCTTACCCACCCCTGATTTTTTTTGTTGTTGTTATTTTGTTTTGTTTTTGGTGCCTCAGCTGGCACCTAGTATTTACTTAGCACTGTGCTTGGTGCTAAATATATAGCAAGAGATTACAATGGGCTTTGTCCCTGCCTTTATAGAACTTAATATCTCTGGAATTACAAAGGTCCAGGATATCATTAACCTCATGAATAATCTCTCCTCTTTTCTATATCCTGGAAGAGATGCATATCATTGCCTTGTGCCTTACATTGTTAGTGGTGTCCTTATCATAGTTAATGACATTTTTAAAGCATACCTAAAATGATAAGAATCTTACCGATTTGGTTTTCAGTCGTTTTTGCATATATTGAATTGTTAAATATTCAGTAGAATATAGTTATTTAGTTTTAGAAATTTCTAACTCATGTAAAAATGTTTTCAAGAATAATAGTTTTGTATTCATATTTCTATTCAGATAATTTCAACAAAGTCCAAGTCTTTTTGCTGATCTGTAGGAATTAAAAGGAGATTTTTCCTCTCGTTTGATAGAATTTTTCTTCAATATGTAAGGCTCTGACACTGATCTCAGAAATGCCTGTTGGTCAATAAATGTCATTGGCTTTTAATATTTCAAGTTTTATTCCATTTTCCTTTCTTTAGTTTGATTTGTCAATAATATACATTATGGATTACCTTACCCTATTCTTTTAATTATATGTTGTTATATATTGTATACTAAAACAGCAGTAAAGCATCTTCACTGATTTTCTTTTGGATTTGAGAATAAGCTCTGACCAAATGGCAGCTAGCCCCTTTTCTTTAGCCAGAATTACATCCCCATTTTCCATTACCTCATTTATATATTTTTTTACCCTCACTCTTTTATATATTTAAAATTCCTCTAAATTCTTTGTTGATATGTTTTCTGAAGTTTACTTTAGACCAAAGACTTCTGAAATAAAAGAGCTGGGGGTGGGGTTGTGTTAATTTCATCCCCATGTTCATAGTGTTTTCTTTAAGTGCCTTGTCTTTCTAAAAAAATAAGAACAGCAGCTATACAGATCTGCATGCTAATTGTAAACAGAATCAGATTCCCCTAACAACAGTTTTACCAGTGGTGTTTCCAACTGTGAATATTTCAGTGATTTGTTTTGTAATTTTTTTAAGCAGGCTTTAGCAGGAAAGTAATAATTTCAGTAACATTTATTCAACACTTAGGCCTATATAGCTGACACTGTACTTTATATAGATTATCTAATACATAACAGCAGTTTTATAAGGTAAATGATACTTGTATTTTACAGGTGAAGAAACTGAGACAAAGGAGTTTAAATTGACTTGCTGTAAAGATACGTATTTCATTCACAGCTCAAAGAAAGCATTATGGATTACATTAAAATTTGGGGTATCTGTGTTCAGGTTAAAATTTTGAGTTCATTCATCAGTCTTTCCTGTAATTATGTGTACAATTATAACTTGATAACAGTTAACTCCACTGATAAAACTAAAAAGTGGCCGGGCATGGTGGCTCATGCCTGTAATCCCAGCACTTTGGGAGGCCAAAGCAGGCGGATCACCTGAGGTCAGGAGTTCGAGACTAGCCTGGCCAATTTGGTGAAACCCCATCTCTACTGAAAATACAAAAATTAGCTGGGTGTGGTGGTGGGCGCCTGTAATCCCAGCTACTGGGGAGGCTGAGGCAGGAGAATCACTTGAACCCGGGAGGCAGAGGTTGCAGTGAGCCGAGATTGTGCCATTGCACTTCAGCATGGGCAACAAGAGCAAAACTCTGTCTCAAAAAGAAAAAAAAAAACTGAAAAGTGAGCTAGTTTAAGATAAGATGGCCATTTTTTCAGGGCGAGGTCATAGCCTTGTAAGTGGAATCATTGTTTTCTTACTTGGTTATTTTTCACAGACACTAGAATAAAAAGACTAAAAACTTGTTAGGGTATAATAATCTTTAACTTACTACAAAGATTAATTTAAATATATGTAAACCATATTACTTTAGTACAGATTTATAAGTTATTTAAAATGTTTTTATGATTGTGGAAGGTTTATTCTGCTGCTTATATTACCAGCAGGAGTCCTAAGAAATATAATGCTAAGAGAATAGCACTCTCCTGTCATGACTCAGAGTTAAGTAAACAGTAGAATGAAAATTGATCTTTATTCTACGAGGCATGAAGCCCAGAGATAGTGTATTTGTAGGTGTCTACTAAATTTCAAGTTGCTGTCTAATTTTGGCATTTTCCAAAATCTCAAATTTTTAAAATCTGCTTCAGGAGGTCAGGTGTTCTAGGCAATGATGGCCTCCCATTTAGTCCAGAATAGAGTCTATATCTGTTGTAGGATAAAATTCATTAACTTATTCTTGACTGGACACAGTGGCTCACACCTGTAATCCCAGTGCTTAGGGAGGCCAAGGTGGGAGGATCACTTGAGGCCAGGAGTTTGAGACCAACCTGGGCAACACAGTGAGACCCCATCTCTACAAAGAAAATACGAAAATTAGCTGGGCATGGTGGCATGCACCTGTAGTCCCAGCTACTCAGGAGGCTAAGGTGGGAGGATTGTTTGAGCCCAGGAGTTCAAGATTACAGTGAGCTAAGATCATGCCACTGCACTCCAGCCTGGGTGACATAGTGGGACCCTGTCTAAAAAAAAACAAAAAGAAAAATTAAGTAAAAGAATCCTTCTATAAACCAGCTCTAAGAGAAGGTTGTAGTTCAGTCTTACTGAAGATAAGGCAAACCCATCTTTATTCCTAGATGACCTGCAAAGTAGGTAGCTCTTGGACCTTACCTACCACACAAATGAGCTAACCTGGTCTTTCACAAGACTCTCTTTAGGCTGAAATTCATACTATGTCTCTTCTTGCCTTAAGTTTTCTTTTTATTTTTGGTCCAGCCACTTAACTGCCTACTATAACAGCTGTCATGGCTTTGTTAGATTTGCAAGTGAAGATAATGGATCAATGTAATTTCATACCCGAAAACTTGGATATTGTTTTGTTTTTTGAGAAAGAGTCTAACTCTGTCCCCCAGGCTCGAGTGCAGTGGCATAATCTCGGCCCACTGCAAGCAATTCTTCTGCCTCAGCCTCCCGAGTAGCTGGGTTTACAGGCATGTGCCACATCTGGCTAATTTTTGTGTTTTCAGTAGAGATGGGGTTTCACCATGTCGGCCAGGCTGGTCTCAAACTCCTGAGCTCAAGTGATCCACCTGCTTCGGCCTCCCAAAGTCTTGGGATTACAGATGTGAGCCACCACGCCTGGCCCGGATATTGTTTTTAAAACACGTTTGTTGATCACCTACTCTATGCAAGGTGCTATGATTTGTATTGCAGAAAGTACGTAGATGAGTAGTAATAATATGATAGTTTAAATCTGAGTACTTACGAATGTCAAGCATTATTCTTAATGTTTTACCTGTATTAACTCATTTATTTGATCGTCACAAAAACCACGAGCTAGATATTCTTATTATACCCCATTTTATAGATTCAGGCTGAGATAGGAGTTTATAAATTGCTCAAGGTAACACAGCTAGCAAGTGGTAGAGCTGGGCCACAGACCCAAGCAGTTCTGACTTCAGAACCTACACTAACTATCATATAATACCGCTTCTTATTCTCTCCTCTCAAGAAACTTAGTTGCCCAAGTTATTATGCTGTCTAGGAACTTCAGAGTAAAATAAATCAGCTCTCTGAAGGAGAGCAGAATGGGCCCATTGGCTAAGGCAGTTTAGCATTCAGCCTAGTTTTCCAAGGTTGTATGTTGACTTTCAAATTCTAGTTTTAATGATATTCTTCTGTGAAAATTCTGTAAGGCTTGTCTTTGATAAAGTTTTGGGTGTTTAAATGAAATGATATACTGCTTTCAATAACTGAGAAGCCTTGGTAAAGTTTTATTCACTTAAGATTTGGTGTAACAGTTAGATGCCCAGTTCCTTCCAGGAATCTTATAACAGATTCTTTGGTTCTGAAGGAAGTGGAGAGGGACTGAAAAACCAGTTTAAGATGACCACAGGTAAAACAAAGAATAATACCACTATGAGGTTTGGATATTTTGTTTAATTTGTTTCACCAGAAGTTTTATTTTGAGATGTGGCAGATGAAAAACATTGGTCATGTTGATGGATTTGAGTTGTCCAAATGATTATCTTCACATTAAGCTATTCCCATGCATAGTTTGCCTCACACATTTCAATTCGAGGTTTTCTTTTTGCTTAAGCAAAAGTTTCATGAGCTATCTTTAAAATTTTAACTTCACAAATATATTAAGGCAAGGTCACCTCTAAGCAGTGAATATGTATTCCTGAAAGGAAATTGTTCCAGAAAGTCACTAGTAAAGTTGTTGATTGCAAAGATGAGTTAAAGACACTGTGAGACTAAGCGTTACATACACTGTAAAATGAAATTAGCAGTTTGGACTAAGCTATGCCCCTGTGGCTTCTGCTCTGGAGCTGTTGAATTCTCAGTATCGGGAAAACAGCCAACAGTTCCTTGAGTTTGTTTTAGTCCCACCTGTTCTGAGCATGCACTAATACTTGTAAAGCTGTCCAAACTTTCTGATTTGAATTGCAGATTGGTTGGGTTTTTTTTTCTTTGTAGTAGTAAGATCAGTAAATTAGAAAAAAAGTAATAATAAATTAGAACTATAATTCAGATCTGTAGCACACTAAATATTCTGCATTTTTGTAATACCAATATTTTGCTGATTTTAGAACTACATAAAATGCATTTCTGGAGATTTTGGTGTTCAGCATATCATATGAAGATAACACTGAAAAATTCATTCATAGATTTGTCTTTATAAATTGACCATTTAAATTATGCATGCATTATTTTTGGGTTTTTTTTTATTTTTAAAAATGATATGTATTTAATACTATGGGTCATGTTTTGGGAAAATCAGCATAGGATATATTATTAAGAATTCAGATTTAATCATTACGTGTGAAAGGCACAAATTCAATTTGAAATAACTTTTATTCAATGGAAGAAGCATTTTCTATTGGCAAAACTAGAGGTTTCTCCCTAATTTTCTGTCTGTATTTTTATAAATAAAATGCATTATTTGGCTGAAATTTTAAAAATATTTTTTTCACTAGACGTTAGAGCAATCTTAGATTTTAAATAAATTGTTAAGTATCTTGAACATGTTATTTATGATTTAAAATATAGCTAAGATTTGCTTTACATTGTGGCAAATATTTACATTTTAGAAAACAAACTTTGTATTTAGTCAACATAATTTTTAAAATAACTAGGTTGTGGATACACATAATTTTCTGCAGTAATTGACGACAGATGAAACTACATTTATAGGTTCCCTTTTATAGTTACGGTAAAATTCATTTTAAAAACTTTCTGTGTAGAAATAAATTGTGCCAAGTAATATACATGTAACATTTACATTTTTAAGAGCTGAAAAGTACAAAGTTCTGTGTCATTTAAATTGGCGAGTGTCTCTCTTCAGTCAATAGGCTTGATCATCATCTGAACTGCTCTTAAGGAGTATGACCCGCCTCTGTATTCGGCCCAGAAAATTCCATCTTGGTGCTTGCTTCTGTAATGGCCTCCTCTGTACCATACTCCATTTAGGTTAGAATGTGCACAGGCATTGTACCACCAGCCTCCTTTATGAAAGTGGGCGCAGTTTCCTTTGAGGAAAAAATACAGATATAAATGTAAAAGTTTCTTCTAGGTGTGGTACTCTGCAATCATAAAAAACTTATTCTACCTTTAATTTGAACTTCCCTTACTAATCCCAGTTACCTTTATCTCAGCAGTTTTAAATGCCTTCACTTACTTGATGGCTGTTGCATCAACTGCTTGAAAAATCACTTGAATTGCCTTTTTTTAACTCTTTGCTTGCTTACAATGTACTTTTTTAAAAAGGGGGATTTAATTTTCTAGTTAGCAGAGTAGATGCAAGCAGTGTTTATATGTGAAAGAGTTACAGAGGGAGAAATTGGGAAGGAAAGATACAGAAGAAGATAAAAGTCTGAGGAAAATTGAATTGTCAAAATAAAATAGCAAAAAATAATACAAAGTAAAATAAAACCAGCAGTCAAATGGGTTTCTGTAAATAAGACATATGTTATGGTCTATCTCTCCTCTTTTCTCGTTTACCAGTGTAAAATTGGTTAAAATAGAGACCTGTGTGCTGTTTGCCAAAATACAGCTGGAGAGAAAAACCAGTTTGGGACAGGGATGGGGGAGAATTGTTGGGTGGAGGGGAGGAGGGGATCTCTGTATCAGGACGAGAAGAAACCTGGGTTAAAAAGTCAAAAGCATATGAAAACTAAATTTGAAATTATGTGGATGGTCTAGTTGTTTCTTTCTAATGAAAATATTAATTTCCCCTTTGAATCAAGCTTTTTTGTTATTCCTATGCCACATGTCACAGTCATCTTGGTTTTCCCCCTCAAAGAAATGCTCTTACACCATGTATCCAAATGGCTTGCATCCTTCATTTCTTGCGACTCTTTATTCAAATGTTGCTTTCTCACAGCAGATTTTCCTGGCGAACCCATATAAAATAGCTGCCATCCCAGGCCTTGCTGCCCACCACTTTCTATTTTCTTACTCAGTTTTATTTTTGAGAGTACTTATTCCCACCTAACAAATTGTTTTGTCTCTCCTCCAGTGAGTAAGCTCCAAAGGGCGGGAACTTTGTTCACTGTTATATCCCTAGCACCTACAACAGTGCCTGGCACGTGGTAGGTGTTCAGTTAGTATTTGTTATGAATTGTAGGCACTTGCATTTTATTTCCAGATTAATGTGTTTCTGTTTTGCTTTGTGTTTTTTTCCCAGAACTTTGTTTTTCACATAGATCACACTTTGGGATTGCCTTATAGAAGAAATCCTAAAAGCTATTTCTTTCAGTAGGTTGGTTGTATTTCCTGCCACAGTGACCAAAACTGACCTTTTTGAAAAGACTTTAGTAGCATATATATTAGTAGATTCTATTTAATGCATAGAAGGTGATGATTCTACAAAGAATGAAAGTTTTTCATACTTACCTGCATACATATCTTTATCTCTGTCCAGTGTGGTGAATTGTTTACCATTATGCCACATCATAGAATCCCCTGCATTTCCCTGGTAAGTTCCCAGGCGCAGTCTATAGAATTCACTTTCAGGTTCCAGACGAAAGCTGCTGTATTCTGCATAGACTTTTTTATCACTCCAGTCTTCTAATTCAATCAATAACTTGTAATTATCTTGATTGCTAAGCATATAGATATTTTCCAGTCCAAGCCAGTATTCTCCGTCAATGTTTCCAAACCCTTTCTGTTAATAAGTGAAGAAACATGAGTGCATAAATAAGTATAGAGATAGTAAACATTTTTACAGAGCAGTGTTAAACATTCGATAGCATAAAGATACTGGCCATTTAAGTGGTAATGTGAGCTTCCATTTTAGTTGGTCACTTGCGTTTTATAAGCCACACATTGTCATTCTCTTTTTGTTTGTTTGTTTTTTGCTTCTGATATGTCAGTATTCATTTGCATAGCTAGCTTCAAATCCTACAAATAAGACAATGCAAATGAGAATAAAATTTATCCATAGCTACTAAAAATATTAGCTAGTATACTACCCAGATCCTTAAAAAGGGTTCCTGGTCTCTCTCATATTCATCTAAAGAGCCCAACATTTTTTTCCTAATAGTAATCTTTGTAAAGTAGTAAGTATAAGTCATCCAGACTGAAAGGGATCATTTAAAAGTATATCTTCTGTTTCCTTTTTGCAATTTAATTTTGACTTTAAAACCAGAGATGAGAATCATTTTTTTGACAGATGTAGATAATGAAAAAACATATGGATAGTTATTTTTAACTGTGTGTCTTATTTATTGCATAGCATCTTGTTTCTTGCATTATTGCAAGAATGGATTTGTTTTACTTCCCTTAGGTCTGCATCACTGATTTACCTTATAATTTTCCCAATTTCTGAAGAAGTTGACAGAGCCGTCTGTTCTTTTCTGAATAACAGTCCAACCCCCAGGGTCCAAACTGTTTTCACACCATAACTGCATTGGTCCATTGCTGTTTTCAGGTTTAATCATATAAATCCCACTGACCGAATGCCCAGCTTCTTTTGCTTGCTGACAGTCTTTGAATGGTCCTATAATTTAAATATCATTTATTATCAGCAAACTTAATATGAGAAGAGACATGTTAAAAGTTTTTAATCAAGATTTTTACCTTTGTGTCTTTGTTTACAGTTACCATTGTTTATCATATATACAATATTATAAAATATAACTAAATAAAAGGGTGACTCCAGTTCTATCTGGAACATTAATTTGTTTCGTTTTCATCTGTTCTTTTCTTTTCCATATATGTATTTTTTATATTGTTATAATCCTAATACATGTAGAAAATTGGATTCTGTCTTAACATTTTCATGCAGCTATAGTCTCCATTCTAGCTGCATAATAATCCTTGACATTGATATATTTTTATCCTTCTATCATTGGACATTGAGGTTTTATGGATTTTTGCTATTATAAAAACACTGCACAAAGTGTCTTCATTCTTATTGAATTCATTTTTTAATATTATAAAAATGCTGAGGGATCGATCTACTGGATCAGAGGATATCAGTTTATTCATAGTCCTACATAATACCCAAGTTACAGTTTTGGAAATTTGATTTCAGTGGAACATACTAGTACCTTGAGATACTCATTGCAAATGGGGTCAGTCAAATAAGTTTTAGAAATGCAAAATATTATGTTTCCCTTTTGGAAATTCTCAATGTACATTCACATATTAAAGACTGAAAAGCCCTGAAATAAACCAGATGCCCAAACTCATAGAATCTTAAATTTCCCCCAACAACACTTACTAACAGCCCATGAGAATACATTTCAGGAATGTTAGCATAAATGAGTATCTAAAGAGTTGTATCAATCTGTATGACTAATAGTAATTTTCTCATTTAACCTACAGTTACCTGGTGATAGTTGATAGATGTTCTAGAGATAGAACGATTAACTAAGGTCATGTATCACAGAAGATGGTAAACCCTAGATAGACATAAATCCTTGTCTAATCCCAGAGTCCCTGCTCTGAACTGCTGTGTTGCATGCATTTGCCCTCATGTTATTTCATAATTTTAGGTATTCTCCATTTTTAATCCACTAATAATTTCTTCAAATTTTACAAGTGACAACACATTTTGTGAAATTACTTTTAGGGTGTCTGACTCTTGAACTTGAGATTTCCACATTTTTGGATCAGGTGAATATCATCCTTCTCCAGTGTTTCGAGCCTTTTTTATAAACATGCAAAATATATTAATGGATTTAGAAAAAAGAATTACCCTAAAGATCTCTTAGAACAAAAAATGTATAAAAATTCTGATTGTCAAATTTTATATTTTACTAGAAATATGTGAGAGTTTAGTCAAGTAAAGTTCTTAACAAGAATTTCTGTACTATAAGGATAATAGGATTGTTGAAATTTTGAGAAATGTGTTATCTATACTTTGCCAGATATGTACAGTATTCCTTTTGGGTCTTACTGGGATAGAATTAATCTCATTAGGTAGTTACACAACTATAACAATAGAAGGGATTCTTAGAGACTATGATCTCTTCCTTGTAGATTGTTCCGTGAGGACAGAGACTTTTTTTTTTTTTTTTTACTTCATATCATCAGTGTTTAAACCCTTAGGAAACTGTCTATAATTTTTTGTTGATTAAATTTCTCATTTTAAATACAAGGAAATTGAAAAGTACACGCAAAAATCAAGAGGACATCAGTTTCTCTAGTCCAAATGTTTATTATAGTTCATTGATATTTTTCTCTTAAATTTTTAAAAATTATAATGCAATATCCATAAGTAGTACAGACTAGTAAAAATTTGAGAAACTGGAAAGCCTTATTTATGGTGTCTTTCCTGCGTTATATTTATTTTAGGTATTGTATTTTTTAGTTCTAGAGTTGCAATTTGATTTTTTATAGTTTTTATTTCTCTTTTGAGATGCCCTATCTTTGCATTCGTTATAAACATATTTTCCTTTAAGACATTGAAAATAGCTACAACCACTACTTTAAAATTATTGTCCTTTCAGTTCCAAGTTTGCTGAGAGTTTTTATCATGAATGGATTTTGGATTTTTTCAAAGGCTTTTAAAATCTTTTCTTTTTTAATTTCTTTTCTAACTAGACACATCACAGGAATCAAAGGCTTTTTATCTGCCTATTGAGATGATGATAGGGTTTTTCTTTTTGTTGTTTGTTAATACACGAATTACATTGAATATATATACATTTTATATATAATATCTAATATAAGAACAAAAAAGTAATATATATAAGAACAAAATATATATATTAGAACAAAGAATGTATAAAAATTCTGATTGTCAAATTTTATATTTTACTAGAAATATGTGAGAGTTTAGTCAAGTAAAAGTTCTGTACGATAAGGATAATAGTTTTATCCTTATAAGAATTTCTGTACTATAAGGAGAATAGGATTGTTGAAATTTTGAGAACTGTGTTACCTGTACTTTTCCAGAGAGAGAGAGATATATATATATATATATATATATATATATATGGTTTTGGGTTTTGTTTTTTTTGGAGCCTGTTTCCCAGGCTGGAGTGCAGTGGTGTAGTCATAGCTCACCACAGCCTCGAACTTCTGGGCTCAAGTGATCCTCCCACCTCAGCCTCCCAAGTAGCTAGGACTACAGGCAAGTGCCACCCTGCCTGGCTAATTTTTTTTTTTTTTTTTTTTTTTTTTTTTTTTGAGAGATGAGGTCTTGGTACATTGCCCAGGGTGGTCTTGAACTCCAGGTCTCAAGTGAACTCCAGGTCTCAAGTCGGACTTCAGACTCCCAAAGTGTTGGGATTGCAGGCATGAGCCACTCCACCCAGCCTTTACATTGATTGTATTTTGAATGTTAAACCAACTTTGTGCTTCTGGGATAGACTCAACTTAGTGAACGTATTCAGAGCCCTTAACACTATACCCAACAAAGTAGTCATCATCGGTAATTGTTAGTTATTTCGTTTCTCCTTTATTCCTCATCTTAACACATAATTGTAGCTTATTTAATAAAGTAGCTTATTTAATGTCTGCTTATTTAATAAATTTAATATAGCTCATCAAAGATGAATGTACAGTCATTTCTACTGCAGATAAATATTACTGAAAAACCTCATGTTCTGCAAATTCATGCGTTAAAAATAGTAGCCAATTTTAGCTCTTAACATAATTTGTATTCAGCTGCAGTTACCTGTGGCACAAAACATTAATGTGCTTGGAAAAAATCCCATGTAAACCAGTATAACCTCTCTGTTTTGCTACCACTATTCTCCTTTTCACTAGTCACATATGGGCTACTTCACATTATAGAAACATGCATTGTAGTCAAGTAGGAAGGAAGGGTAAAGAGCCTATATTTCAGAAAAGATGAAATTTACAGAATTTTAATTTCTTATGTGGGAGTGAGATGGAAGGAAAAGTAAATTATGACTCCCAGGTTCATACTTAGATTATTGCGTGTAATGCAGGTAGTATATTTGTATACTTACAGTATTCATAGGCAAGGACTTTATCTTTCAGTATGTATCCACAGTTTGAGCCCACTTAGGAATTCAGATATGTAGATATGAAACTATGTGATTCCTAGTAGGCATGGTTCCCAGAATTCCCTTAGTTCTGCATTATTCTTTCAAGAAATGTCTTTTCTGCATCTACTACAGGCTAAGGACTGTTTTAGGCTCAAGGGATAAAGAAACAACCTTAGAGTCAAGTGGGGGGTGGGAGAAGTCACAAGAAAGAGAGAATTCCACTATAATATGACAAGTACTTTGATGGAGTTATGTAGCGCACATGGTAGCAAAGTCTAAGAACTAGCTGAGATATCTGAGGAGCATTGCTCTTACTTTAAAACCTATTAGTATTATAGTTAATGCACACATGAAAGTAGTTTTGTTACAACATATATATATTTATCTCATTTTATAAATTTGCATATTCTGTAAATGTTATGCTTATTGCTTATTCTATGAATATCATTTTCGTAAATGTTTACTCTGCATTCATTTGAGTATAGTTTTGACAGTTTACATTTAAGTATATATTCAAAGGTTGGACTTTTATTAGGTTATTTGCTTTGCTGCAGAATATTTAGAAACATCAGTGTTCTGAATGTTGACAGAATATTTGTCAAGTATCATTTGTTCCATAGAGCTATACTCATTTTTTGCTATTTAATAGACACTCAGATGTTTAAAGCAAAATAGAGAGTTCTGGTTTTCTGAATCCAGCTTTGATTTCATAAGACTTCAATTATGCAAATTTAAGATTATCTTCAGCTTTAATTTTCAACCCATGTTTTGCAGTGGGCTTTGTGTTTACAGTTGGATATCTGTTAGACTTAGGGAAATGTAGTTGAAGTTCTTTTCCAGAACATATGGATAAAATTTAGCAGTGCCTAAAGCTATTTTTTTCTCCTCAGTAAAGATATTAGATATCAGAATTCAATATTTATTTGTATTTATTTTTATAAACATACCATTAACCTGTCTTAGTCCAGTGTATATTGTTGATCCTAGCAGAAATATTTTCTCATTATTACTTGAAAATCTTATTTACTTTCTGCCCTAAAATTAGATTCTCTATTGTCCCTATCTTAAATGTTTTCACTGCTTTTTCTGTACCATAAAGAACATTGCTTGAAAGAAATTAATGACAAATAGAAAATTTTAAGCTTTATTCTTGAGAAGCCAGATTTAATTCACAGGTTTGCATATTTTCAGAAATAAATTGATTGATCTGTGAATCAGGAATTTGTTCATGATGATTCAAAAGGTATAAACTGGAATTACCTTTCTTTTAAACTAAGCATAGTATCAACTATTTTTTGCAAGAGTCTTCTCAAAGCAGGCAACTGGAATTCTGTACATTGAATTTGAAGAACCAGTCTCTCTGTTCCTCAATTTATGTGAGGATTAAAGTTTACATAGGGCTAATGAAACCATATTAATACCTCTGATTTATAGAAAGAAAAATGTTGACCAGTCATGCCACATTATTTCCCAAGGTGTATTTATTAAGAACCCATATTTTGAATAGAACAGTGAGTTAAAAAAGAAAAAAGGATTTCACACTTTGAATAGCAGCTTTACTGGGAGCCATCTGTAACATATGTGTTCTTTTTCTGTAAAAAGAGCTTTTACAAAGAGAATTACAGATTACAAAGAGAATCCTTTTTATGACAGGAGAAACAGTAAACCAATTCAGAGCTTTCAAATTATTGGTTACCAAGTAGGATCTTTTGAGAGGTAAACTTTTCAGTTGGGTTGTGCATTAACTTTCAGTTAAATATATTCAACATTTCTGGAGTGGGAAGTTTGAGACAAATACTTTCTGAAGTGACAGTAGGGTCTTTCTGTAATAATATGAATTACTTAGTTTATTAATCTGTATGTTTAAACTGTATTTAGCAACCCAAACTTTTAATTATTAAAGAATTTATCAATTACGTTCTCATAACTGGCTAATACAGTCATTTTCCAACAGCACCTTGGCTTAACTAGTTTTTTTGTTTTGTATTAAATGTTAGTATAAGTATTCCATTGAAACCAATTATACCTAAAAAGTATATTAAGAAGCATTATAAATAATTTGAAAAATGTAAATATTTGGTGATTTAAAATAAGCCTACCACTAAAAAGCATATTTTTAGTTTCTAATGACTACTTTCCAAGTTTAACTTTTTTTTTTTTTTTTTTTTTGAGACGGAGTCTCGCTCTGTCGCCAGGCTGGAGTGCAGTGTCACGATCTCGGCTCACTGCAACCTCCGCCTCCCGAGTTCAAGCAATTTTCCTGCCTCAGCCTCCCAAGTAGCTGGGATTACAGGCGCCCGCCACTACGAAGTTTTAACTTTTTAAGCTTACCATTTATGTCCTCATATACCTAATATGACAAGGAAAGACACATAAAGGGAAGTGTACAAAATATGCAATGATTAATGGTGGTCAAACCATGCCACATCATACACGAAGCACTTTTTTTTTTTTTTTTTTTTTGAGACGGAGTCTCGCTCTGTCGCCAGGCTGGAGTGCAGTGTCGCGATCTCGGCTCACTGCAAGCTCTGCCTCCCGGGTTCATGCCATTCTCCTGCCTCTGCCCGCCCCCCCCCCCCCAACCGCCCAAGTAGCTGGGACTACAGGCGCCCGCCACCACGCCTGGCTAATTTTTTTGTATTTTTGGTAGAGACGGGGTTTCGCCATGTTAGCCAGGATGGTCTCGATCTCCTGACCTCGTGATCCACCCGTCTCGGCTACACAAAGCACTTCTACCTGTACCCCCTCATTTAATCATCACAACAATTTATTTTACAAAAGAGGCAACTGGACCCCAGAAAGCTTTGCCAGAATCCAAGTTTACTGATACTCAGATCTATGCTTTTACACATGGTGAAGGAACTTTCTCCACTCAGCTCTCCTACAAGGAATAAACTTGTTTTTATAAATACGCTATTTGTAAAAGAGTAATTTTTTTTAATAAAAGACTAACCCAAAATGCAGGCACCAAATAACATTAATAGTTAAGAATTTCATTGATTGCAGCTTGTCAGGTGTATTATTACATTCTCAAACATTTTGTTTTTAAGGTAGAGAAGAAGGTAATGTGTTTGAAAAATGTTTTTTATCTAAATACTATTTTTTATAACTTCATGGGTTTTTTGAGGTAGATTTTTCTTATAACCATTTTTAAAGAAAATAAAAGATTGTCATAACATCTTTTATAAAATGTGATATGCATAATTACTGTCTTCACCATTTTTAAATGTACAGTTTATTGGCATTAAGAACATTTATATTGTACAGCCATCACCACCATCCTTCTCCAGAACTCTTCATCTTGCAAAACTGTAACTATTAAATAACCATTAAACAACTCCCCATTCACCCTCCGCCTAACATCTGGCAGCCACAATTCTACTTTCTGTCTATGAATTTGACCACTCTAAATACTTCATATAAGTAGAGTCTCATACAGTGTTTATCTTTTGTAACTGGCTAAACACCTCTTAAAATATACATTGTTGTATATTTTCACCTTATGCATGTGGAGACTTTAGAATGACCATGTACCTCCATGTAAAGTACAGTAATAGGAATTTCTTGGTGCCAGAGCATACATAAGTACACCAGTAGCCATCCATCTTTACCCTTTTTGTGCAAGCACCTAAACAGCCTGAGACATTTTTTTCCAGACAGATGTAAAAATAACATAAGTGAATAATTGAGCACATTGTGTAAGGAAAATAGCCAGCCTATTTGTTGTTGCTTGTAGTAATTTAATTTAGTAAGCATCACAGAATATTAGAATTTGAAAAGGATATTAGAATAATCCAGTCCAGCACTCTCATTATACAAATGAGAAAACACAAACTGGCAGTGACTTACCCAAGGTCACATAACAAAGGTAGTGGTAGAACCAGGTGTTCTTAATTCCATGCTCTTTCCCTTATATGTTCATTAATGTACTAATTAGTATAGTAATTCTTATGGTCTAGCAGATTATCCCTTTGAATTTAAGAGATCCACATTTATAGAATAAAATAAGTAAAAAGTTAATGTTTACATAAAACAAATAATGAATAACAGAAAAAGTTATCTGCCCTTAATTTTTGTGTTAAAGAAAGTTTCACTGGGGATAGGTACACCATGTTTTCATTAAAACAAAATGTGTTTAAGAGGACTTTTGACATACTAAATCCCTAATATGAGGTTTAATTCTGTAGCATTCGTGGGTTTTTTTTTTTGTACTAATGCTAAGTGTATAATAAAACATAGAATTGGTATGTTTCATTTTGTATAAACATTTTCTTAGAAAAGTTTGTCAGTGTTTAAAAATGTGAATAGTGATTTCTGCTAGAATTGGTTATACCATCCACTCAAGCTTCAGGGATCACATAGAATACTCCATGGCAGTTGTCTTCATACTTACATAATTGTATACCTCATCAGTTAAAAAAATTCACACAGCTCAATTATGTTTATTTATAACTTACGTATACAAACTACTGATAAATTATATAAAAGCTTACATAAAACAAAATTTTTAAAGGATATCAAAAGCAATTTTTTTTCTGTTTTTTATTTCTATACCCAGTGGGTCACTTTATACACTGCATTTTCCTTTGGAAATCAAAGGGATTGAGGTTTGTTTGTTGTTGTTGTAGTTGTTGTTGTTGTTTGAGTCTCACTCTGTTGCCCAGGCTGGAGTGCAGTGGTGCGATCTCGGCTCACTGCAACCTCCGCCCCCCAGGTTCAAGTGATTCTCCTGCCTCAGCCTCCTGAATAGCTAGGATTACAGGCACGCACCACCATGCCCAATACTTTTTTGTATTTTTAGTAGAGACGGGGTTTCACCATGTTGGCCAGGCTGGTCTCAAACTCCTGACCTCAAGTGATCCGTCTGCCTCGGCCTCCGAAAGTGTTGAGATTACAGGCATGAGCCACCATGCCCGGCGAGGATATTAATAATGATAATCATTTACTTAATTTAATGATACTCTGGCCTATTGCTACTGTAACTTAGAACAGTATAAAATGAACAAATCCAATATGATATAACGTATTAAATTACTTTCATGAGGGTCTTTGGAATGACAATTTTAAGAAGCTCTATAAAAATGTCACCAAATCAACTAACACATATTTAGCAACTGCAGGTAAGACACTGTAACCATCTACCAGGAAGGAGCTTATAATATAGTTGGAAAGCCTCTTAGTTAGATGTATTCTGAGTGTATGTAAAGATAATTGATAATTTAAGAGGGACTATACAAAATGTCTTATGTATGTTACAGAGAGTAGAGGTATTCATGGAGAGGAACGATCACTTCAAACCTGTAGGCGTCAACAAGGGCCTCAAGGAGGAGTTGCATTTTTTTTATTTATTTATTTATTTATTTATTTATTTATTTATTTGGTTGGTTGGTTGGTTGGTTTGGCTTGAGCCTTATTCTTTGAGTAGGCAGAAAGCATGAAAATATTTAGGGGAAAATGAGTGAATTTGTTTTATTGGAACAGATGGTTTTTGTGAAGGAAACTAGTGGAAGGTCCGCTAGGAAAGTAGGCTTCATTCTTTAGGAGGACATTATTCTTAGCCAGACTAAGCAAATTGGACTTTTTCTGTTTGCAGAAGCAGATATGTGAGTAGTTTAAGAAGATGAATCTGCTGGCAATGTAAATATATTTTGATGGAGAGAGAAAACAGAGTTACACCAGTTGGCAAGCTATTACACAGTTCATAGTAAGAACTAACATTTGAGTGCCAGGCACTGTTCTAAGCACTCTTCAATTGTTAAATCTTATGCAGTAAATACTGTTATTCCCATTTCACAGGTAAGGAAACTGAGGCACAGATAATTTTCTTTCCCCTAAGATCACACAGCTGGTAGCCTATGGAGTCTCTGTCTTCTAGCTGCTGCTGTGGATCATTTGAATCTAAACAAGAGTTCTGGCTCTGAATAGAAATGAGGGACATGCACACAAGAGACCAAAAAGGGGACATGAGTAGAATTCAGTGGACTGTGTATGGGGCAGCTGGGGAAGTATCAAAGATGAGCCAAGCTTATTTGGAAATGGATGACAACATTAATCAAAACAGAGATGTTGAGATCAAATGGTGAAAAGACAGTTAACTGTCTTCCAGAAGCATTCAGACCAGCAAGGAGACAGACATAAATAAATAACTTCAGTGTAATATCATATAGAAAACATGTTTAAGAAATAGTCAGTGATTTGGGGAAAAAGCCACCTAGGTGTGTTTGTTTGAATCTAGGAAGTCATAACATCAGAGGTATTATTTGAGTTAAGCCTTGAGATCTGCTAAATTGACGACAGATAAGCTGAAAGAAGGTGTTTCAGTAAAGAAAGCAGTAGCATGTGAGGTAATGGTGAAATATCCAAATGCAAACGTCTAGCTTTGGTTAAATCAGGAGGGAGAGCTACATTCAGGAATCATCTGAGCAGTGGTGATACTTGAAGCCAAAATACTCTAAAGTAGAATATCTTGAAGAAAGACTTTAAGGCATAGAAGGAAGAAGATGCCAGTGAAGGACCTAAAGAAATAGGAAGTGAAGGAAGAATATTAAAATGTAGAAGGCCAGGAAAGCAGGGCTGTGAATAGCGAAGTGGTATTCACTGACAGAGAGATGAAACCACTTCATGATATATTTCTTTCTAGTCTTTAGTCTGTGTTTTTATTGTTATTGTTTAAAATTATTTCATAGTATATGTTTTATGTCCTGCCTTTTCAATAAGTGAATGAGCTGCAATTTATTTACTCGTTGCTTTGGGGCATTTGGGTTTTCCCTTCCACTCTAAGGAAGCAAATCAGCTTGTAAAGGATTCTGGGGAATGAGTTGTGAGAAAATGGATGCAAGTGTAAAATAAACATAAAATACTGAATTCAGAAAGTTAGCAGTGGGTTTAGTAAACTGAAACAAAGATGAATTATTCATCTTTGCTTTCTGGACACCTAGATCAGTGACTGACATTGAATGCATGAAGAGAGAAAGAAATGAAATTTAAAAGTAGAGTTTGGAATCATGCATGATCAATGCAATAGTTTTTTTTTATAATAATGAACATTTATATTTCTTAGGATACACAGTACTAATTGTTTAGCCTTGGAAAATAGGAGGGATACCTTTTCTTGAGGCTGACGGCAAGAAGGCATGGCTTTTGTACAGATGCTTTCAAGATAAGAAAGAACAAAACCCAGGACCTGATTAGACTTACTCAGTATAGTAGTAGTTGAGTCATCTGCTGAGAGTGGAGATAATGAGGTGTAATTACAGCTTGAAGAGAGTGAAAGCAAAATTTTACATGTTTCTTTTGAAGAAGATGATGTACAAGCAGCAGGAAGTAAATAAAAGAATTGTCGGGTAGCAGCGACGACCTAGCTAGAAGCTGATAGGATGGTTATGGTGCACAGGAGTGGTTCGGAGTGGAGCATGTACTTATTCCTGTCTCAAGAATAGTAGCCCCTCGATCATAAGAATTTGGATGGAAGACTGGTTTTTTTCACAGAATACATTAAGTTTTTATAAACTCCTGGAACTTCAGAGCTGGAAGAGGAGATGTATTTAAGTTCAATTCTTGATATTAATAAAAAACAATAGAAATTTTAATGTACATATATAACATCGCAAAATGAATAAGCATTTATTATGAGCATTGTTTCATAAGGCATAAAAATATAAACCTCATACTCCCACTTTTTACAGTAAGAGGTAACTCACCTTCATTGATGAAAGTTACCGGTGGTATCTTGAAAGGGCTTTTGGTGGGAGAAGTTGCCAGATCAGGTGGTGGCATTAAATCTCTGGGATAACCTGGATCCCTCTGAATCTCGTTACCTCCCAGCAGACCAGGAGTATACTGTTGGCTGTTAGGAATATGTTGTGGCACCACCTGGACAAGTGGGGGAGACACATGGGTGTCTTGTCGGGAAAATATCCTCAAGCACTGTTCTTCCAACAAAGTGATCATCACAGATTGGTTATTGACAAGATCAGTCAAGGAAGCGTATTTCACCTCTAGTTCCCTGTATCTTGTTGCCATCTTCAACATTTCTGTGGTGACATTGAGGATTTTGTTTTCCAGTTGGGAAAGTTCAAGTGAATTATCCCTCTTACGGATAATCTCATGTAATAATTGCATATAGAGTTGAGTAACACGAGAGTTCATGTTACGGCTTTCCTTTCTCAGCAGCTTTACCTCATTCACAATGTTTCCATCTACATCCACCACCAGTTGCAGAACATCTATCTCCCGCTTCTGCCTGGAGAGCACATCCTTCAGGTTTTCAAGGTCCATCCTGGTGATCATGTCTTTAATGGTACTTGCATCTTGCCCCTTGGTGTTGACACAGATTGGCCCTGTTATTCTTTGTTCAGGTACCAGGAATGTGTATGCACATTTCTTTGCTTCCTCTTTACCATCTGTGGCACGAGGGTATCTTCTCTGGTTTATTTTTTTAATTTTGAATTGTCCACCTCTGCAATGTCCAGTGTCCACTAGTAGGAAGAATAGCACACCTAGGGTCCAGGTAAAAGTCTTCATTTTGAAATGAGGTTGTAAAATGATGTCTTTTGAAAAACAAATCAGTGAAGGAGAAAAAGCAAAAAGAATTCATATTAATCTATGTTAAAGTCAGTAATCTTAAAAACTATCTGAGGGAAAAACTGAATATTTATTGGTGTTAATAGATTAGGCTAGAATTAACTTTATTAATTTCTTAAATTTAATATTAAGTTGTAATACTTTGGCATTTGTTTAAAGATTAGGTTTCAGAGAATAACTCTTCCAGCTACCACCTTATTGTAATCCTTTTTGTTCCCCAGTTTATTGAGCAGATTTTGGTCAGTGTCTACTCTGTGCAAAGATACGCTGCTAGTGCTGTTGAGGCTTTTGAGACCCTGATAAGATAGCTTTCTTACCTTTAAAAAGCTCACTGCCTTAAGACTATGAAAATGGTACACAGTGTTTGTAAGGCATTAATTAAAACATTCTTGCCTAACTAGTATTAAAATTACCAGGTGACTTTACTAGCCAATGTTTTAGATTCATACCATGCAATTCCAATTAAATTGATCCTCTGTAATAAATTATGTCATCTTCATTAAAATGTTCAATAAAGTTAAAGATTTTAGGGAAATCTAAACCCAGATAGTTTTAGCATCACATGCTTTTTATTTTTATAGCATCTCCTTTTGGGATTAGTGACAGGTTTTAGAATGATAGAATGCTCACAGTCATTGTGGGTAATTATATTTCCTGAACTGTAATTATATGTACTCTGAGCTTATAGATAATTCAGCAGGTTTGTTCTTCTAACAGAAGTCCTACTGAACTGTATTTTAGTAAAATGTTAGTAATTTTCTACAACCATTACCAAGGAAAGAAACTTGTCTGTAATTGAATATGAATGTCAGAGTTGGAAATGCCTTAGAGACCCTGTCATTCAAGAACCTCTTTGTACTCTGTGCATGTTGAAGGCTAAGGCCACACAAGGATTAGAACCAGGTCTAGATCGGATTCTCTGACCCATAGTCAGTATTTATAGAAGCAGCACCTATACTAAAATATGTGCTTAGAATGTTTCGTTTTTGCTGTAGCAGATGAGAAATACTTCTTTATAGTACAAATTCTTCTGAGGAAACAGTTTCAAGAGCCAAGACTTTTTCCTTTCTCTCTAGTTACCTCCCACAAGAGTAGCAGAAGTAGAATGGGTAAGGTATGTTCACTCTGTCAGATCTACTAACGAGCTGGTCTATTACAGGCCACCTTTTCACTCTTGCGAACTTCATACCTATCTGCCATTTTTGAAGGATGGCAGTGGATACCCTAAGACAGAGCTTTTCTGTCCAAATTTCCACATAAGTACCTGTTTCTTGATTTAAGAAACCAGCTCCTAAGTTGTTTATGCCTGTTGTTAATAACAACACAATAACAGTAATTAATATTTATTGAGTGCTTGTTCAGTGTTAGGCACTGTTTTAAGCCATTTTCATGTTTTACTTATCACCACAACCCTATGAAGTAGATTATTATGATCCCCACTTTCAGATGGAAAACTTGGCATCCAAAAGTTAAGTACCTTATTATCAAGAGTCACACAGGTTCATAGTGATGGAGCGAGAATTTGAATCCAGGCTGAAGACTTCAGAGTTCATGTTTTCAATCCCCTGTATTTATGTAGCTTAACACATGTTAACTATTTGCATTTATAACACTGAAGTAATGCTGTATCATTTTATAAAGGAGGAAAATCCTTGAGAAGCTAAATCACTCAAATGGGATTCAAACCTTCTACTCCTAACTTTTCTAGACCTATGATTTTTACCCTAGTCATGTCATAACCACAGAGGAGTCTTAAGTTTATGTTTCTTGTTTTTCGCTGCCTTTTCCTGGTTTATGTCCCTTTTCATTGACCGGTTACTTAATTATGCAAAAGTATTTATGGATAATTTTTGGTAGAATTTGTGTCCACGTTCTGCCAGATCATTTTTTTACATCTCAGACTCTTCTGCGGCAATTTCTTTCCTTCTGTATGTATTCTGTCAGCTGATAGTTATATATCTAACCTATGATTATGGACCCCTCCCGAAAACAAAGGTCATGTCAATGAAATATAACTCTTATGCTGTCGTCATGAAGACTACTGCTACTTTCACTTTCTAAAACCATGTTCCTTTTTTGGTATTTTTCAATTGAATAGTGTCTTCAAAATGGGTAGATAATGAAAATAAGGCAAATATAGATGGAGTATGGAGAATTATTATTATTTTACTAACAAGAGAGGGAATGAAAACAAAAGATAGGGAGGACATAACAATCTGTATTTCTATCGAGGCCTTCTTTTGCTGACTGATAGCCAAAGCACACATGGGTATTTTTTTTAGCTTTTTATGTTTTCATACCTTGCTTTCTGACATATATAGAAAATTTAGAAACAGTCATCTATTTTATTTTTAAAAATAGACTTTTACTATGTAGGAGTTACCTATACCAAAAACCAATAAAACATTTATTATATCTCCAGATTCGTGGAATTTAGATATGGGTTATTTTAAAAACTAGGGACAAGAAATAAAAGCCATCATCCTCCTGGGCACATGCATATCATTTTTCCTATATATTTAATTTAACTTACCACTGCTAAAGTCCATTCATTTTAATACTAGAATGGAAACTCTGAGATCATAAAATTATTTTACTTAAATAATATTTACTATGAAATAAACTACCAAAACAAGGAAAATGCAGGAAGTAATATAAAACTCTAAAACAAATAGAATTTTATGAGCAATATTCTGATTGAACAGCTTGTATTAATACCAGACACAGATTTTTATAAAACAGCTAAAAGCGCATCATCCAAGACTGCTGTTAGGACTTTGCATCAGTGTTGTCATTGAAGAACAAAAAACACCAAAATGCTAATCTAAATTAAAACAAAAACAGCTTCCTTGTGTGTATTCTGCCTTGGCTCATTGTGGTTCCTATAAGATTAAATCATAAGATAAATCACTGTTTACCATAAGAGAAAGTGGTCTAAATTAGCATTTAAAGGAGGCAACTAAAAGTTTAGTTTTTAAATAAATATAATTTTTTTTTAATAAATACAAAAGTATTGGCTTCACTGTCACTTAAAGCAGGGCAAGGAGCCACATTTCTTAAGTAGTAGACTAGCTACGTCAGGAGTAAAGAACTGGTTTTAAAAATACATTTACTGTTATGTTTTCTGAAAACATTCTCTTATTTAATATTTTCTCACATATGTTCAGTTTTGAAGCAAAAGATCCATAAATCTATGTTACCTCATAAAACTTTCTGTATATGTTAAAATTTTCCTAGGCCCCAAGAGAATGTTATAAATTAGTTATAGAATACTTACGTTTAAATTTAAGTCTTTACTTAGTTGTTTTTAGAAGAGAAAAAAAAGTCTTCTATGCGTTGGGTTAATTTTATTAGTAGCTTTTCTCTTCATAGTTGCTATATTGCCAGCTAGTAGAGAGAAGAAACGAAAGTCAGGATTTGCCTCCTTTCAGATGGTAAACTCACAGAGGCATTTAACTGGCTGTGTCATGCACTGAAAACAGCATGAGGCAATGAAGTTAAATTTATGAAGCATTCAGGATATGTTAGATAAAGAATTTCTAGATTGTGAAATATGTTCTGGGAAGAGACTTGAGAACAATCTAATCCCCTGGATATATTTAAGAAAAGGATAAATAGTTATCTGTGTAATTTGGGGTTCAGATTAAATGCCTGCCTTAAGACAGCGTCAGTAAGAACTGAGGCTTAATGAAGTCCTGCACTTCCCATAGCATGCAACAACAAAAAAGAGAGATGACAGTATTTCAGATCCACTGTTGCTTGGAAATTTTGTTAGAATTTCTTGTAAAATATGTGTTTAACAGAAATCCTGCCAGCATTTACAGTTTTAAATCTTTAAGGAAAGGACACAAAAGCAAAGTTGGAAAAAATTTTAGCTTTACCATTATTTGCTTGTTCAAGATTCTTAACCATTAATATCTTTAATTTTTACAAGGCTAAAGGAGCCCCAAATCTAACAAACTTAAGTGTCTTTGGTTTAAGGCATACTATTGGTAACGAGTAATTTTATCTTTAATAGTTTTTATAATGCATGTAAAAAAAGCTCCCAGATAGAATATTGAAGGAAACCTCTTATGTGTGCTTAACAAAATTATTTCTACCTAAAATATTACATATTTTTGGCCTTTTAGTCATGAATTTAATTACATCTTCTGGGTTCTTATTTTCTATTGTTAATACCACTTACATAATGCTTTTGTGTGTATATCAATAACTTAGCTTTTCCAAGTGATTCCATTTGTAGCAAGTTTAATTTCTGTCATCCAAATTAAATTACTATTACATGTAAGCCTGGAAAGCTATTTAAAATTTTGAGTTGGAACAAGAAATGCCATAGATTAATCTTAAATCTGTACAAGAATTTCTGCTTAATATTTGGTTATACTGTAATTGAGATTTTGTTGCAAAGACTTTCAACTATTTTTGTATCTTAGCTTTGTTTTATGACTACACTGAGAAATCCAACAGTTTATGTATATCTTCAGCACACACACTGTGGCTGCAGGAAGAGAAACTAATTGTGTTCACGACTATTTAGTTTGTATTCCTTTGTTTTTAATCATTGTGCTGTAAGCCTTATACATTTAATCTGTTACTTGTTAAAATTTCTTTCTACTGTCACTAAAGCACTTGTTTTCAGAAACCCAGCATGGCATGCATGTATCAGTCTGTAATCATATACACTAAACATCATTAAATTGAACCTCAAATAATGCATTAACCATTGCACAGTACTTAATGTTTTTATGTCAAGTTGCAAGATAAAACCTTTTTCAGATGAGATAAACTGTAGTATATTCCAAAGGTCTTTGTTTAGTAAAAGATTCTGAAATTTCTACTACAAATATAAAATAGTTATGCATTTGCTATACATAATATTTTTAAATAAAAGAAATATTAAATACCTTTTTGTGTCTGTTGATTCAGTGAATCCAGAAACTTGCTGCCCTTATTCTTGATTTTAAAAATCAGTGTAGAAGTTTGTTCATCTGTGACTTTAATGGCAGCTGCATTTTTGTTTTGGACCGTTGAATCCAAGCTGTAAGAAGGAACTTCTTTTTCCTTTTACAATACTAATCAATTGAATTTGACAAGCCACCTATGTAATTTTAAGTAGTATAGTGGAAGTTCTGGTCTGTGGGCCGTCTTTAATCCAGCAGAGAAAGCGTTGTGGCTTTGCTCTGTCTGCCACATGGAGAAATGCAGTAACCAGCTGCAGCTGACCCAGATTGTATATACAGTACCCCTGAATAGTGATTCCCTCTTTCTCAGTAGACTCAAGTTCAGCCCACATATTACATCACCAAAAATTGCTGGAGACTGGGGGCGGGAATCTCCTTAGGATTTCCTCTTTGTAGCCTTAAATAGGGGGGTGGGATCAGCAGGAGGTTGAATAGTTTTGAACAAGGAGAGATTGTGTGCAGGTTGAAGGAAGGGCACCATCTGGAAACAAACTATCATAGTTCAGCGGGCAATTATAAAACAAACATTTTAGTCTGCTGGCCAGAGATCTTTTAAGTTGAATACCGAAAAAAAAAATAGTGCTCCACTTCACTTAGAAGTAGTTGCAGGCTGATGAGTTTGGTTTTTGTTAACAAAGAACAAGAGCTAGACTTTGTCAGGAGGCAGCCACCTAAATAATGTAATAAATACTCTTTATAGCCTAGAAGAATTTGTAAACATTTTACTAAGTTGCTAATGAAGGTTTTAAACTTACAAGAAACTTGATGTTGTTGTAGTATGTTATGTCTTACTGTGTAATGTGTCTTAAGATAAAACAGCCTTTATATATAATTACCAAACATAAGTGAAATTCTTTCAGATGCTTAAGACTTTTAAATATTACATTCTGGTGTTACATAATGTCATATCCTCCTATTCTACAAAATGACCTCTCCTCTCTGTAAAAGGTCATTCTTGTTATTAATTGATGTGGTGTGGTTTAAAAACAAACATAACCCTGAACTGAGTAAAAAACAAGGAAGCTCTGACTCTATGCCAGCTATGTGAACTTAGACAAATCACTTTACCTGCCTCTGGCAAGGTTCTTCTGCTATGAAATAAGGTGGTGGAAGAAATGAATAAGTGTTGAGTACAACTATACTATTGTATTTCATTAATTGAAGAAATGTTAAATAACTCAGTAGCTGAAGAAACACAAACTTAGGCTTAAGTAACTTAGCTTAGCACTTAAGTACTAAGTAGTGGAACTGGGATTTGAATCTAATGCCAAAGCATTATGCCACACTCTCTGTCATTGATTACCTAGTTGCTGTAAGCTGCTTCTAGATAAAACTTTTGGGCTTTCTCTACATACCTGTGCTTTCCCTTCCTTATTGCTGTAGCTTGTGCTGTGTTTCTCTTTCTGTTAGGCCACACTGTTGATCCACATCCTTTATTTAAAGTCTGAGCTTATTTTCTACCTCTTTCACAGAATCATTTATTTGAATTCCTATGCCATATATAGGTATACCAGAGGTTGCAAACACAAGGGCCTAGAAAGGCAAATGCTCACAAGAAGAATGGAGCAGGTAATATAAATCAGTGAAGTAAATCAGTAGTAAGATACTGGAGGGAAATGAAGTTTATGGCAAGTTGGCATCCTTTTGGTTAATTTAAAGGGATCTGCCTGCACCTTCTCAGCTGTGCTTGTGGCCATGAAGGATTATGAGACAGTGTTGCCAGATCTTCCCATTATTCAGGAAAAAAGAGCCATTTAGATTTTTCCTGTAATACTTCCTGATTTTAAAAAACATTGGGACAGATGTGCTGCCAGCTTCTGGCCTCTGATTTGTATTATGTATCGTTTCTTGAGCATTCAGTAATTATGTTGTAGTCACTAATGGCTTAAATCTGGGAAAAATAAGAGATAATAAATTCTTTCTGAGCTTTTAAACTTTCAGCAGTTTGGAGCTTTCTAACTTGAGCACTTAGTAATATCACTAGCCAGGGTAGGAAATTGGAATGACAGGTATTTAGGGACAGATTATGGTTAGATATGTTAAATTGAAAATGAAAGTCAGGAGCTCAGTTATATGGAGAGATTTGAAAGTCACCAGCAATTAGGTAGTAGCTAAAGCTATGGAACTAAGATACTAGAGAAAGTACATGTAGAATGTAAAGGAAGGTTAATGACAGACCATGATACCAATTTCCAGGAAACCAGCTTACAAGAAACATGAGGAAAAAGAAGAATGGTGGGGGCTTAGGGGGAAGATACGAAAGTTCAAGGTAGGGAAAACCTGAGAACTAGACGAGAATGGTTACAATACTGCAGAGACATTACATAGGGAGGGGAGACCAAGAGAGATGTTTTAAGACTTAGAATGAGAAAGTTATTAATGCCATTGCCAAAATAAGTGATACATACAGATTTCAGATTATTTAGTGTGTTGAAGGGTGACTAGATAAAATTTAACTGACAAATTAGTGTCCACAATACATTAAGAAATTAGAAATCCATAAGAAAAAGACAACCCAAAAGAAAAAATGAACAGAAACATTTATTACATAGAAATATATACGTTTAACCTTATTACTAATCAAGGAAATAAAAATTAAGACACAGAGAGATACCATTTTATACTCAGAAGATTGGCAAAATTGAGATGGATAATACCAATTGTTAGCACAAATGTGGATCAACAGAAGCTTATATACCGTGAGTGGGAGTATGAATTGATACAGCTTTGAAAAATAATGTGACACCATCTTGTAAAGTTGAATATTAATATACTTTAGCACTTGGCAGTTTTGCTCCTAGGCATGTTTGTATATCCTGAAGAAATTTTGTACATGTGTACTGGGAGATGTGTATAAGAATGTCTATAGCAACATGGTTGGGGGTGGGATGGGAGTAACTCAAAAGTCTATCAAATAAAATGGATGAGTTACAATTGTCACACATTAGCTTGTTCTCATTATAAGGAATTACAGCAGCATTTAACAGCGTGGACAAGTCTTAGAAACAAAATAGACGAAGCAACCACAGAAGACCATATTTTTAAATTTTATTTAATAAATGCTTATAAATCACTTGGTATGTACTAGACACTTTTTTTTTGAGACGGAGTCTTGCTCTGTCACCCAAGCGGGAGTGCAGTGGTACGATCTCGGCTCACTACAAGCTCCGCCTCCTGGGTTCTCGCCATTCTCCTGCCTCAGCCTCCCATACTAGACACTTTTCTAACATTACAAATACTATTATTTAATCCACACATACAATAAAATATGATTTTTAAAGCTCAAAAATAGGCAAAAGTAGGAATACAGACAAATGTCGGGGAAAAAATAAGGGAATGATCTTAAAGTTCAAGGTAATGGTTACTTCTGGACAGGAAGCAAGGAGATGAAGTAGAGAAGGAACATACAGATAGATGCAACAGTATTGATGATGTCGTAGTTCTTTTTTAAAGTAGTTTACCCCAACATATTAAAATATTAACATGTAACCAATAAAAAAGTTAATAGATATTTTACATTAATTTTTCATGTTAACTCTTCAAAATCTTGTCTATTTTATATTCAAATACACCTCAATTCAGAATAGACCCACGAAACAGTAGTCACATGTGGCAAGTGGTTATATTGGACAGCACAGTATAGCGAGTGACTACAGGCGAGTTGTCATCTGAGTTTAATAAGATGGAAGAATGGCAAGAACTGGCACATTAGTACCCCGCTCAAATCCCACTTCTTCCTTGAAGCTTTCTCTGATCCCATCAGCAAGGAATGACATTTTTTTGCACAGAATTCTTATGAAACTCCTGTTTAAACTTTTCTGTGCTACTTTTTTATATCTTCTATTGCTGTTATTGATGTACATATGCCAACATCCCCGTGCCATTTCCTTGAGGAATCTTTTAGCTCTCCTTAGGGATGTTGTAGTCATAAGTTGACTGGTCTTTCACAAATGTTTATTATGTTGTTTGATAACAACAAGTGTCACATGTGTTGATAATTTTTTCTTAGGGCAGGAGTCTCACCATGTTGCCCAGACTGGTCTCAAACTCCTAAGCAGTCTGCCCGCCTCAGCCTCCCGAAGTGCTGAGATTACAGGCATGAGCCACCGTTCCCGGCAATAATTTTTGTGAAATCACGATTCTCACACAAATATGAAATGAATATGTGTCAGAATTTTCATTTAAATTATTAAATTTATAAGGGAATCAAAAATGTGTCAAGGGAGAATTCAAAGTAACACACATATATGCAATCAGGAACGCTGAAGTAAATTTACAAATAGTTGCAAAATTGGTCATCACTGATTAGATCCCACTGGACATAATTCTTTGGCATGTTTATGGACAATAATTTGTATTACCAGTTTTCAACAGCTGTGCAGAGTTGTAAAATAGCTCAGAAGGACCAAATGGGTGCACTGGAGACAGGATACCCAGTAATCTTTTTTCCCATCTCAAAGTTTTTCACAATTTTCCTGACACATGTGTATCAAATATTACATTAAAAATAGAACGAAGAATAAAAGAAGTGTACTATTGTATGTTTCTCTTCCAAGGTGTTTGTTGAAGGGAGGACAAGGATGTTATCTTGAGGCGTGGGATCAGATTTGAAGGAAGAGTTGCTTAGATTTTGTTTTATAAGTAGGGGAGATTTAAACATGTATATTGGGCCAGGTGCAGTGGCTCATGCCTGTAATCCTAGCACTTTGGGAGGCTGAGGCGGGTGGATCACTTGAGACCAGGAGTTCGAGACCAGCCTGGCCAACATGGTGAAACCCCATCTCTACTAAAAATGCAAGAACTACCCAGGCGTGGTTGCGCATGCCTGTCATCTCAGCTATTCGGGTGGCTGAGGCACAAGAATCACTTGAACCCAGAAGGCAGAGGTGGCAGTGAGCCGAGATCGCACCACTGCATTCCAGCCTGTGACAGAGCAAGACTCTTTCTTGAAAAAAAAAATGGTTTAAAAAAAAATATGTATACTGGCTCTGGGGAAGGAGCCAGTAGGGGTGAATGATAGTAGAGGCAACAGTGGTTGTCTGGAAGGAGGCAGCAACGATTGCATTCAAAATTACAGTTGAGATTTCGGAAGAAGAGAGAGATGATTCTTCCTCCAAGATTGGGGAAAGTGGGAAGAACCTCAGCTTCATTTGGAACCTCAAGATTCATTTGGAGTCATAGGGAAATAAAGTTGAGGTTATCTAAAGAAAAAAAAGTATGATAGGTGACTTAAAGAATACTGTAAAGATTTACTGAGTGGAAAATGAATGATACTAGGATGAGTAAAAAGATTGCCATGCCAACCTTTTATGTTAAGCACCTATTGTCAAAACATTGCACAAGATTTTCTTTCTCTTGGAGTGCAAGATAGAGCAACTGCCTTAAATGAGTTTGCAGTCTTGAATAGATAAGATATAAATGTAAAAAAAATAAGTAATGAGATTTTGAAGTCATAAAAGTCATTAAGTGAATAGTAAGCACACATAATGTATGATTTTTTAATAGAATATAAGTAATTTTTTTTTAAATTGGGCTATAAGTGAAACGTCTGAGATCCAGCTGTCACTAACAGGTTGCATGGCATTAGACAGGTCCCTTTACTATCTATGTATTTCAGGTTCTTCATCTATAAAAGGAGAGGATTAGACTAGACAGTGTCTGAATTCCTTTCTTGGAATCTGTGAGAAAACTAGAGAATATTGACACCGAATTAGATAAGCAAAATATAAGATTTGGATAGGCAGAGATAAGTCCAGAAAACATTTTAGGTATAAGAAAAAGCTGAGTAAAAACAGGGTTTATTTAGAAGGCAGTGGGTATGTCATTTTGGTTGCATTTACCCTGAGAGTACATGAACATGAAGTAATGGGGTAAAAGTAGGAAGGTATGTTTTTCTTTTCTCTCCAGCTATAGTTGTCTAATACATTTCACATGTGCATTGTGAACTCTCCAGAAATAAACTTAAATAAGTGACCTTTCATGTTAAGGACTAGTACAACCAAATTTTAGAGGATGTGTTATTTTTGTTGGTACAAAAAGCATGGAGGGTAAGAAATAGTTAACTTCAATTTGTAGTCACATGAACCATTTCAGAAATTTATTTGTTGATCTTTAAAATGTAAAACATTTCTACCAGATTGAGATAATTTTCAAAGTAGTTAAGACTCAAATGATAGCTATCAACTCAAGGCAAGAGAGTAAAAACAAATATTAAATAATTTCCCTATGTCAGTCAGTGGCTGGGCTGCTGGCTAAATTAATATCTTCAAGTTGTAACACACCTTGGAAAATGGATACTTGCATAGGTTTTAAGTCTGAGGTTCTCAGTTTAAAATAACTCTCCATTATGAAACTAGTCAGAGGCAGAGCCAATTGAAGAACTCAGCTCCTTTCCATTAATTCCCATATGTGCTGGAGTTTCTAACTCTAGCCTCAAACTATACTTGAAAATGAAATCACAAGAAGACATTTACAAAATAGCATATTATTACAAAAAATTGGTATATGTCTGACCCCAACTGTATGGAAAGCTAGGCCCCAGTAACCATATGTTACCCAGGCTTCAGTGTATTAATAGCAATATATTTTAAATGTAGCGTACAGTGGAATATATCTATAAACAACCCCTTCCCCCCTTTTCTTTGTCATAGTCTCCCAACCTACAACTAAGAAAACGTTCATTTATCTAATTGTATTTCAGGTATCTATTTGTCAGATTTAACATACATCGATTCAGCATACCCATCAACTGGCAGCATTCTAGAAAATGAGCAAAGATCAAATTTAATGAATAATATCCTTCGAATAATTTCTGATTTACAGCAGTCTTGTGAATATGGTAAGTTTCTAGGGGATAATGCCAAGCCATTAAGATTGCTGTAATCCAGTGATTTATTTACACACACTGATGATCACTTTTCACACAGCAGGGGACATCAATTTCTTATTTCCATTCTAATGTAAAGGAAAATAATGCTTGTTTTATTTTGCCATTTACTATGTAGCATCCTGTTTAAGATCTTGCTTTTAAGGAATTTAAGTATTTAATATTTAAAATTTTTATTTTTATATTTTGCTTTTCTGCTATTTTGCAGCAACTTTCTCACAGCACAAAGGCACTAAGTATTTAATATTACTACCTCACAGCTATTTGGCCCTTTATAGCACAGCTATTTGGCCCTTTATAGTTTACAAAGTCATTTTCTAGTCATTTTCTATTATCTCATTTGATCTCCCTGATCTATTATGTAAATCGTTCTTACAGTTTTCAATTAGGGAAGTATAGCTGAGACCCTTGAGCCTCGTGACAATTGACCAACTTTCTTGAGTCAGACTATCGAGTAAATAGCCAGTTTTTGTCCAACATGTATTTTATGGAATGACAAATATAGAAACAGCTACATAAGCCCAAATGATGAGAAAAGGCATTTTTTTTAATGTTTAAATACTTCCAGTTTGATAGGAAATAAAGTTAGGCTGTTAATACATAATTTTTATGGGTTAAAAAACTGAGTTTTACATTATATGATTACTTCAAGTGAATTTATCTTAAAGCTAACTTTTGCTTCATGCATCTATACTTTTTAGAAAACCTCAAAAACTTCCTAAAACTATCAGTGTGGAGATAGAATCTTACTGAAAGTTAAATCAAATAATTCCTTATTTTGTCCTTTTCTCAGTATTTTAAACATAGCATCAAGTTGTGATGTTAAATTAATCTTGCTTGAAACTTACAAGGGGAGGAGATAAACCACATTTATAAATGGGAACCAGGTTTCTTTAAAAGAAAAGTAACTGCCTTCATGTCTTCTGTTTAGTTTAGAATAGTTCTTGATCTTTTTCTGTGAAATTTCTCAAATATATGGGACTTTATAATTGGAGCTATTAAAAAAATACAACAATCTATACAAACAATATACAACTGTAATTTTCTAAATTACCTTCAGATTCACATTAAAGTTTATCTCAGTAATGTCCTTCTAGAGTTAATTTAAATTTTGCTGCCATGTGGCCTTAATTTACCTTTAAGTTATTTTCAGCTTAATTTTTAAAGTTCTGGTTAAGATGTACTTTATCAGATAATTATTTATCACCTTTTGCCTAGATATTCCCATGTTGCCTCATGTCCAAAAATATCTCAACTCTGTTCAGTATATAGAAGAACTACAAAAATTTGTGGAAGACGATAATTACAAGTAGGTTGGATCTTCAAAAGTGGTTTGTATAACTTTGTCCTGTCCTCCACCTTTCTATCCCTATGTATTTAAACATCTAAATCCTACATGGTATCATACAAAGGACTAATCCAGTGGTTTACAGCAGTAAAGGTACTAACATGTATTACTTCTTAATCACTTGTTATGATTGAGCCAATATACAAATACCTCATCTGTTCTTTTTAATATTTTATCTCTGTTTGTAGAGAGCTAACGTTTGATAGTTCTAATTTAAATTTCTTCCTTTCCCCCATATTCAATCATTGAATCCTTATAGAATTTGTCTTTTAATAGACAGAAAAATTAATGAAACTTTTTAAAATAGAAAAATTACTCTTCTTTAATGCTAAGTATTGACACATCGTTGTTTGTTTTTCATTGTTTTTGCGGATTGAGAGACTTGGTCCATCTTGTCTCAGGAGAAGAAACCTTTCTCCAATGTAGCAGAATTATCCTCTTCCCTGTATTATAGCAAGTTCTTTATTAAAGATTTTTGAGGCCGGGCACAGTGACTCACGCCTGTAACCCCAGCACTTTGGGAGGCCGAGGCGGGTGGATCACTTGAGGTCAGGAGTTCAAGACCAGCCTGACCAATATAGTGAAACACTGTCTGTACTAAAAATACAGAATTAGCCGGGCATGGTGCATGCCTGTAATCCCAGCTGCTTGGGAGGCTGAGGCAGGAGAATCACTTGAACACAGGAGGCAGAGGTTGCAGTGAGCCGAGAGTGCACCATTGCACTCCAGCCTGGGCAAAAAGAGCAAAACTCCGTCTAAAAAAAAAAAAAAAAAAAAAGATTGTTTGAAATCATTTTTAAAATAGCTGATATCCATTTTTATCTCCTTATATCCACAGTATTTCCCAAAGATGGGAGAGGAAATTTTTAAATTATTAACCCTTTCATCTTTCGTTGATACAGTTTACATCAAAACTGCTGGGTTTTTTTTTAAGGTAGGAGGATAAAGAGCTTATTTCTCTTGAAGCTTCACTCTTTTCTTTTAGCTTCATTTGTTACTTTTTTTAAAAAGTTTATTTAGCTTTATTATCCCATTTGTTCGCAAGCTTTCAAATTGAATTTTGCACTTTCACAAATATTTTTTCCAATAAAAGGTCGTGTTTCAAAAATTTATCGAAGTGAAAGACTAGATTATTTTTCAGTGTTAATGCATTACATAGAAATATTTTTTATCTTCCTTTGGTAATGATTATTAACTTCCTTTTTCCAGATTTTGACAGTTTTTAAAAAATTTTGTAGAACAGAATTAGTCCCAGTAAATGGCTATAGAAATTCTGGAAAACATCTAGGAATAATTTTTCTAAATGCATCTAAAATTTTACTGATGTTTGAAAATGCCTTTATTGCCATCTTCTCTCTCACACCATAATAGCAACACTGTATTTCTGTACCAATTTTCAGTCTACAAAAAGTTTCTACATGGTTACTTACTTGAAAATGTATGAAGTCAATGAAGAAGCTTTTTAAGACTGGAGTTGTTTCACAAATCTGTTGCCCTAGGTTGTTTTTCAAGTTTGATGGTCTGTGTCTTATACTTACCACTATTTTTCCCTTCTCTCTAATTACTGACATAGAACTCCTACCTAATAAATACTTAAGTTTTGTCCAGTGAGATGTAGAACAGATATCTTAAAATTCAAAATGTGAGTAAGTAGCTATTAGTCATTTATCTGGCTCAAGAAACTTACTGAATTTAAAAGAATTTAAAGTTTATTAGATTGAAATGTAATCTAAGAAAATTTTGCACAGTTTATAGAGGATGGCAAATTTTTTGTGACTACTGTAAAATTATAATACAATATTTATTAAAGCTAGTTTTTACTTTGCTAAAAGGGTAGACTTAGCCAGTGAAGCCATGAGGTAGTTCTGACATTCTGTAAATTGACATATCATATAATGCCTTCATTTTTGTAGGAAAGCTAATGCTATTATACTGGTTTTTGTTTTCATGAGGAGCTAGAACCAGAGCAGCCCTTCCATTACATTGACATATATTTACTAAGGTTTTGTTATAGGCCAGTTACTGTGCTAGTTGCTGGGATTATAAAAATAAGATACTGTTCTTGCCCTCAAGAAGCTCAGTCTAATGTCAGATACATCCACAAAACAGATGATTATAAAACATTTCAAACAGAACCATAATAAAGATATGCCAAGGATGCTATGGAAACATAGATAAGGGGGGACCTAACCTAGCTTTACCTAGGAAAACTAAAAGGAAATATGAACAGCTTCAGGAGACAGCGTCATCTGAGGCTGAATCTTAACAGGTGAGTGGGAGTTAGTCTCACGTGAAGGGTAAGGAAAAGTATGCTGGGGATGGAATGATCAAAGGAATGGGATAAGAAACAGTGTCTTTGCATGGCGAACGATGAGTCATTTGGTGTTATTGGGACATCATACGGCACTAGAGAAGACATTGTTTTTCTTTTTCTTGGAGACGGAATCTCACTCTGTTTCCCAGTTTGGAGGGCAATGGCACAATCTCAGCTCACTGCAACCTCCGCCGCCTGGGGTTCAAGCAATTCTTCTGCCTCAGCCTCCCGAGTAGCTGGGATTACAGGTGCCCGCCATCATGCCCGGCTAATTTTTGTATTTTTAGTAGAGATGGGGTTTCACCATATTGGCCAGGCTGATCTTGAACTCCTGACCTCAGATGATTCACCAGCTTTGGCCTCCCAAAGTGCTAGGATTACAGGCGTGAGCCACCGCACTCACTGACAGATTGTTTTTCTAAAAATGCAGTGTGTTGCCTGAGCCTAATAATTTAGTGTGTTTGAAAAATAGAGCATTTTAAGATGTCATTAAAATTATTAGAAAAAATTAGAAGAAAACATTTTTTAGAAAAAATGCCTTTTATGATGAAAAATTTGTAAATAGAAATGGCATGTCACTTACAAAAGGCCTGTTTTGGGCAACTTCATCTACATAGGCAGCCAGTATAGATATTACAAATTACATGTCTTTTGATCAGGGTGAAAATTCTTCTGGGTGATTTTATTTTAATACTGAACATATCTGTTCTTAATGAATCAGCATCTCTATTATAATGTGGTGCTTTGACGATGTTGTAAGCAGCTGGCACTCAGACTAGCCTTCACTGCTTTTTAAAGATGCCTCTGCTTTTTATATTGCTGTCAGTTTCTAGGTGCTACCAATAGCAATGTGATTCACCCAATAAGCTCCCTTTCTGTTCCTTTCTATTTTGGTGCCATTGGGAAATGGTAGTTATTTCATTTACTACTTTTCTTTCATCCACTAGACTGTAAGCTTCAGAAGGACAGGAATACCGTGTCTGCCGTAATCTCTATTATATTCCAGTTCTGAGCACAGTGCCCAACACAAGTGTTCAGTAAATATTTGTCACATGAATGAATGCAGTATAGTTTGTAGCCTAAATAATTAAACATCTTCATAAAAAGAAAAAGTCTGGTTAATCATTTATCTATTCAATATATGCATTTTATATTATCAAATAACTGGAATATAATTAATAACCTACAGTAGATTTATCATTATAAATGCCTCTTGTATTATTCAATTATTTTTAAAATTTTAGTCAGTAGAATACTAAACAGTTTTTATTAAATTTCAGACAGACTCCGCAATATTAAGCTTCGTGTATTACACCAAAGCATTTTCTACAACTACTTTAGTGTCCTGTTTTCTGAAATAGCTTCCACTGATAGAAATCATAATCTCTTTCACTGTGAAACTCAGAACTGGATATATTATCCTAAATGAAACTTAAGTACCATATAATAAACTCTGACTTAGGACAGGGACTTACTAGGAATTTTGCAAACAACATTTTTATTTGTATAGATCTTTCTGCTGAAGAGTTCTGTCAGCTGGTTTGTTAGATGGTTAGTTTTAAATAAGGTGTTTTTAGAAATAATTTGCATAATATATTTAATAATACATATGAAAGTTTCTGAATTTAAATGTAAAGTATCAGTGTAAGCTCTAAGTTGAATCATCATTTAGTCATTCATCAAATATCTTTAAATGTGTTCCATGGTTTGGCAACTTTGGGGTAATTGGGGAGATTTTTGTGTTTTTAAATACAACTTTTTAATGTATTTTCCCTTCCTAATATTTCCTAAAATAACCATAAGATCAGCTTTGTATGAAAGAGATAAGAGACTTAACATCTTAATTAAAAATTGCCCTTGGCCAGGCTTGGTGGCTCATGCCTGTAATCCCAGCACTTTGGGAGGCCAAGATGGAAGGATCGCTTGAGCCCAGGAGTTTGAGGCTTAAGTGAGATTCCCTGTCTCTTAAAAAGAAGAAGATTGCTCTTGAAGAAAAGTATATAGGTCAGATTATTTCATAAAAATGTTTTTAGTTTTTTTGTGAGAAAATACACAACTTTAATCTTATTTTGTCAAATGTTAATTAATCATTGTATGTATTTTGTCTTTTTAAAATTCAGGCTTTCATTAAAGATAGAACCAGGGACAAGCACCCCACGTTCTGCTGCTTCCAGAGAAGATTTAGTAGGTCAGTACGTAGTTTTCTCTTGTTACCAAATCTAAATCAGATAACCTAATAAGGAAGAATATACTCCAAAGTAAATAAAAACTTAGTACATCTTATACTGCATGTAAAATTTATTTTGATATTAAAATCTGTCCTTTCTGGGTTTTTTGGTTTTTAATTTAAAAGTTGCTGGCCGGGCAGGGTGGCTCACGCCTGTAATCCCAGCACTTTGGGAGGCCGAGGCGGGCGGATCACAGGGTCAGGAGATCAAGACCATCCTGGCTAACACAGTGAAACCCCGTCTCTGCTAAAAAAATAACAAAAAAATTAGCCGGGTGTGGTGGCGGGCACCTATAGTCCCAGCTACTCAGGAGGCTGAGGCAGCAGAATGGCGTGAACCCGGGAGGCAGAGCTTGCAATGAGCCGAGATCGTGCCACTGCACTCCAGCCTGTGTGACACAGCAAGACTCCATCTCAAAAAAAAAAAATGTTGCTATAGTTTGTCAGTAGTGTACAAACAAGTATGCTACCTAATCAAGGAAAATAGATAGATGCAACAGATGGAAAATAATAGATAAGTAGTTATGAATATTCATTTTTGATTAAGAATGCACTGTCCTAGGCAATGAAGGTTGATTACACTAGAAATTTCTGTGGTCTAATGGGAAAGTCTACTAATTTGAATAATTATAGAAGTCAATTTTAGTGACGTAATTTTTTCAAATGTTCACTTTAATACTAGACCAAGTATTAAAAATGTAAAAATCATAGTTCCTTACTTTACCTGTTACATTGTAATGGGGATATTATGCATATACCACAAATAATTTTTTAAAAAACATAAAATTATCATTATTTAAGAAATCCCTGATAAGTACCTTTTTTAAAATTCCCAATATAGGCCTTCGCACTAAGTTTCATGTATATTCTAAAAATATTTGATGGCTAATCTGATAAGATGTGAAGTGGAGAAACAAACCATGACAATGTCTATGGGGAAGAATATTCCAAGCAGAAAAAACATTGCAGTTTAAATTTCTTAAATTTGCTTTTCTTTTTATTCTTAAAGTGCTGTTTTGCACTTTTATAATATTCTTTTATTTATTCCCATAAGCCTGAACAGTGTCAGTGTAGATTTAATTTCTGATTTGAGTGTTTGACCTACCCTACACATTCTTTATCTAAGAGGAAGTTGAAACTAGGAGTAAAGAAGTAATGTATAAAATTAAAAGAGCACTGAACCTAGGACTCAGAAGACCTGTGTGTTTAGTCCAGATTTTGTCTGTGATGTGAAAGCTAGTCTCTTCTAATTCTACTTCTTCCTATGTAAATGGAGAAAATATTTACACTGCCTCTACTTAGTATAAGTAAGATAAAAATTAATGGATTTTGTATGGTTTGGGATTTTGTGTTTTAGGACTTAGATATATTTCTCATCTTCAAGCCAATTAAATAGAACTAACATCAGTACTATCTCAAAATTTGAACCACATTTAATATTTTCTTTCAAGGGACTGAAAAATAAAGTAATCATTTGAAAATCTCTTTAAATTTAACCCTTAGGTCCTGAAGTAGGAGCGTCTCCACAGAGTGGACGAAAAAGTGTGGCAGCTGAAGGAGCCTTGCTCCCACAGACACCGCCATCCCCTCGGAATCTGATTCCACATGGACATAGGAAGTGCCATAGTTTGGGTTATAAGTCAGCATTTTTAATTTTATCTTTCAAATTTTTAAGTCTTTTGTAATTGGATTTATTGTCGATTTATTAGTTCAGTAGAAAATGGTATCCTTGAATAGTTTTCTTTTTTCTTAATAGCTGTTTTCTGATTCAGTAAAATGCCTTGTTTGCCTAAAAGCTTTTATTTCTTACTTTACCTGAATTTGGAAATGGGATTTTGTCAACAATGCATTTATATTTGGGGACGATAAATGAACATTACAGAGGGCCATCATAAATAAAATCAGGATAGCAATATACCTTTTTAAAAGAGTTACAACCTTTATATCAAGACAGTCATTGTTTGTCTTAACCAAAATAAGTCAAAAATAACAGCTATAAAAATTATTTTCTTTATTCCTAAATATAAAGAAAACTGACTTTTTGTTTAACTTCATTAGTTTTGCAGTATTGTTTTTTCAAAATGGGGACACATGTTCACTTTTGCCATGATTTCTCTGGAAATGTAATAACTGTTCTCCAAAAGTGAATGTGGAAACAATTTTTTAAACGGACACGAGGCTTAAAATGAAATTATTTTAAAGTATGCTCTAATTATATAGATAGATAGGGCCAGGTTTCCTAAAACATTTTCCCTAAACTGTTCATTTGAGGCTTTTATGGTAAGATCTGAGTATGACAGTTAGGTAAATCTTTTATGTCCTAAATCTTTATATAAAGAGCAGTTTTTAAATTAGTAACAATAATAAAAGATATGAACTTTTTTTTCTGTTTCTAGTTTCATTCATAAAATGAACACAGCAGAATTTAAGAGTGCAACGTTTCCAAATGCAGGACCAAGACATCTGTTAGATGATAGCGTCATGGAGCCCCATGCGCCATCTCGAGGCCAAGCTGAAAGTTCTACTCTTTCTAGTGGAATATCAATAGGTGAGAAATACTTCTCTGAGAGGGTTGCAATTTAACTTTAAATAAAAATGTTAATAAAACTTGGCTGGAAAAAAACCCCACCCACACACAGAGAAAATTTGGTTAAAAAAACAAAGTAGCAGTTAAATATGGGATGAAGTTAATAATTTGTGATGGTTTTAAAAGTGCTTGCTGTTTTTAACTCCAGAAGGGGAAGCATTTGAAGAAGGTGGAAAAAGAACATATGGGCTGGTTGAATTAGTTAACTGCATGTGATTTGGATATGGGGAGGAGGAAGAGTGTGGAGTCAAGAATGACTTCCGGTTATTTGGGTTAAACAAGTATAATAGTTAGATGATGATGCTATTACCAAGGTAGAGAAGACAGAGTAATAATCTGTGGGCAGTGAAGCGTTTGTGAATTTGGGGAATCAGGTGTGTTTTGGACATGTTTAGTCCCTATGGAGATGTCAGGTAGGTTGTTGAATATGTGAATCTGGAGCTCGGGGATAAGGTCAGATCTGAAGATATACGAGAGGTAGCATATTTATAAGCCATGATTGGTTGAGGGTACCTAAAGAGAGAGTGTACATAAATAAAAAAACATTCTCACATTTAGAAGTCTGATTATTTTTTAAAAGAAGGATGAGTCATCAAAGGAAACTAAAAAGGAGAGATCAGTGAAGTAAGGGGAAAAAAACAAAAGCCCAGTAGATGAAGTATCTCAAGGAGGAGGAAAGTACTGAATGTGTGAATATCAAATGCAGAACAAGAGAGCTAAGATGAGAATGGGGAATTGACTGGGGGATTTGGCAAGATAAAAGTCATTGGTGACCTTGATAAGAGTTGCTTCATGGAAGTGTCAGGGCATGGCCTGGATTGGAGTAGATTTGAAAATGAGAGGTGAGGAAACAGAGATAGCTACTGTGAAGGAGAGCAGAAAATAGAGACCATATTAGAAAGGGATGTGAGATTAAGAGAGGGATTTGTTTGTTTTTACTTCCTAAACTTTTAATTTTTGAGTCTTCTAGATGAGCATTATTTCTTGTTACAATTAGAAATTATTCATATAGCCTGGGCAGTGTGGCTCACACCTGTAATCCCAGCACTTTGGGAGGCCCAGATGGGCAGATCTCTTGAGGTCAGGAGTTCAAAATGAGCCTGGCCAACATGGCAAAACCCCATCTCTACTAAAAATACAAAAAGTAGCAGGGCGTGGTGGTGCATGCCTGTAATCCCAGCTACTTAGGAGGCTGAGGCATAGGAATCATTTGAACCCAGGAAACAGAGGTTGCAGCGAGCCATGTTCGCAGCACTGCACTACCCTGCCTGGATCACAGAGCGAGATTCTGTCTCAAAAAAAGAAAGAAATTGTTCATATAATAGCTACTTTTATTTTTAAAAAGAAATAAAGGAGGAATATGTCTTCATCTATGATTAACTACCAGATTGTTCAAGGACTAAGCCTATTGTTACTAATATCTTAATATTGGTAAACAGCCAGTAGAAGGAGATGCAAAAGGAGATTGATTTTCTGGAACATACTGACTTTCTTAGCCCTTGAGAGTTAAAATTAAATTATTTCAGAGCTCTCCATTACCATTCAGTAGTTGTTTATTCTGATAGTCCCCTTTTTATATAAAAATACAAGTGATTAAATGATAAAATGTTTTAAAAAGAAGGCAAGTTTGTCACCTGAAATACCTCTTATCAATGTTCTAAGTTGCCTATATGCAAATACTAATCTCAGTATGAAGAATAATTTTGCAAAAGAAAGAACTTTTTTTCAGTCAAAAATTTTCTACACGTCCATGGAATTTGGCATGCCACTTAAAGCAAAAAGTTTTTAAAATTACAGCTCTCAAGTATATAATATTTTACTCTTTCTCATAAGTGTTATAATGAGAATTATTCTGTAGTTTATAGCTTTTACTTTTCATGGATGTCCTTTTGGCTACCAAAAGATTATTGTTTAGTTATTTTATTGAGTTACAGTTAGTGTCTCAGTGTGGAGACTTTTCTCTTTTAGAGCAGATTTTTGCATTTGTGTTTATTTTTTAATTATTCTAAGGCTAAGTAAGTAAACAGTAAAAGATCATTGCATCCTAGTTTGTAAACTAAGAACATTACACATAGGCATTTACCTTCGAGGATTTTTGTTTTAAAGCTTTAACAATATGAAAAAAAGAATAAGTCTATTACCATAAGATGATAGGTGTTAATATACACACACGAGTTTTTCCCTCAGCTTTAACTTTTACATGCAATATTAATCTACAGTGAAGGCTTTGAAAATACTGTGGGAAAATTAACCAGTGCTTAGAACAATGGCCTTAAACATTTTCTAATGTGGTATCTATCCTAGATAATCTTGAGTAGTCTCACCTAGCTAACTAAGAGAAGCATATTCACTCTGAGCTTCATGCTTACATTTTCTACAAATAAGTTATCCTAATTATGCTTAAATTTTCAGTCTTTACCACATAGTGCCACAAATCAAAGGATAATGTAGATAATGTACAAGACCCCACCACCACCACGGGTTACCTCTGGTTCTTCTGAACCATACAATACAGAAAATTATTTCAGTGATTGTTATCTCAGTTTATCCAAGGATGGTACATAACTAGTGCCATTGCAAACCCGTAGAAGGGTATTAATCCATCGTCTCTAAGAGAGACGAGTCTAATGGATACCTTACAGCATCCATTACAGGTGTCTGATGGATACCTTACAGCATTAGAATTTGAGTCTCTCAGAACCCTGCCCGTAAAAAAGAGTTTGAGTCTCTCTTCTTAGAACCCTGTCTGATAGACAATTTAACTTGACCTATTAATCATCCTAATTTTTTTGAGAGCCAGAATTACCTTTAAAGTAACATTTAAGTAAACTAAGCTGTTTTGGACTCTCTAAATTCATTCCCCATAGTTTTTTTGTTGGTTTTTTTTCCCCCTAGCTAATTGTAAACGTTCTGTTTGAAGACCATTTTATTTTAACTGATCTTTTGGCCAAAGAGAAAATTGTTGCATTTTTATAGCACCGGTTTTTGGTTTTTTAAATTTAGAGATTCCATCTTCTTTGTCTCTAGAGACAAATAAGTGGATTTCATTAGGCTTTTTATACTTAGGGTAGTAATGGACTTTAATACAAAGAGAAAGGAGTATGCCATGAATCGTCAAGGATTTTATAATTATATTGGTCCTAAATTATGACAAACCTAATAAGAAATTTTGTGTTATTTTATGTTCTCTAATGGTAGGAAAAATTGTTTATTGACATAATGAATTTCAGCTACAAATAGGCAAGCAAAAATGTTTTATGCTATTTTGTTATTTTAGGTTGTCGTGTCAACTGTATTCCAATATATTGCAAAATAAACCTAACAGCAGTAATATTAGAATAAAGAATTAATATGTGGATATGTTCATCTACAATGCGATTGTCATTTTATGAGCATAGTTAATTAATTTATTTTTACATTGTGAAATGCAAACTAGAGAGGTAATTCTGATGTTTAAAAAATAGGATAACTTTTCATTTTAGGTAGCAGCGATGGTTCTGAACTAAGTGAAGAGACCTCATGGCCTGCTTTTGAAAGGTAAGATAAATTGTCCATTTGAACTACTTGGAGTTTATTTTGTCTGGGTTAAATAATATAATACAAATTTTCAGAGATAATATTTACTACATATCCCTAAGCGATTAAGTTTTCTACTGGTAAAAGAAATTAGAAGTTGATATTTAAGTTTGGATATGTAAGTAATGAGAATGAATGATAGTCTTATCTCTAAATGTTTATTTGGTGGCATGACACATGTATTTGAATTTTAATACATTTACATTTATAACTTAAAAATAATAACCGATCATCGACAAGTAACCTACTTACATATTCAAAAAATTATTTCCTTAAGTTCTGGTTCATTTAAGTAATTTTAAGGCATTTAGTGGAATGGTCAACTTTATTCTCTGCTGCTTTGTCAAGGACAAAATGATTTAATAAATTTTAAATTATACAAGTAAAGCAAGTTAAGGTTAGAATTTAAATGGTCATAAACTCAAAATTTTCAGAGTACACTTTTATACTGAAATACTCTAAGTTGTGCTCCCTTCTCCTTCCTTTGTTGCTTTAAGCTGTTAAATCTGTCATCTGCCTGTAGCAAATATCATACTATATTGAGGTCTAAGTACATATAAGATCTGAAGAATGTGACCAAACAATGCAAATAATTATTTATTAAATGTCCATTAGGATTCTTATGTTTTCACTGACCATTTCAGTTCTGCCATTTCAGACTCATAAGGTATTTGGCTTTTGACCAAAACAATTGCTCCCTTTTTTGTATATGAACTAAGTAACTAAATTTCTGAAAATGCCTATATTCATTACTCAAGCGGGTCATTTAGATTGAATGTTAAATGTCATATTAATACTGAAGTTGAAAATGTGTAATTGCATAACTCCTTATCAGTCACAATTTATAAAACAATTTTAAATTAAATTTTATTTGAAATCATAAATTTCATGCTGTTTAATTGGAAAAATAGATCCTTATTTTTTATGTGACTTCATAAAGATTTCTCACTATTATGTGATTAAGATTTTGTTTATAAGTTCTACATTGCAAAGTACTTTTGATCCTTTCTACTCTAATTATCAGTGTTCCCAACTTTTGTTCTCTTTGTTTTGCGGGATAATAATAAGTAAAAACAAATTATTTTTATTTATTTTTGCATTATTTTTCTTGCAACCTTTACTTCTGATCTGTTCATTTGGGTTTGCCTGAAATGTGAAAAACACAAGAATTGCCTTTGACATGTTGTCTGAATTTGTTCAAATTGTCTTTCCCTCTAGAAAGAACGTAAAACCATGAGAAGTTGATTATAGAGTGTACTGTAATCTTTATATTTAAAAAATATTGATTAACCAAATTGTTTTTTAGATTGCTTGACTTATGACTAACCAGAATGGTGGTGTGTTAAATAATCTGTTCTCATCCCAGCAGGTTACTTATGAAGACAGTATTTAATGATGTTACCTTCACGTCTCAAAACAATTTTTTTGCTTTATAACAGGTGTTTTGCTTTGCAGACATGTGTGGCTAAAAAAAGCTACTTTTCTTATGCCAAGTTTAAAATAGTGGGCTCTTAGAACATTTTGAGAACAGTGAAATGAATGCTGCCCAGCAAGATTCAGACATGAAATAATAGAAAGTGAATAAAGAACTAGGATATAAAGTACTACTCATGGATAGTGAACTTGAAAAATGTACTCTGAATGTTGACATACCATTTTCTGTTCTTATTTTCTAGACAGACATCAAATACATTGTCTTATTTTCTAGACAGAAATCAAATACATTGTTGTCTTTTTTTCTAGACAGACATCAAATACATTGTTTAAGTTGCTAAAATAATGCTTTTCCTTTAAAACATCATTTATCAACAGTGCTTTCGGGTTTTCCTAGGCAAAGAAGTATCAGTATTTTTATGTGTCTGTTTTTATTTTTTTTGTTTTTAACTATTATGTGCCATTTTGGATAAGTATTAACTCATCATTTTTATCATTTATTGGCTTTGTCAGTTAATGTAGAAATAATATAACGCCTATATTACTCAGTTCATTTCTTTTATTTACTATAAAGGATAAAGAGGAAAATAAAGTTTTCCTCATGAGTTTACAAGCCACATTGCTTTTAGGTGTCTTCATAGGGACATATAATAAAAATGAATTACTTATATAAATCCGGGCATCATATTTAAACTAGAATCCAAGAAGTGGTATAGAAACGTAAGAATTTTTGAAGTATTTTTGAGGTTTTTTTTTTATTATTTGGCTATAAATAGCTCTTTAATTCTTTTAGCAGATTTGTGAAAGTGAATGTATATGTAAATATATGGTGTGTACTAAATACCTCTAAGTATTTCTAGAGTCAATAGTAGAAGAAAAAATTTTTTGAAATCTATGCTGCATGCTTTAAAAAAGAAAGAGGAACAATCACATACTATCCTTTTGTAAGATTTAGAAAGCTATATTACAAGAAGAAACTATTATACTGTTCTAGGTATTGATAATGACTGTGTGAATAAAAGTATATGTAATATATACAATTTATAATGGAATCCAACAGGAACAGATTATACCATTCTCTCGGCCCGGTGACAAGAGTGGCACGAAATGGCTATCGAAGTCACATGAAGGCCAGCAGGTACAATTCCCCTGCATTCAGGGGTCACAGAACTCCCTTATGGTGTTGGTGATTGGCTTACATGGGTGTGGTCTGACGTTATTTCTTTTCTTTCTCAACTAATTGATTTAAAAACTAAACAAATTACCTAGAAAAACTTTCTTTCCAAGATCTAATATGAAGATAAATTTCAACTATTCTTTCTGATCCACAGAGCTAATTGCTAAAACTTGCATCTTAATGTTACATATTTTAAAATGCTTCCAAGTTGGTAGCCTTTAAACTGCACCAGTCTTTCTAATGCTGATAGTTTTTGAATGAACAATATAAAAATCTGCTTCTTTATTCATAAGTTGTAATCAAAGCATTTTCTTTGCTAATAAATTTATATTTGATTTGTCTTTTTAAAAAGTTTTTCAGATAAACTACAGGTCCTGAATGTAGACGAGTCTATTTCATAAAATAATCATTTGTATATTTAAATTCATATTCATTCAGTTGTTTGTCTGGTTAAACCAGGTCTCTTTTGGACTGTTATTAGCTGTGGAGGCAGATAAGGGTGGTGTATTGATTGGGAACGTGGGGTTTAGTGGTGATGGGTAATCAGTTCATAATACAACAAAATACCAAACTTCAGAAGCAAACTTTACGTCAGTTTGATGGTGTCTAATCTCCGTGCATGTACCTCCCTGAATATAAATAGCTCTAGCATGAAATTTCTACTGGTTTATAGGTTCTTAAGTCACTCTGAAGACACCTAAATAATCACAAAGGAATAAACTGGCAAACTTTAGTTTTCATTGCTCTTATAGGAATTCTGCAGCTCATGTCAAGTCACCAGTGACATTTTTGTCAGCATGTATGTTTTATTGGCTCATGTAGAAATCATTAATTATTGTATTAAACATAGGACCTTAAATCAATTAGGGAAAGATATTAAAGTGTTGGTTATTTTGTGATTTTTTTTTTTTTAAAAGATACATGAAAAGGAAATCTTGAGTTTTGGGTTTTTTCCTTTCGTGGAGAGCTATTAGGCCATAATCACTTATCCATTGACACCATTTAAATGTTATTAAAATGTATTGCAGAAAGCTAGTTTTTAAAATATATTATTATTGACTTTATTACTTCTTTCTGCTATTTTAGAATTAAATTAAGCATGTTTTCTTTTTTTTTTTTTGAGCTTGTATTTTTATTTTCAGTTTTATATATACTTAAATACTTTTAACAAATAGAATCCTCATTTTTCCTACCAGGACTTAAAGTTTCTATGTGGAAAATAAGGTTGCAACAGTGATGCAGTGTGGCATGTTAAGAAGAAGAAAACAAATCTTAAATTTTTAATTTAATATTTACTAAAGTGAATTACTGCATTCTTTCTAAATTATACTGTTCAAATATGTAATAAAGTGTGTTTTTTAACCATCTGCTGACTTTAATAACTTTCTAATCAACTTTTTGTACAGCTTATAAATTTCAAGATTAATAAACCTTTAGAATTGTCAGTGTCTTCTCAGCTCTGAATAAAGTAACAAACTTTTAAAATTAAGAATAATTACATTTTATTTAAGTACCTACTTGATGACTATTGTAGACAAAAGCTCTTATGTGTTCTTTTCTTCGTTATTATAGTTCTGCAGAATCAGAAGATTTGGCAGTACATTTATATCCAGGAGCTGTTACTATTCAAGGTGTTCTCAGGAGAAAAACTTTGTTAAAAGAAGGCAAAAAGCCTACAGTAAGATTTCATCATATTATATTTTAATACACCTCTAAAAATATGCAAATTTATAAGACTCTGTAAAAGTACTAAAACAATTAAAATAAAACCTGATTATAGTAGACTTGAAATAATATTAAATAAGGTCCTCCCCTCTTATCCTTGGGTCATCCATTCCAAGATCCCCCGGGGATGACTGAAACCTCAGATAGTACCAAACCAAATTACCATCATTTGGAACATGTTTCTGTTCATGTCTTCCATTCACAAATATAATACCTTTTCTATCTTAACTAAGCACTTAAGCCCACACAGTAACCGTAACTTTTGCAGTTTGCGATGCTATAGCAAAACTAGCATGAATTTCTTTTTCCTTCTTCACAATTTCACAGATACAAAATTTGTTCTTACCATGGATCTTAGCAACCTTAGCGTCTAATTTTTCTTTCCTTAATCCAAGAAGTTTTCTTTTCACTTAAGGAAGCAGTGGGGAGTGGGACACAAGGGTAGCACATATAGTGTGGAGACGCTGGACAAAGAAAGGGAAGATTATGTCCACAGAAGCACAGAGCAGAACTGTGTGAGATTTTATCATGTTACTCAGAACAACACATGATTTTAAAACCTGTGAATTGTTTATTTCTCAAATTTTCCAATAAATATTTTTAGACTATGGTTGCCTGTGGGTAACTGAAACCACAGATAAGAGGGAAAATATTGTACACATTTGTTTCACCATGTTTTCTTAACATAAAATGTTATTATATGTGCCATATAGATTTCTGTTAAATCATGTGTTAAGGGTGCTTAAATCCTGTACTTTTTTTTACCCCCATTATAGTTCGTATACAAAATTATTTCTTAGAGAACCCTGAAAGTATATCATGAAGAAGTATTTTAGTATTAAGTTTAGGTAAAATAGAAAATAAAGAGTAACAACCCTAAAAAATGGAATTTGATTGTGTTTTATCATTTTATTTAAATTCCTGTAATACAGTTTTGTTTTCTACATAACATAGAATCCAAATATTAAATGCTTTCCAAACCTATAACTATATTGGGGGGGGAAAAAAGGAAGATTGGTGGAACAAAGCTCTTAATATGTATCAAAGAAGTTTCTTCTTCCTCAACACCAGCATAGTAGTTTGACTACTAAGGAACAATTTTTTTCCCTTTCTCAAATTTGAAATATAAAACCTTTGATATATATTCACACTTAAAGCTTTTGAAGATATGGGGGCTTCATATAAGTAATCTTATTTTGTTGTTTATATCACAGTAAGCCAAAGGCACATACAAATCAAGAATCTCTTAGGCAGGCTAGTGAACTCAGAATTGCATGTCAGTTGAAGCATTACCATACCTTTTGTGTGCTGGATGCTAGAAATAGAGCAGTGAACAAGGTGAGGCAAAGTGTCTTCCTCCTGGATTACATTTCAGTGAGGAGAAATAGAGAATAAGGCTTTAAAATAATGTCATAGGATACAGAATGATGGGGCAAGGAGGGATGCCACCATGGCAAAACATTTGAGCTGAGATCTGAATGAGGAAGGTGAGTTAGCTGTGTGAATATCTAGAGTTCAGGAGACAAGAAGGCTTGTGTAGTTTACGCATTGAAATTGGGGAAGGTGGAGGAGATCAAGTAAGAGGCAAAAGCTGGAGTTGTTTGATGATAAATTAAACATGATGTATGAGAGAAAGAGTGAAAACAAAGATAACTTCTAGGTTTGGGGACTGAGATGGGTGTATGTTGGGGACATTTATTGAAATGGGGGGCAGGTCAGTCTTGGCCAAGTTCAGTTTGATATGCTTATTAAACATTCAAGTGGAGGTGTCATTGTGGCTGTTGAAAAAGTATGGATCATGAGGTCAGCAGAGAGGTGGCAGGGAGATAGATTTGGGAGTCATTAGCATACAGATAGATAGTATTTGAAATATGGAACTGGATGATAGATTATCTAAGAAGAAAGTATAGCTAGAGAAGAAAACAAGGTTGGAGATGGGGCTCTGTAGCATTAAAGGTCTCCCACAAAGAAGAGTATAAAGGAAAACTAAGGAACTGTTATCCCAGAAGCCTAGCAGTTACAGTACTTCAAAAAGCAAAGAGTGGCCAGCTGGGTCAGATGCTGTTAAGAGGCTGGCTATGATAAGGATAGAGGCTTTGCTAAAATTACAATCATCAGTGACCTTGATGGCCCAAAAGCCAAATGAAATGAGTTAAGTAGAAAATGGGCAAAACAGAAGAAGTAGAGGCAAGATTTAGAGACACCCTTGCAAGAAGTTATGCTGTGAAAAGGAGAAGAGAAATTGGTTGGTGTCTGGGGAGTGAGGAGATGGGTCAAAGGAGGGATTTTAAAGGTGGGAGTACTATTAAGGTTCATTTGTATAATGGTGGTAGAGGGAGAGAGATTGAGAAGCAATGGAGTTAATTGCAAAAGCAAACTTCTTTATTTTTTTTTTCTTTTTTTTTTTTTATTATACTTTAAGTTTTAGGGTACATGTGCACATTGTGCAGGTTAGTTACATATGTATACATGTGCCATGCTGGTGCGCTGCACCCACTAACTCGTCATCTAGCATTAGGTATATCTCCCGATGCTATCCCTCCCCCGACCCCACAACAGTCCCCAGAGTGTGATATTCCCCTTCCTGTGTCCATGTGATCTCATTGTTCAATTCCCACCTATGAGTGAGAATATGCGGTGTTTGGTTTTTTGTTCTTGCGATAGTTTACTGAGAATGATGATTTCCAATTTCATCCATGTCCCTACAAAGGACATGAACTCATCATTTTTTATGGCTGCATAGTATTCCATGGTGTATATGTGCCACATTTTCTTAATCCAGTCTATCATTGTTGGACATTTGGATTGGTTCCAAGTCTTTGCTATTGTGAATAATGCCGCAATAAACATACGTGTGCATGTGTCTTTATAGCAGCATGATTTATAGTCCTTTGTGTATATACCCAGTAATGGGATGGCTGGGTCAAATGGTATTTCCAGTTCTAGATCCCTGAGGAATCGCCACACTGACTTCCACAATGGTTGAATTAGTTTACAGTCCCACCAACAAATTTACAAGAAAAAAACAAACAACCCCATCAAAAAGTGGGCGAAGGACATGAACAGACACTTCTCAAAAGAAGACATTTATGCAGCCAAAAAACACATGAAAAAATGCTCATCATCACTGGCCATCAGAGAAATGCAAATCAAAACCACAATGAGATACCATCTCACACCAGTTAGAATGGCAGTCATTAAAAAGTCAGGAAACAACAGGTGCTGGAGAGGATGTGGAGAAATAGGAACACTTTTACACTGTTGGTGGGACTGTAAAGCAAACTTCTTTAAAAAGTGAGAGAGAGTTGGAATCTAGGGCATAAAAAGAGAGTTGAGTTTGCCTTTAGATAGAATCGGGGTTAACTATTCTTTTGTAGCTGGAGGAAAGACTGAGTATGTGGGTCTACAAACAGGTAGTTACATGGCAGTGACAGGAGTATTTGAGATTAAGATTTCAGAAGTGATACAGCTCAACTCTGAGGTTAGGACTTTGGTTGAAGTGAAGTGGACTTGATCATTGGCACTTAGAATGTAAAGAAACTAAGAAGCCAGGAGCATTGTAATAGTATATTCCTGTGTTTGTCCTATCCAGGTAGCATCTTGGACAAAATATTGGGCAGCTTTGTGTGGGACACAGCTTTTTTACTATGCTGCCAAATCTCTAAAGGCTACCGAAAGAAAACATGTAAGTATTTGTTCTCTACATTTTTAGCGTGGTTTCCCAGACTGTTCATGGTTATAAAGAAAGCAGTCCTAATGGGATACAAAGGTTTTTTGGGTTTGCCTTGTTTTTTCCTATCTTCTAGTCCAAAAGTTTTTACATTTATTTCTTTTTTAAATACCATTTTTCCATTGCAAATGTCAAAACTGCACATTACGCTTATCTATTTTGACATCAAAGCTTTCTCAAATCTGGAGTTTCCTGTTCAATATTGTTCAAAACTATTGCCTTGGAGTTTCCTTTCCTAATCAGCAAAATGTGGAAATGTGGGACCAACATCTAAAGTTCTTTCCACCTCAATCTCTGGTTCAGTGATTCTTCCCAACAATGAAGAGGAATGATCAATTACAACAGTTACTGCAATCACTTTCTTGTGCTTCATATTACTTAAAAGAAGCCTCTTTTCACCCTGTAGAATTTTCCTATAAATCTTTTTTGCATGCTGTTTTGTTTTTACATACCAGTGATAGAATCTTTGAAAGGAAGAATGATTTTCTATGTTGCATTAATAAAATCTGAGAGGAATTTTATTTCTAAGTCACATGTTTTGGGGGAGAAAAATTACGTGGTTTATCCTACTGAGGAAAGGTAAGCCAGTGAAGAAAAATTTAAGTCCTTTTTCTACTTAAAACTTAACCAAATGATACTGTATAATTCAGAGTAATTCAGAGAAACTCTTCTTTATTCTCACAGTTTTAGCCCTTTAATCAAACCACAGGTATAGAAAAGAACATTTTTGGTTTAAATGAATGTGGGAAGTACCGTAAGATAGCATTGCCTTTCTTTATCAGCTATACCCACCACCTGCCACCCTCCTGATCATCATGACTCATTGTCTTGCTTTTCTTCATAGTGTTAGCATATATGTTTCCCTAATTAATCCATGGTTTCATTTTTTAACTGTACCTCAGTGGGATCATATATATTCTTAAGCACTAGCTTTTTTGCTCACTATTATTATATAATTGTTAAGATAGCTCTTGCATTGAGATAAAGGACTTGAGTGAAGGATCATGGAGATTTCTTCGGTGAATATTTATTTTTTGTATTCTGGTCAAATTGACAATAATGCCTATATACCCTACAACATTTACATAGATTAGTTTTGCTAGAACAATTTGTAGAGTTAGTACTGCTGTTCTCAAAGTGAGAAAAAGGTTGGATTCATTCAGTTCAATTAAATCCTTAGCTTCATATGGAAAGTAACTTTTCACATAGCCACATTGAGATACTTGCTGGATAGATTTCACTTAGCTGACTATTGTAGAAAAGTCATTATTCAAAATAAAATGGTTTTTTTGTTTTTTGTTTTTTCTTAGTTTCAATTAGAAAAAGTCCAAATTAGAGAAGTTATAACTGAATTTGTCATCTAATGGATATGTTAAATATTGTTTTGTGCTTTGCATTGTTGCTTGTGCATAAAGTTACTAGTATATTATACTTTGGGTTTTTAATTATATGAGGTTTCTGATAGGTAATGTATGCAAAATGTTTGGAAATTAAAGCATAGTGAGTTGTGAGAAAATCTTATTGAGTACCAAGGAAATTGACCGCATTTCTCATCTTTTCTAATTAAATTAAAATATAATTAAAGAATAAATTTGAAGAACAGGATAGAGGGTATAGAGACAGGTCTATATCTATATTTGGTATTAATCTTGAGATAGAAAAGATATGGCACAGAACTAAATGGAAGAAAAAAATTTTAATCGTTTTCAAATAAAGTTAGAATACAAATAAATTGGAGGAAAATATCTGCTATATGTAAGCAACCGAAAAAGGATTAAAATCACCATTTAAACATAGCACCACCTGTATTGTTGTGTTTTGGTTTTGGTTTTGGTTTTGGTTTTGGTTTTGGTTTTTTTTTTTGCCAAAATATTTAACCTGAATCTTATGAGGAAATAATCAAATCCAAATTGTGGGTCATTCTATGAGACAGCTGGCCTAGATTCTTAAAAAGACCAAAATTTGGCAGGTGGAGTAAGGGCAGGGGGACAGGAGGACTGTTCTAGATTAAAGGAGACTTGACAACTAAATGCAATGTATGTCTTTTAGTTGAATCCTGGAGTTATATTGGGGAAAAAATTTAAAAAGCTATAAAGGTTATTATTGGAACAACTTAAGAAAATGTAACATGGACTTTATGTGGTTGTCTCTTCAATTTCTTAGAAATGACAATTACGTTGTGATTGTATAGGAATATATTCTTGTTATTAAAAGATACATGTTGAAATATTTAGGGTTCAATGTTATGATGTCTGCAATTTGCATTTGAATGTTCAGAAAGATCAAACAAACACAAAAATGTAGATTAAGGATATATGGCTAATCATTGTGGCATTCTCAACTTCTGTACAGTTTGAATTTTTTCAAAATAAAAAGCTGGAGGAGAAAAAAAATCATAGATTAAAATATACCTGTTCATGGCAATAAACCCAGAAGTGGGACATATGGAAGTCTGTATACCTTATTTTAGTATTCTATAAAGTATATATTTTTTTGCCTATGAAGAACAGTTTGTGTGGGTAGAGTGATCAACCTCACTTACTATTTAAAAATGCAAATTAAGGGAGACACTTTCCTGCCATTAGACAAAAATTTAAAAGATTGATGACATAGCATTGGTCATGATATGGGGAAACAGACTGTCATCCATGGCTGGTAAAAATTTAAATTGGTATTGTTTTTGTGGTGGCCAGTCCGAGTCAGTATTTAGCTTGGTAATAACCAGAAATTCCTCATCTGAGAATCTGTCCTACTGAAATTTTTGAACAAGTGCACAAAGATTATCTGTAGAAGAATATTTCTATAATATTTATGACAACAGAAATCTGGAAATACCCAAAATACTTATCAATAAGGAAATGGTTACTGATAGATGAAAAACACAAGTCAGAGTGTAAATATATCCCCCATTAATACGTAAAAACCAACAGCAGCAATGACACAAACCTCTGATATAATAAATGCATAGAATAAGGTCTGGAGGTTGTCACCTCAAGTGATGATTATATCTGGGGAATGTGATGGGATTCGCTGGTGGTTAAAGGGCATTTGCACTCTAGTTTCATCCCTGTTTCTGAAGCAGTTTATGTTGCTTGAGTTACTTTTTACTTTTTGAAAAAGGGAATTGAGGTGGAAGTTTTTAGGCTTAAGAAAAGAATATTAGAAGATCATAGTATTCATGTCGAAGTACATTATGAGCTGTCAAATCAGCAGTCCTGTGGTAGGGCCAATTTCATTCTTCACAGTAGTAAAACTTACTGATTTCTTTAGCTTTCATATTTCAATTTCATGTTGTTATGAATGTGCCATGTTCATTCTTTTTCCCATTTCCTTTAATCGTGAAGCATATCATACATACAAAAGAAGATAGGTAGTGTACATGTACATTTTAAAGCATAATAAATAAAATGAACACCTGTATACTCTCCACCCAGTGTGAGGAACAGAATGTTACTAGAACCGTCAAAGCCTTCCCAGAGGCATCCACTTCTTCCCTGTCAACCATATCCACAGCTTCTTGCTGTCCTGAATTTCTTGTTAATTGTCGCCTTGTTTTTCTTTAGTGTTTTACCATGTACACGTCCTTATACAATGCACTGTTTGATTTTTAAACAATACCTGAATGGCTTCACATACAGTCTTAAGCACTAGCTTAAGCCAACCTGTTCTTCTTTTATAACTGCCCTTTCTCAGAATTAAGAAAAGAAGTTGTAGCTAAAATAATAATAAAAGAATGGTTAACTACAAAAGTAATAGACAGGCTAAGAATACCCTTCTTTTTTGAAAAATACAAGTAAGAATATTGTCATTAAGAATTATCTGGTTGCAGGGAGCTGAGATCACACCACTGCACCACAGCCTGGGCAACAGAGTGAGACTGTCTCAAAAAAAAAAAAAAGAACTCTCTGATAGCACTGCTGATTTATTACATCATCAGATTTAAGACAGCATAGCTACTAAAATGCAAATGTCCTTCCTATAAGGAGTAGTACAGTAATTCAGAAAAAAAACAACAGATTAATATATCATATTCACAAACATGCTCTCTGGGAATAGGGAATAGATCAGTTAGGTTTTGATGCAGAGTTGAAGCTGGGAAGGTCTGGAAAGTAGGAGATTATCTGAAGAAGGCATGCCTAGGATGAAATTCAGCAGTAAAAGGCCCCAGGCTGGCTGAGACCAGCATGAAGTCACAAATCTCATCTTTCATTAGGAGAAACTGAAAATACACTCCCTAACACTGAAGTTTTGCTAGAATAAACCATAAATTTTCTGTTTCCGCTAATTATCTTTTTTTCTCTCAGTTCAAATCAACATCCAATAAGAACGTATCTGTGATAGGATGGATGGTGATGATGGCTGATGACCCTGAACATCCTGATCTCTTCCTGCTGACTGACTCTGAGAAAGGTGAATTGTTAGAATAACTGGGGCTTACGATACTGCGTATGTGTTTGTGTATATGTATGTATGTATGTGTGTGTGTATACTTGTCATATATATAATGTTTTATGCATACATGAAGAACTTGATGAGCCAAAACCTAGTTTCACTGGAATACTCAAGAGAGAAAGTATTTGTGTAGTTTTATCTATTGGGAAATACTTCTGTCCCATTATGTATTTTAATAATATTTGTGGAGCTTATTTTCTTTGCTCCATGGGCATATATGCTTGAAAATTAAAAGCCCAGCTAATCCCTAGAGACCTAACTAGGAAAGGAGGGAGGGAATTTGAGAATATATACCCCATTGTTACTTCAAATTTTTAGAGACTTGCCATATAGGCCATACTGCTTCCTTCATCAATACCTTGAAATGGATTGTTATTCTTAAGTTCTGAAAGTGGCAGAGTTTTCCTTTAAATATTTATTCTATCACTTTTAATTAAATTATTCAGAACCAATATTCTGCAGTCTTATCCACACAGATCTAGAGATGCCACACAATTATTGTATTTATTTAGATGTATTTTATTCTAAAGAATATTTAAGAACAAAATTATTTCTTTTAATCCATAAGCAGCAAAACAGTGACTTTCTGAATATATTTGGCTCAGATCACTTTCCAAGTTAATTATAATATTTTACATACAGTATATAGAGAGACACTTATGAATAAAATAACTGGCTATTGACCATTGGAGTTTATAAAGTAGATATGAGAAATTGGAGGATGGGCCATGTATAATCACATCATATGTTCTTCTTACTCTACCTGTGACTATAGTGGATACCTCAAGGCTCATCAGAAAATATCCCCAAGTGGTTGCTTTTCTTCCATCATAACAACTGCTAGCTGTTGACAAGTACCAGAAAGATACTTTCAGCAGTTCACAACTGGAATACTATGTTACCTTTTATTGACTTCACAACTATATTTTGACCTCTGTTTATTCAGATACTATTTTGTATCAACAGATATCCCACTTTTATGTTTCAGTGTTTTAAGTAAACAAGTAAGCAAATATGTTGGAGGCAGGAAAAAATAATACCAAAATGTCTTCTTTTTAGATTAAGTAGATTGATTTACAGAATAAATACACCCTACTCAACATTTTTTTTCCCATAAGTTATTGGGGTACAGGTGGTATCTGGTTACATGAGTAAGTTGTTTAGTGGTGATTTGTGAGATTTTGGTGCACCCATCACCCGAGCAGCATACACTGCACTCTGTTTGTAGTCTTTTTACCCTCATCCCCCTTCTCACTTTTCTCCCCAAGTCCCCAAAGTCCATTGTATCATTCTTATGCTTTTGCATCCTCATAGCTTAGCTCCCACGTATCAGTGAGAACATATGATGTTTGGTTTTCCATTCCTCAGTTACTTCACTTAGAATAATAGTTTCTAATCTTATCCAGGTCACTGCAAATGCTGTTAATTCATTCCTTTTTATGGCTGTGTAGTATTCTATCACATATATATACCACAGTTTCTTTATCCACTCGTTGATTGATGGGCATTTGGGTTGGTTCCATGATTTTGCAATTGTGAATTGTGCTGCTGTGAACATGCGCATGCAAGTATCTTTTTCATATAATGACTTCTTTTCCTCTGGGTAGATACCCAGTAGTGGGATTGCTGGATCAAATGGTAGTTCTACTTTTAGTTCCTCAGGGAATCTCCACACTGTATTCCATAGTGGCTGTACTAGTTTACATTCCCACCAGCAGTGTAGAAGTGTTGCATGTTTACCACATCCATGCCAACATCTACTGTTTTTTTATTTTTTTTATTATGGCCATTCTTGCAGGAGTAAGCTAGTATCTCATTGTAGTTTTGATTTGCATTTCCCTGATCATTAGTGATATGGAGCATTTTTTCATTTGTTTGTTGGCCATTTGTGTATCTTCTTTTGAGAATTGTCTATTCATATCCTTAGCCCACTTTTCGATGGGATTGGTTTTTTTCTTACTGATTCGTTTTGAGTTCATTGTAGATTCTAGATGTTAGTCCTTTGTCAGATGTATAGATTGTGAAGATTTTCTCCCACTCTATGGGTTGTCTGTTTACTCTGCTGACTGTTGCTTTTGCTGTGCAAACGCTCTTTAGTTTAATTAGGTCCCAACTATTTATCTTTGTTTTTATTGCATTTGCTTTTGGGTTTTTGGTCATGAAATCCTTGCCTAAGCCAATGTCTAGAAGAGTTTTCCAATGTTGTCTTCTAGAATTTTTATAGTTTCAGGTCTTAGATTTAAGTCCTTAATTCATCTTGAGTTGATTTTTGTATAAGGTGAGAGATGAGGATCCAGTTTCATTCTCCTACATGCGGCTAGCCAATTATCCCAGCACCGTTAGTTAAAAAGGGTGTCCTTTCCCCACTTTATGTTTTTGTTTGCTTTGTTAAAGATCAGTTGGCTGTATTTGGGTTTACTTCAGAGTTCTCTATTCTATTCCATTGGTCTATGTGCCTATTTTCATAGCAGTACCATGCTGTTTTGGTGACTGTGGCCTTACGGTATAGTTTGAAATCAGGTAGTGTGATGCCTCCAGATTTGTTCTTTTCACTTAGTCTTGCTTCGGCTGTGGTGGGCTCTTTTTTGATTGTATGTGAATTTTAGAATTGTTTTTTCTGATTTTGTGAAGAATGATACTGGTATTTTGATGGCGATTGCATTGAATTTGTAGATTTTGCTTTTGGCAGTATAGTCATTTTCCCAATATTGATTCTACCCATCCATGAGCATGGGATGTGTTTCCATTTATTTGTGTCATCAGTGATTTTTTTCAGCAGTGTTTTGTAGTTTCCTTGTAGAGCTCTTTCGACTCCTTTGTTAGGTATATTCCTAAGTGGTTTTTTGTTTTGTTTTGTTTTGCAGCTATTATAAAAGGCGTTGAATTCTTGATTTGATTCTCTGTTTGGTCATTGTTGGTGTATAGAAGCCTACTCAAAATTTTGAATTCAAAGCCCCAGCCTCCTTCCCATATCAAAGGCATAATTCACGAAATTACATTTCAAGATGAGAGCATTTTCATTGGATTTAGTTAACAGATTCTTTGTTTTCTTCAGTTTCTCTTAGCATGCCTAATAGAACTACTTCAGGTAGCCAAAATTTTATGAAGTCTATCTATACTAATGGTTTTTTGCGGGGGAGGGGTGAGTATGTAAATTGTAGCTGTGGCCAGCTTTATTGTAGATATGGCTTTTTTTCACATTGACCTAATGTCTGTGTCTGAGTTCAGCAAGTGTAACGGTGTTACTTGACTAAACATTTGGTGAAGAAACAATTACTTCAGAAAGTGAAAAAGTTATTTTGAGTGTTAGAATCTCAAGGAAAAGCTGAATAATGCTTAAATATAGTTAGGCTCTTGAGCCATTGAATGCAGTTATTAAGGAAAGAATAGAATTCAGCACAAATTGTGAAATAAAAAGAACTTAGGTCAATGAAAAAAGGAAATAAAGCTTAATTTAGAGCAGCCTATAGTACATGGATCCTTTCTTTTCTCAATTTGTTTTCTCACCTTAATACATATAACCATTTAAAATATCCTCATTATATGTCAGTCTTGAATTAAAGTCAATATAGAAATTACAAAATACACACAGCACAAATGAATATCTAATTTCTTAAAAGAGAGAAAGTTGCCTCCTAGACTTTCCCCAAGAGCCCTCAACAGAACTGGAAATCTGTAATAATATTGACAAATATCTTGTAACTAAAGACTAAAAGCATAGTCTATCAATGTTATATGACTAATCCTTAATTATACTGAATAGCTAGTGTTTAAGTATTAAACATATTGAAGCATTCTGGCATGTTAAAACTTAACATTAACATCTACTAATATTTAGGCCAGGTGTGGGGGCTCATGCCTGCAATCCCAGCACTTTGGGAAGCCAAGGCAGGCACATCACTTGAGGTCAGGAGTTCGAGACCAGCCTAGCCAACATGGTGAAACCCCGTCTCTACTAAAAATACAAAAAACTTAGCTGGGCATGGTGGTGCACACCTGTAATCCCAGCTTATTGGGAGGCCGAGACACGAGAATCTCATAAAGCTGGGAGGCAGAGGTTGCAATGAGCTGAGATTGTGCCACTGCACTCCAGCCTGGGCGACAGAGCGAGACTCCATCTCAAAAAAAAAAAAATCTAATATTTAGATCATCTAAGTAGTAAGTATTCAGAACCAATATTCTGCAGTCTTATCCACACAGATCTAGAGATGCCACACAGTTATTTTATGTAGGTGTATTTCATTCTAAAGAATATTTAAGGAGACAAAATTATTTCTTCTAATTCATAAGCAGCAAAAGTGACTTTCTGAATATATGATAGCATGTAAATGTGTTGCATCGAGAACTCTTTATTGTATTGGAAATACAATAAAAATAGGAAATACAATAAAATGGAGGTGTTGAATAGAATTCTAAAACTGAAAACTCTAGTCATGTTTAATTTGCTCATTATTATCTGGCAGAATTATTATGTGTCGTCCTTACATTTTTAATATTTCCCCCTTATTTTGGATAATTTTAGGAAATTCGTACAAGTTTCAAGCTGGCAATAGAATGAATGCAATGTTATGGTTTAAGCATTTGAGTGCAGCCTGCCAAAGTAACAAACAACAGGTAAGCATTTCTCCTAATTCTCAGAATAGTCCATAATTTGGGAACATATGTAAAAGAGTTCCAAGAGAAGTAAACAGACTAGTTCTGAATTAACTAGGAGAATGGTGGTGTTTTTATTCTTGTTGATTACAGTTAATAAGATATGAAGGTCTACATCTTAGTGAGGAGCTAGACAGTAATCATGCAAACAAGTAACAAAATTTCGAACAGTCAGAACTATATAAAGAAAACAATAGACGTATGTGATATAGAGCAATGGGAGTACAGACAACTTTTGATAACATAAGGTTGGGCAGCAAAGATCTCCCTGAGGAGATGGTATTGACAAGAACCACAAGAAGGAACGAGCTATAAGAAGAGGAGAGCAGAGTGCTGTGTAAGGGAAGAGCAAGTGCAGGGAGCCTGAAGCTGGAACAAGCTTAAGGTGAGTTCAAAGCACAGAAAGGTAGCTAGTATAGTAGTCAGAGTATAGTTCTCTAAAGGGTAAAAATTAGATGGCATATTAAATTAATAAAAATTATTCGAATTCATCTTTATTTGATCTATTGACAATTTGATGTGGGTTTCTGTGGTGGTAGTGAAACCAAAAACCATTTAAATTTTGTTTGCTTTTATTTTACTGAAACAAAAATGGTCTAATTGAAAGGCTTTCAGCTGCAGAAGAGCAGGAATCCATTGTGTTGTTTTCCCCAAACCCTGTTGCACAGTTAGAGTTGAACCACAGATTGGTAGAGCAGACATAAAACACATAGCCACATTTATAGAAATTTATATAGACTTTTTGTAGAACCAGTTGTTTGTTAAATATATTTGAAAATCATTGACTTAGCATATTGATAATGCAGAAGTCTATGGTTAGCATTATCAGTAGGTAATATTGAATATGATGCACTATATAAGCTTAGAAAGCTTACAGAAGTATTTTTCACCCTGTCATATCAGGATGTAAGTTATTACCCTTTCTTGATAATTGAAACTAAGGCTCCATAATACAAAATGACCTACACAGGTCACACAAGTAAAAAATGGTGGATTCAAACTTTCTTCATCCTTTAAGTCCATTCTTTTTGTTTGTTTTTTGACTTTTGGGTTCAGAGGGTACTTGTGCAGGTTTGTTACATGGGTATATTGTGTGTCACTGAGGTTTGGTGTATAAATGATCCTGTCACCCAGTTAGTGAGCAGAGTACCCACTGGTTTTTCAACCGTCACCCCTCTCCCACCCTCCCCACTCTGGTAATGCTCAGTGTCGATTGTTCCCATCTTTGTGTCTAGGTGTATTCAATGTTTACCTCCCACTTACAAGTGAGAACATGCAGTATTTGGTTTTCTGTTCCTGGATTAATTCACTTAATGGTCTCCAGCTGCATTCATGTTGCTGCCAAGGGCATAATTTCACTGTTTTTTAAAAATCACTGTGTAGTATTCCATAGCATATATGTACCACATTTTCTTTATCCAATCCACTGTTGACAGGCACGTAGGTTGATTCCATGTCTTTGCTATAGTGTATACTGCTGGGATGAACATACATGTGTCTTTTTGGTAGAACAATTTATTTTCCTTTGGGTATATGCTCAGTAATGGGATTGCTGGGTTCAGTGGTAGTTCTGTTTCAAGATCTTTGAGAAATCTCCAAGCTGCTTTCCACAGTGGCTGAACTTACATTCCTACCAAGTGTATAAGCATTCCCTTTTCTCTGCAACCTTGCCAACATCTGTTATTTTTTGACTTAGCCATTCTGACTGGTGTGAGATGGTATCTCATTGCAATTTTGATTTGCATTTCTCTGGCAATTAGTGATATTGGCCGTTTTTCAAATGCTTGTTGGCCATGTGTATTTCTTCTCTTGAGAAGTGTCTGTTCATGTCCTTTGCCCACTTTTTAATGGGGTTGTTTTTTGCCTGTAAATTTAAGTTTCTTATAGATTCTAGATATTAGACCTTTTTCAGATACACAGTTTGAAAATATTTTCTCCCATTCTCTAGGAATGTTGGTTTATTCTGCTGATAGTTTCTTTTGCTCTGCAGAAGCTCTCTAATTAGGTCCTGTTTGTCAGTTTTTGTTTTTGTTGCAACTGCTTTTGGAGTCTTCATCATGAAGTCTTTGCCAGGGCCTGTGTCCAGAATGGTATATCCTAGGTTATCTTTCAGGGTTTTTATAGTTTTAGGTTTTGCATTTAAGTCTTTAATCCATCTTGAGTTGATTTTTGTATACAGTGTAAGGAAGGGGTCCAGTTTTAATCTTCTGTATATGGCTATCCAGTTATCCTAGCAGCATATTGAATAGGGAGCCTTTTCCCCATTGCTTGTTTTTGTCAGCTTTGTCAAAGATCAGATGGTAGTAGGTGTGAGGCATTATTTCTGGGCTCTCTATACTGTTCCATTGGTTCTATCCTGTTCCATTGGTATCTGTTTTTGTACCAGTACCATGCTATTTTTTGGTTACTGTAGTCTTGTAGTATAGTTTGAAGTCAGGTAGTGTGATGCCTTCAGCTTTGTTCTTTTTACTTAGAATTGCTTTAGCTATTTGGGCTTTTGTTGTTGTTGTTGTTGTTGTTGTTCCCATATGAATTTTCTAATGGTTTTTTCTAATTCTTTGAAGAATGTCATTGGTAGTTTGATAAGAATAGCATTGAATCTGTAGGTTGGTTTGGACAATATGGACATTTAACAGTATTGATTCTTCCAATCCATGAGCATGGAATGCTTTTCCATTTGTTTGTGTCATCTCTGATTACTTTGAGCAATTTTTGTAATTCTCTTTTTCTTTTTTAATTTTTTTTTTTTTTTTTTTTTTTTGGAGACGGAGTCTTGCTCTGTCTTCAGGCTGGAGTGCAGTGGCGCGGTCTCGGCTCATTGCAACCTCCACCTCCCGGGTTCAAGCGATTCTCCTGCCTCAGTCTCCCGAGTAGCTGGGAGTACAGGCGTATGCCACCACGCCCAGCTAATTTTTTGTATTTTTAGTAGACAAAGGGTTTCACTGTGTTAGCCAGGATGGTCTCGATCTCCTGACCTCGTGATCCACCCACCTCCGCCTCCCAAAGTGCTGGGATTACAGGCGTGAGCCACTGTGCCCGGCTTGTAATTCTCATAGTAGAGATCTTTTACCTCCTTGATTAGCTGTATCCCTAGATATTTTTTTCTTTTTGTGGCTATTGTAAATGGAATTGTGTTCTTGATTTGGCTCTCAGTTTGAGTGTTATTGGTGTATAGAAATGCTGTTGATTTTTGTACATTGATTTTGTATCCTGAGACTTTGCTGAAGTTGTTTATCAGATCTAGGAGCTTTGGGTCAGAGACTATGGGGTTTTCTAGACATAACATCATATAGTCTGAAGAGAGATGGTTTGACTTCCTCTTTCTATTTGAATGCCTTTTATTTCTTTCTCGTGTCTGATTGCTCTGGCTGGGACCTCCAGTAAGTATTATGTTGAATAGGAGTGGTTAGAGTGGGCATCCTTGTCCTGTTCCAGTTCTGTAAGGGAATACTTCCAACTTTTGCCCATTTAGAATGATGTTGCTGTGGGTTTGCCATAGATGACTCTTACTATTTTGAGATATGTTCTTTCAGTGCCTAATTTGTTGAGGGCTTTTAACATGAAAGGATGTTGAATTTTATCAAAAGCCTTTTTTGCATCTTTTGAGATGATCATATGGTTTTCTGTTTTTAATTTTGTTTATGTGGTGAATCACATTTATTGATTTGCATCTGGTGAACCAACCTTGCATCTCAGGAATAAAGTCTACTTGATTGTGGTGAATTAACTTTCTGATATGCTGCTGGATTCAGTTAGCTAATATTTTGTTGAGAATTTTTGTGTCTGTTCATCAGGTATATTGACCTGTAGTTCTGTTTTTTCATTGTATCTCTGCTAGTTTTTGGAATCAGAATGATGTTGGCTTCATGGAATGAGTTAGGGAGGAGTCTTTTCTTTCTCGATTTTTCGGAATATTTTCAGTAGGATTGGTACTAGCTCTTTTTCGTACATATGGTAGAATTCAACTGTGAAATCCACCTATTTCAAGGCTTTTTTGGGTTGGTAGGTTGTTTATTACTGATTCAGTTTTGGAACTCATTATTGGTCTTTTTAGGGATTCAGTTTCTTCCTCATTCAATCTTCAGAGGTTGTGTTTCCAGGAATTTATCCATTTCTTTTAGGTTTTCTAGTTTGTGTGCATATAAGTGTTAGTCTCTGAGGATTTTTTGTATTTCTTTGGAGTCAGTTGTATGTCACCTTTGTAATTTCTGATTGTGATTATTTGGATCTTTTCTCTTGTTTTATTTGTTAATCTAGCTACCAGTCTATCGATCTTGTTTTTTCTTTCAAAGAACCAACTTTTGGTTCATTGCTTTTTTGTATGCATTTTCACATCTCAATTTCATTCACTTCTGCTCTGATTTTGGTTATTTCTTTTTTTCTGCTAGCTTTGGGGTTGGTTTCCTTTTGTTTTGTTTTTCTAGTTCCTCAAGGTATGATGTTAGGTTGTTAATTTGAGCTCTTTCTAACTTCTTGACATAGGTATTGAGTCTGATATGTTGTGTCTCTGTTTTCCTTAGTTTTAAATCATTTTTTGATTTGTGTCATAATTTCATTCTTTACCCAAAAGTCATTTGGAAGAAAGTTGTTTAAGTTCCATATAATTGTGTGGTTTTGAGAAAACTTCTTGGTATTGATTTCTAGTTTTATTGTACTGTAGTCTGAGGCTATGGTTGGTATGATTTCAATTTTTTTGAATATGTTGGCACTTGCTTTATGCCCAAGCATGTGGTTGATCTTAGAGAATGTGCCTTGTGCCAATGAAAAGAATGTATATTCTTGTGTTGTTGAATGAAGTATTCTGTAGATGTCTGTTGGGTCTAGTTTGTCAAATGTTGAGTTTAAGTCCAGAACATTTTTGTTAGTTTTCTGCCTCAGTGATCTGCCTGACACTATCAGTGGGGTGTTGAAGTCTTCCATTATGTAGTTATCTAAGTCTCTTTGTAGGTCTCTAAGAACTTGTTTTCCTAATCTAGATGCTCCAATGTTGGGTGCATGTATCTTTAGGATAGTTAAGTCTTCTGGATGAATTGAACCCTTTATCATTATGTAATGCCCTTCTTTGTCCTTTTTGACCATTGTTATAGTCTGTTGTATCTAATATAAGACTAGCAACCTTTGTTCTTTTTTGTTTTCCATTTGCTTGATAAATCTTGCTCCTTACCTTTACTTTGCACCTAGTATGTTGTTACATGTGAGATGGTTCTCTTGAAGATAGCAGACAGTTGGGTCTTGCTTCTTTGGCCAGCTTATCACTTTGCCTTTTTTGCCTGTTTACATTCAAGGTTACTATTGATGTGTGAGGATTTAATCCTGTCATCATGTTGTTAGCTGCTTGTTATGTAGACTTCATTGTATAGTTGCTTTATAGTGTCAGTGGACTATATACTTAAGTGTGTTTTTGTGGTGGCAGTTATTTTTCTTTCATTTCCACATGTAGCACTCCTTAAAGGACCTCTTGTAAGGCAAGTCTGATGATAGTGAATTCCTTAGTCTTTGCTTGTCTGAAAAGGATTTTCTGTTTCCTTCACTTATGAAGCTTAGTTTGGTGGGACATGAAATTCTTAGTTGGAATTTCTTTTCTTTAAGGATGCTAAAAATAGGCCCCCAGCCTCTTCTGGCTTGTTAGGCTTCTACTGAAAGGTCCACTGTTAACCTGATGAGGTTCCCTTTACTGCCCCTTTTCTCAAGCTCCATTTAAGATTTTTTTCTTTTGCATTGACCTTGGAGAATGTGATGATTAAGTGTCTTGGGGATGCTCATCTTGTATAGTATCTTGTGGGGAGTCTGAATTTCTTGAGTTTGCACATCAACTTCTGTAGCAAGATTGGGATAATTTTTGTGGATCGTATCCTCAAATATGTTTTCCAAGTTGCTTACTCTGTCTCCTTTTCTTGCAGTAACACCAGTGAGTCATAGGTTTAGTCTCTTTACATAATCCCATATTTATCAAAGGTTTTGCTCATTTTTAAAATTTTTTTCTTTAATGTTTGTCTCTGTTAATTTGAAGGAGTGCTCTTCGAGTTCTGAGATTCTTTCCTTGGTTTGGTCTATTCTGTTGTTAATGCTTCCAATTGCATTATGAAATTCCTAGGCTGGGAGTGGTGGCTCTCACCTGTAATCCCAGCACTTTGGGAGGCCAAGGCAGGCAGATCACTTGAGGTCAGGAGTTCGGGACCAGCCCGGCCAACATGGTGAAACCCCGTCTCTGCTAAAAATAGAAAAATTAGCTGGGCATGTTGGTGCATACCTGTAGTCCCAGCCACTAGGGAGGCTGAGGCAGGAGAATCGCTTGAACCTGGGAGGCAGAGGTTGCAATGAGCCAAGATCATGCCACCGCACTCCAGCCTGGGCAACAGAGCAAGACTCCCATCTCAAAAAAAAAAAAAGAAAAGAAAAAGAAAGAAATTTCTAGAGTGAATTTTTAAATTCCAGAGGTTCAGTTTGGTTCTTTCTTAAAATGGCTGTGTTATCTTTCAACTCTTGGATTGTTTTACTGTTTTCCTTAAACTGGGTTTCACTTTTTCCTGTATCTCACTGAGCTTCCTTGCTATTCAGATTCTAAATCCAAAGTCTGTCATTTCAGTCTGGTTAAGAACCATTGCTGGGAACCTATTGTAGTTGTCTGGAGGTAAGAAGACACTGTGGTTTTTAGAGTTGCTAGAGTTCTTGCATTGGTTCTTTCTCATCTGTGAGGGCTGATATTCCTTTATCCTTTGAAGTTGCTGACTTTTGGATGGTGCTTTTTGTTTTTATGTTTTTGATTTCCCTTCAGGGTTTGACTGTGGTATAAGTTGGGTATAGTCAATTGGCTTCCTTTCTGGATGTCTTCAGAGAACCAAGGTTCAGCTTGGCACTCCTGGGCTGTGTCCTGTAACTCCCAAGGGGCTGGGACTGGGCCCCTGGCTTTTTCCTCTGGCCTCTTGAGGTCGACCACCGGCTGCACTGGGTGGACCAAGGTGCTCCCAGGCTGCTGGCAAAACCTCTCCATCAGGCTACTGGCAAAAGCACTTCCTCAGGGGCCACTGTTGAAAGTGTTCTGGCAGGATGGTGGGGGCCACTGGTAAAAGCACTATGGTGACAGTCGCCCGCAAAAGCATTCCAACAGAATAGTGGAAGCTACACTGTGTGCCTGCTCCCATGGGAGTGGCCAAACAGGGACCTTGGAAGGGGCCAGTAGACAGTGGGACATGCAGCTCAGACTCACCCCAGTCCCATGGGAAACACAGCCCTGCTCTCTCCAAATATGGCAGTTAGCAAAGGTCAGAGCCACCTAGAGGAGTATGAAGAGCCTTGGTGGGTGGGCGCCTATGGCCGTGTTCCTTTGCAGCTTTCCCCACACCATACCCCCTGGGCTCCATGTAGACCTAAGTTCTGTCTCTGCCAGCTCTCCAGGCAGTTCCCCCTGGCAACTCAAATATCCAGGAGGACTATGGGATCTCCTGCCACTAGGATCCCAGCGGTTTGTGGTGAGAGTGGGCCATTCCACAGTTACTTTACTCACCCCTTCCTTAGGAGCTGTTCAGGACCAGGAATGAGTCCCAGCACTCCACAGCCCTGTGCAGGGTTCCTAGCTTCTTCGCTCTTCAACCCTGGTTCTGCATCATCTCTCCACCCACTCTCAGAAAATCGGTGATTTTCTCTCAGTGCATCCTCTCAGAAGATAGGCTTGGAGTATGCTGGTCTACTAGATACTCAGATCTCTCTTGGTGGGAGAAGCTCTTCCTGGCTTTGCCTAGTTGGCCATCTTGTCCCAATCCCGAGGGCATTTTTTTAAAATATTGTTGGAGTGGGCTTTGTTCTCTCATAGTTTTTATTGTTTCAAATATATATGCAACACTAATAGCAGTATTTAGTACCATTTTTAGCAACCTCCATAAAGGACATGAAATGTCATAGAGCGAAAATTATTTTTTGCCTTGTCAGGTTAGTGTCTGGGGCAGAATGAAAGAAACAGATCAGGCTTTGTCTAGACTAAGCCTTTCAGGATTCACCTCATTGCTATACATTTTCTTTAAATGTAATTTAGGGTATTAAGACTCTTTTTTTTTCAATCTCAGATTCCAAGATGAATCTAGACAATATATACATATACCAGCTTAAAGGTTCAATTTCTTTTACTGTATTAGTGAGTATTTCTGTGCAACAAGTCAACCAGACGTGTATAAATATTTGTTTCTATACTTGCAAGAATTAGAATAGTGGCAAATTTGTAAGTAGAACCTGTGAAAGTTTTAGTAGAAAACTCTGACTCAAATGCAAAATATCTTAAACCACATTCAGGCAACTTAAAAAGAAATGAAACTTTTACTTTACTTAAATACAAGTTTCTTTTTTTTTCTTTGAGACAGGGTTTCACTCTTGTTGCCCAGCCTGGACAGTGCAATGGTGCGATCTTGGCTCACTGCAACCTCTGCCTCCCGGGTTCAAGCCATTCTCCTGCCTCAGCCTCCTGAGTAGCTGGGATTACAGGCACCCACCACAGGCCCAGCTAATTTTTGTATTTTCAGTAGAGATGGAGTTTCACAATGTTGGCCAGGCTGGTCTTAAACTCCTGACCTCAGGTGATCTGCCTGCCTCAGCCTCCCAAAGTGCTGGGATTATAGGCGTGAGCCACCGCACCCGGCCAAATATGAGTTTCTTATAATCAGACCTGAAAATTTATACTTTAAGCACTTGAGCATTTGTGTTGTATTTGATTTGTAATTCAGTTATGAGTACATTGGCCAACATAATTTTTTTATTCAGAAGCTGACACTTGTAAGGTATTTATGTTTTTGCATATAATAGGTTTCAGAGAGAGGTTGCTAAACTGTGAGAGCTGTCTTAAGGACAGAAAAGACCACTGACATATGAATACCTCTCCCAGTATTTTGGAAAACTGGTTTTGAGGATTTGTTTTAACATAGTGAAACTCTAATAAGGAATTTTGTTTTTCTGTACTTATTTTAATCATGATTTTACAAATAAATTCTTAGTAATGTTTGTTATAAAATTATTTTTGCTGATTTTAAAAATATGCACCTAGGAATTTTTGTAATATATAATGAGAAAATAAATAATGGCAAACAAGTGTATCTGGAATCTCACCCTACCAGAGTCATACTTACTCTTGCTCTCATTTATTCATTCAGTAAACGTCTACTGAGCCCCCTGTGTTAGACAAGAAAGATATTGTCTCTACCCCTTCTCCTGTATAGATGTCATTTTACTAGAAAGAGTATTAACTCATTTTGGTGATTTTCTCTCAAAAATGTTCTAGCATGTTAATTATTCATAAACTATTGAAGCTCCTTATATCAAGTTCCTTTTAAAAGATACTTAAGTAGAAAGATTGGGCTTGCCTAAATAACAAGGAAAGATAAGAAATACTCCTTTGAAAAACAACTTTTAAACTCAGTTTTTAATGCTTATATTTTTTAGGTTCCTACAAACTTGATGACTTTTGAGTAGAAGCCTGAGAAAAAAAGAGAGGTGAACTGTTGCTTCTACGTGAGCATGAGGACCTGATAAAAGAGCGCCAGCTATAAACCATCCTGTGCCAGGAAGAGCCCAGAGGCTCTGTCTCAGTCGTTGGAGTTCTCAACCAAAAAAGCACTAATTTCAGGGAATGATTTGAGATATTCCCAGAGAACAAATTGGAGTTGCAAAACAAACTGCCATGAACCATGCTTCTTATCTCAGAACTGACCTGTGGAAACCACTGCCTTAAAAGAATGAAAGGAAAACCAACATGAAACACCAAATAGTGTGTGTGAATCTTCTGGCGGTGCTGTGCTTGGAATAGATCGTAGCTAATTTGCATTTCTTTTAACTTTGTAATAATTTTAGAGGGGGGAATTGCCTTTTTTAGATATGCTTTAAAAAGGAAAAACATACTCTTGTGGATTCCATCAGGAGCTGGTTTTGAACCGAGGTGAAGAGACTTAGCAGGGATTGTACCAGCAGCCCACCTGCAAGGTTTGTTCTCCCTCTAGTAGTCTGCAACCTCACTGGCTTTCTCACAGCAAGAGTGTAGGAATGAGAAATGTTAGTCATGTGAGTTCTTGGGTTTGTTTGGGATTGGGTGGGGGTGTTTGTTTTGTTTTGGATGAGGGGAGAATTTTTTTAAACACTAAACTTCTGAAATGTAGTACTGTAAGGGGAACATTATTTCCTGCAGGAGGTACAAAGGCTGTGTGTTCATTTGCCAGACGCTTTTTTTTTAAATAGGTTCCAGAAAACATGGTTGTTTCTAACTAGGGTTAAAGTTTAGCTTTCTATATGAATTCATTGTTGGACCACAGATCTGCTTAAGTAAAGAGCTATAATCCCAACCTAAACTTTTCTGAGATTTTACAATAATTAGATCTTTTTCCAAGTTAATTGGGTTTTCCCTTCTCCCAGTCATAGGTGGTTTTTATCATCAAGACAGACTGATATTTTGTCAGGATATTTTCTTTTACAGTGTTTGATGTGCATAATGCCAGAGTTATTTTTTTATTATTCATTTTCTCTCTTTTTGTTCAATATGAGATTCAGGATCATATTTGTTTAAAAGGTAACACATAGAGATGTATGTATATATTTTGTTATAAGACATACAAAATAATTTTAAGAGGGATAAAGGTGAAAATATCAGATTCTGGAAATTTTAAGTATCTAAACTTTATACTTGTATGATTTACCATAAACATACCAAAACATTTTTCTGAAAATTTACTGTCGGTCTCTGACATGAAACCGTATTTTGTCAGTAGTTGACCAAGCAGTTTTATGAGAACTCTTCTATGCAATGATGCATTTAATTTCTAAAGTAAATGTTGAATTATTAAAAAAAAAGTTTGAAGGTAAGATGCCTTAGAATTTTAATGAAAAATGACACTCAAACAAAGGCTATATGTCGAATGTTATAAACTCTTGAGACATAATGAATTTTAGCAGTGGCCTAGAGTAAGGTAATGCTTTGTGACTGATATCTACTAATAGACTTCTGTTACTTTGGGCCTCACATAAAATTTCTCACATTCGTATTCTTAGAGAATTTTATACTTTTTTATTATAAGTATTTTGCCCTTGAGTCCATGAAACTTCAATAGAAAATATTGCTTATACAATAATTAGCTTAAAATCCATCCAAAGGAAAAGAGAAGAGCTTTTTTTGAGTGTTAAGTTTTTTAATTTAGTATTCTGTTTGGAAAAGATGTTAAGAGTTCAAATATGCTTCTTATGTAACAGAAATACCATTATTTCTGGGGTTTAGTGACACAGGCTGGAGAGGACAAAAGTTTCCTGTCCTGAATGATTTTTCAATTAATGCTCTAAGCTTAACCCATGTTGGGTAATAGAAAGACATAGCCAGCAGTATTACTACGTAGACCTTGCACATCTTACTTTTGTTTTGCATTTTTAAAAATTTCTTAATTTGTTTATTTCTCTTCAGAAATAGCGTTTTTAACAGTGTATGTGCTTTTTTAAAAAGTATTGTGAATGAGAACCCTGTGGATTTTTTTTATTTCATTTGTTTGTCATAATAAGCTAACGTAGAAATGTTGTAGGTTAACCATATCTGTGGAAATATGCAGTTGGAAGTCAGAGCCTGACATCACATAGTTTTGCCAAAGGGAGAGAGCTAAGCTGGAAGATGTTTTTGATACTTTCGGCTCTAAACATTAATGGATGTTTGCGTAGAGTAAGATAGCGTTCAAATTTGGTTAATAGTTTATAGATAGACTTGTGGCCTCTGACTGACTAAATTTCTTAACAGCACAGAAGTCGTTGTTTTTCTGTCTTTAAAATTTATTCATTCAGAAAATTAGTCATTGCTTTTTAAGATTATTTTAGCATTTGAAGCAAATTGAAAACAGAAAAGTGACTTAAAATAGTGTAGGTGAATTTTTTATCTATAATTTACCAAATAATACCTGATAATAATTCAAAGAAAATATGTTACCAAAATATATTAAATATATAGGTAGTTCATTCGTGGGAAGATGAATCTTCTTATTAAGCCTGCCCTCAATTGTAAATAAGTGACTCAAAAACTCAAAATGTTCATCAGCATTCAGGTCATTTGTTTCACCCTTAGCCAAGAAGAACTCATTAGAAATTCAGTTATAATTTCAATTTAAGCCTGTTTATGATAAGCATAATGATTGGCATGTTATATAGCCTGTTGAAAATAACTACAGAATGACCTTCCAGAGCACTGTTTTTGGCCTCGTGCCCGCTCTGTTCAGGCTCTGCTTGTTTTTCAGAATATGATTTTTACCTCCAGACAGTAAGAATTGAACAAGAACTGATCAAACACACCTTCCTATTTTGTTTTCTTCACTATGTAAATATTATTTGGGCAAACATTACAAAAAGGGATCCAAACAATTTGAGTTTCAGTATTTTTTTCTCCCTAGGCATGTGCTTCAATTTCAAATATTTTTTTCTGTGTGGAAAATGCCATGTAACTATTGCACTACCTTCTGTGTGGACTGTGTTGGTATTGGTTCTTTCTGTATATCAAAAGTCAGGGTGTTTATAACTGCAAAGTTTGTATAAGTGGCTTTATTCCTCTTCTAGAAGATTTATGAGGAGCCTAGGAAGCACTATTGGTACAGGAGGAAAAAAGAATGGAAAACATGTTTACAGACTCTAGCTTTCCTTATTAGCTTAAACTGGGGCCCTCAAAGAGCAGCCTGTTGATCTTTTGGCCAAATGACTTGAGCATAAGTCTTTTATTTCTTTTTAAGGTTAAATCGTAAACTGTATACCTTTACTACTGAAAACAAAACTATAGGGCATCATACTAATTGAAAATCAATAGTAATGGGTTCCATCCATTAGCTTTTTAAATGAATAGATCTGGTATTGATTTCCTTCCTGTTTTTTTGAGGCACATTCCTTTACAACCAGTGTTTAAACCACCACGTAATCATCTTCTGCAAACAAGGGGTGCCAGTGTTGCCTAACAGAAGATAATCTTTAATAAAGCAAATCCTCTGCTTCAAAGGTTTTTGAAATAATTGGATCCCTTTTTGAAAAGGAAGATGAGTTTAACTGTGTCCAGGTGGAGTAATAGTACTGCTGTTGCATGAATAGATGATACAAAGCAAGTGATGAGGTTGGTATGACTTCTTTAGTGACCTTTTAGGGTTTGCTTTTATTTTCCTCTCTTTTTTGTATTATTTCTTTCAAACATAGTAAATATATGATTTTACAGCCAAAGTGGTATTCTGTTTTTTCTAAGCTTTGAGATACAAATATTGCTATTTAATCACATTGATGATGAATTACTTTCCATGTGAACCTTCTCAAAATGATTTAAGTACCTTTGATTTTGCTCCCCTAAAAATGGCTTGTGTCTAAAGTGACATTTTTTTCCCTATTTGGAGGGTTCTAATGAAAGAGATCCAGGCATAAAAACTCTTTTGCTTATTGAAAGCAATTTGATTACACCTATGTTTCAGGTTATAGTGGGGAGAAAATTTGGTCAGTGCCTTATTATTTGAAGAGCAATTTTAGGGCATCAAGTATGACAATAATCATGTGCCCTCTTGCTCCTCTTATTTCAGGAGTGTGTGCTATCCCTCTCTCCACCAGCTTAATCTTTCTCACCCCAAGTCTAACAAAGTCTTTACAGAAACCTCTGTAGGTGATTGTTGCAGTCTTCCTTGGTTTTTGAGTCTTTTTAAACAAGCTCCTACCCTGCTTCTATCCTTTTAGAGTAGGAGATTAAAAATAAACCCACCCCAGTCAACCTTTAGATAAGCACTCTTAAAAACAAATTTGAAGAGCACTCTTCAGCCAAGTTCATTTTTATTTTGTTGTTGATGTTTTGAGCATACATTTAATTGTAAGGCCTTTTGGAAAAGCCCTAAAAGAATAAGATACAACCAGAAATATTTGAGTTTTGTTAAATGTACTGAAATCTTGTAATGAAAATCCCTTTGGCCAGAAATGAGATTTATTTCCATTTATTTTTACATTTAAGTAACACTCAAAACAAACAAGTAGTCACTTAACCTGCCAGTTATTATTTTCTTGAAAATATACAAGAAAGTAAAAATATCTCTAATATATAAGTTAAAGGAAAGTTAAGAGACTAAGCTAGTTTTTTCAGTGAAAGCAAAGTTGGAAATATTTTGCTTCTCTCAGATTATTGGAAGACCTAGAGCTACTGGATGTTAACCTGAATCAAGATGTTCTTTTCACATTTTTTTAAAGGGCTAGTATGTTCCAGAGTAGGCAAGTAGTCATTCAAGCCAAATGAAAGAGTTAACTGGTCCTTGAGGAGTGTTAGCAAAATTTAAATTTTGACCCTGGCCATTTGTACTACAGAAGTGATTATGGGATTAAAAGAATACATAATTACAGTGTTTTGGGATTGGGCTCTTTTTTTTCTTAATAGAAAAGCAGAAACTTCATAAATAATAGCTGTGCTTTAGATACCAGATAACAAATATTGTTTCCCCTGAAGATATGACCTACTAGAACTACTCACATATATAGTCCAATAATTACTGACTTAATAGGTATGGTAAAATAGCTGATAATAAGTCAGACTCTCAAGAGTTTCTGTACCTTGATTATTGACAAATTCATTGTTTTACATCCTACTAAAGAACATGTGTGTGGGGAGGGGGTGGGGAACTGGTTCACAACATAATCTGAAGGAGATCAAACATCTGTAAGGACAGGTACCCAGTGATGATAATATATCTGAAAACACAAGCCATTTTTATTCTTTATCCCAATTAACTTGAGGTACTCTAATGATGAAGCACTCGATTGCACTATGACCTCCTTGAGTGATGTGCAGCTTGGTTCCTCTCTCACTTTTTGTTTCTTTTTAATATGCAAATGTGAGTGTGCGATCTTCAGTGTGTCTGCATAAGCTAACTTAAGATGAATTTAAGTACAGTTTTCTGAAATATTTCTATTGAAATAAATTACTTAAAATTATAGATTGGGTGAGGATGTTTTTGTTACTGTATTTGCATTTTTATCATGAACTTTTAAGGTGCAAATAAACTTTAAGTTGATTTTTTTCCCCTTTCTAAGGTAGTCAACAAGGCTATTGTTGGTGCAGGGAAAGCTCTGAAAAAACTTTAGTCACTCTTCTCTAGCCCAAGACAAGAATGTGCCACCTCGCATGTGGACAAATGGGGTTGTGGGGAATAGAGAGTAAGGGCATAACATTTCCAACTACATCTCCCACTCTGAGTATGTGATACGATAGGAGTAGTCCCCAAAGAGGCTCTCTTTGCTAATACATAACATTTTTTTCTTTTTACCATTTCTGAAAACAATCCATATTCGAGACCATGGAGCTTTAAATTGGAAGAAGTACAGAAATACCTGTGTGGAGTCTCCTGTAGGCTATTGTCTGGGTGTTGGTTATGCTTGAGAATTCCACGTTAGCTTAGCCTCTGCATGGTTTAGGAACCCCCAGCCAGGAAAAGCCCAATATTTTGGCAAATTATAATTCAGTTTTCAGCAGTTTTCTCACCTCCATAGTGCCCTTTGAAACTTCTCACTGTCCCTTTACTTGAACCAAAAGAGAAGAATGACACTTATTTGTTGGGGCCAACCTGTCATTACCTCATATAGTACCACCTTTGTCATACATCAGTTTCCCATATATGCAGAATTTTCTAGATCCCCTTTCCTGTTTCAACGGTTGTTTGTCCCAACCAATACCATATTGTCTTCATTACTATATAGCTGTATAAGTTGGTATCTGGTGAGCTAATTGTATGTTCTTCAGAATTAGCTTAGCTCTTCTTGACTTTGTCTTTGCTGTAAATTCTAGGATCAGTTTGTTATGTTCCATGAAAACACTGTTGTTATTTTTATTGGAATTACTTTGGATTTATAGGTTAATCTGAGAATTCACAGTTTTGAAAAATTTACTCCTTTCATCTGTACACATGTCTCTCTGTTCATTTAGGGCTTTTAATGTCCTTCAGTAATGTTTTACAGTTTTCTCCTGAGTAGTCTCTTACATTTTTTATTAGTTTATGTCTAAGTAAGTTAGTTTTTCTTTCTACTATGAATGTGACTTTTTTGTTACATTTCCTCATTGACTATTGTGTGTAGGAATGCCATTGGTCTTTATGTTGATTCTTATATCTAGCAACCTTGTTGAACTCCCTTACCTAGTTATAATGGTTTGTCCAAAGATCTGTTGGAATTATATTAGTGGCAAATAAGAATAGTTGTTTCTTCCTTTCCAATCTTTGTACCTTTTTTTTCTTGTCTTATCCTTATTTGGCTAGGACTCCAGTACAATATTGGATTAGAAGCAGTGGTACAATGCCAAAGAACTTAATTATCCAGTCTCCTCAGAAAACCTCAGAATATAACACAGCCCTAGAATGAACCCTAAGCATGTTATAGTGTAGCCCAAGTATAATCTTTATTGTATTTGTAGGCCAACTAATCATCAACTTAAATTTCTCCTTTTTCTTGTAAAGTATGTTTATACTGTTAGGCAGAAAATAAGTGGCATTTGCTCTCAGCCACCACTTATCAGTCAAAACTAAGTAAAATGGTGGGTCACAGGGATACTGCAAAATTTAGAGTATCCACGTGTAATTAATTTTCTTATTCTATGTCACTGATTCTCAACTGGAAGCGATTTTGTCCCCAGGAGATATTGTCAGTGTCTACAGACATTTTTGGTTGTCACAACTGGGAGAGGGTTCTTCTGGCATCTAGTAGGTAGAGAGGTAAGGGATGCTGCTAAACATCCTATGGTGTACAGGCCAGCCCCCCAACAAAGAATTATCTGTTCCAGAATGTCAATAATGCCAAGGTTGTGAAATCCTGCTCTATGTGAGTGACTTATTGTATCTCATAAGTTGAATATATTGAGCTTGGTTGTAGGAAAGAATTCGGTTTATGTTTGGCAAGGGACTTTAACTTTTCCCTGGAAGTTAACCTTTCTTACAGAAGTTTAACCTACTGGCCAGAGGAGATAAATTAATAGCATGGGAATATATTCATGGCCTGGACCATAATGTGTTATTCTTCAAGTATTTGTTGAGCTAAAAGCTACATGTTTCAACCTAAAGTAGATTTGTGGGGACATTCTAAATGAGTGCAGACCTACAGAAATGTTTGTCTACCTCTGTATGGTTATTCCAAGTCTGAAAAGATAACCCCAATAGCAGTAGGACAAAATAGGTTATCAATATGTCAGGCTGGATTATTTATTTAATCTGAGCTTTAATAAAACCAGAAGCTATTTACTTTTTGTTCTTATGATAGTGTTATATCCACATTATAAAAAGTTCAATTAAAGAAAACTATACAGTAAAAAATGCATGCCCGACCTATCAAATTCCCATCTCCAAATTTAATAAAAACATCTATCTTTGACTAAATTCCTGTAATGCTAGCCTAGTTTCTTTCAGTCTCAGGCTCTGAAGAATGATTTTTCACCTCCCTCAAACCTTTGCCCAATCTAAGACCCTTACATATACTCTAGTACTGTCAGAGCTAAAAGCATAAAAAGTATCGTCCTTACTCCACATAGACTTGTGATGCATTGGTTACATTATTTTTTATTTGGTCGAATTAGCTGTAAAAATGATTATAAGAGAGTACTTTGAACAAATATATGCCAACAAATTGAATAACCTAGAAAATGGACAAATTTCTGGAAACTCGAAACCTACCAACACAAAATCACAAAGAACATCTGAACAGACCTATAACTAGTAAGGAGCTTATAGATCAGTAATCAGAAACCTCCCAAAAAAGAAAGACCGTGAACCTGATGGCTTCACTGGTGAATGATAAAACATTAAAGACAAATTAATACCAATCCTTCTAAAATTTTTCCAAAAAATTAAAGCTGAGGGAACACTTCCTAATTTATTCTGTGAGGCTAGGATTATCCTGATACCAAAGTCAGACATAGACACTACAAGAAAACCACAGATCAATATCTATTATGAGCAATTTATGCAGAAATCCTCAACAAAACACTATAATTTTAATTTCAGCAGCGTATTACAAGGATTATATAACATGACTGAGTGGGATTTATTCCTGAAATGCAAGGATGGTTCAACATGAAAATCAATGTAATATACCATATTAACAGAATGAAGGAAAAAAATCTCGGTGCAGAAAAAGTATTTGACAAAATTCAACACCCTTTCATGATTAAAAAAATGATAATAACAAACTAATAGACTCTACCTCAACATAAAAGCCATATATGGAAAAGCCATATATGGAAAACCCACAGCAAATACACTGAATGGTGAAAGACTGAAAGCTTTTCCTCTGAGATCAGGAACAAAGCAAGAATGTACACTTTCACCACTTCTATTGAACATAGTACTGGAAATTCTAGTCAGAATTGGAAAGATAAAATTATCTCTGTTCACAGATGATATGATTGTATATGTAGAAAACCCTAAAGATTACACACACACACTATTAGAACAAGTAAATGAATCCAGCAAAGTAGCGGGATACAAAGTCAACATAAAAGTCACATTTCTGTATACTAACAATGAGCAATCTGAAAATTACAAAATTCCATTTACTAAAGCATCAAAAAGAATAAAATAGGAACTAACTTAACCAAGGAGGTAAAATATTTGTGCAATGAAAACTATAAAACGTTGCTGAAAAAAATTAAAGGCAAATAAATGGAAACATATCACCTGCTCCTGGATTGAAAGACAATATCGTTAAGATGTCAGTACTACTCAAATCAATATATAGATTCAATACAATCCCTATTGTAGTGTTTTTTACAGAAATAGAAAACCCCATTCAAAAATTCATATGGAATCTCAAGGGACCCCTAATAACCAAAACATCTTGAAAAAGAACAAAGCTAGAAGACTTATTTCCTGATTTCAAAACTTACTACAAAGCTACAGTAATCAAAGTACTGTGGTACTTGCGTAAAAACATAAACCTACGGGATAGAGAGCCCAGAAATAAACCCTCGCATATATGGTCAAATGATTTTTGACAGGGTGCCAAGACACCCATAAGGAAAGGAGTCTTTTCAGATGGCGCTGGGGAACTGTATCTCCACATGCAAAAGAATGAAGTTGTATCCTTACCTAACACTGTATACAAAAATTAACTCAAAATGAATCAAAGACCTTAATGTAAGACCTAAGCCTGTAAGTCTTACTGAAGATAACATAGGGCAAAAGCTTCACATCGTTGAATTTGGCAGTGACTTTATAGGTATGACACTAAAGGCACAGGCAACAAAGGGAAAAACAGATTGGACTTAATGAAAATTTAAGATGTGTGTCATAGACAATATAAACAGAAAGCAACCCACAGAATGGGAGAAAGCATATGCAAATTATCTAGCTGATAAGGGATTAATATCCAGAATGTATAGAGAACTGAAACTCAGCAACAGAAATAATTCAGAAATGGGCAAAGAACTTGAATACACATTTCTCTGAAGAAGATTGCCAATAAATACATTTTTTAGAATGCTTAATATCAGGACTAATTAGGGAAATGCAAATCAAGGGTACAGTGAGATACCACATCCCACCCAATGGGATGGCTACTATCAAAAAATAAATAACAAGTGTTTGGTGAGGATGTGGAGAAATTTAAAGACCTGATTGGATTGTTAAAGCTACAAAGACAGTAAAAGGAAATCTCTGAACCTGGATGGGAAAGAACTTAAATCCCTCAAAGCCCTTCTGTAAATACAAAAAACAGGGTTTCTGTTCAATGGACAAGACAAAGTTAACAGACTGGTGAAAATTTGGAAGAAAACTTTTGGAGTTTATAAGAGCAAAAGATTAATGTCAAGAAGATAACAGGACATTTTTGCAAAATAAAATGAGAAAACTGAGCTAACGGATATGAATAGACAATTTATAAAGGGAAATCTAAATCATGAAAAAATGCTCAACCTCACTAGTAGAGAAGTGCAAGGTGAGAGCTGTCATGTTCTATATGTTTTATCAAATTGGTGAAAAATAGCCAGATAATACCGGTTATGGTTTGGGGAATACTGGAATCCTCATGCACTCAGCAGATGAGGGTATAAACTGATGAGGCCATGCCAGAGAACATCTGGACAGTATTAGGGAAATCATGTATGTGTATAGAGCACAGGAATAAGGATTCTGATGCTGGAATTGAACTGCCTGGGTTCAGACGCTGGCTCTGTCACTTAACTAGCGGCAGGACCTGGAGCAGGTGACTTCGTCCCTCAATTTCCTCATCAGTAAAATGTGCACAGTGTCAAAACCCATGTCATAGAGTTGTTGTAAGGCTAAACTTAGCTGATAAATCTCAAGCCCTAGAGCAGGGCTAGCACATAGGAAACACTTCGTCAGTGTGAGGTAGATTAGTGTCATTGTTACACTGTAACCTACTAGCTGCTCTTGGAATCAGGCACTGGGAGTGAGATTAGGAATGAAGGGGAAATTTTACATGGAACAGTTACAAAACAGTCATAAAACTAGTCACAAGAGTCAGGTCTTTGCAGTTACCTATGAATTAAGTCACAGTGAACTAAGGAGTGTCTTCACCTGTTTATCGAATATAGAAATAAACCAGGCATATTCCTTATGAACAAACTAGCAAGGAGAGGAAAACCTGAAGAAAAGCCACCTGTAAAACAATTCCCGTGGCCGGGCACGGTGGCTCACGCCTGTAATCCCAGCGCTTTGGGAGGCCGAGGTGGGCAGATCACCTGAGGTCGGGAGTTTGAGACCAGCCTGGCCAACATGGTGAAACCCCATCTCTACTAAAAATACAAAAATTAGCTGGGTGTAGTGGCAGGCACCTGTAATCCCAGCTACTCAGGAGGCTGAAGCAGGAGAATCGCTTGAACCCGGGAGGCGGAGGTTGCAGTGAGCCAAGATGGCACCTTTGTACTCCAGCCTGGGACGAGTGAGTCTAAAAAAAGAAACAATTCGCATTTATTATTGTTTGGGGTTTTTGGGGGGGGGGTGGTTGGTTTGGGTTTTTGTTTTGAGACAGAGTCTCGCTCTGTCACCCAGGCTGCACTGCCGTGGCACTATCTTGGCTCACTGAAACCTCCATCTCCCAGGTTCAAGAGATTCTCATGCCTCGGCCTCCCGAGTAGCTGGGATTACAGGTGCACACTACCATGCCCAGCTAATTTTTGCATTTTTAGTAAAGACAGGGTTTCACCATGTTGGCCAGACTGGTCTCAAACTCCTGGCCTCAAGCGATCCGCCCACCTTGACCTCCCAAAGTGTTGGAGTACAGGCATGAGCCACCACAATGGCCTTGTTTTGTTTTGTTTTTATAGAGACAGGGAGTTGCCATGTTGTCCAGACTGATCTTGGCCTCAAGTGATCCTCCCGCCTTGGCCTTCCAAAGTGCCAGGATTACACACATGAGCCACTGCGCCCAGCCTATTGTTGATTATTAAGAGGAGTATTTCAGCCACATGGGTTAGATTGCTGGAGGCCCTTGTATAAAATGCAGACTTCTGAATGCCACCCCACCAGCCAAATCAGAATCTGAGGCCAGAGTCTGCTGCACACTAAAATGTGCACCTGATTTGCCCACAGCCCAAGTTAAACTAGAAGTAACAGTTGCTGAATTTGCTTTATTATTGCCTGATTGTCAGACCCAAGCTTTTCAGAAACCATTGGCATCTGTGTTAAGCTGTTGTGGGAGAAAGACAGACAAGCAAGTCGTCATTTTTATTGCCAGAAACTATTCTGAGATTTTAATGTGAAAAGTGGAAATTTTTTAATTGAGTTAGAAGAAAAACCTGGAGATTCGTGAACAATTAACAATAGGTGCAATCAATGAACCCCCTGCCAGCCGTTAAGCCTTCTAGTAGCCATGTTTTATGACTTTATGTAACCTAAATCATGTTTTAACAAATTTTAACCACAAAAGCATGGGGTTAGTATTTCCATTTTAAAAGAGAAATGACTACACTTTTGAGGGTGATTGTATCTCCCTGGATCTTTGAATTAGCCTAAGAAAATATCCAAATATGGCCTGGTGCAATTTGAATTGAGACCTCTGATTCTAGACTAACTTGCTAGGGTACAGTTAATGAAGTTCTGTCTCATTCCAAATCAAAATACTGTACTGCACTTGAGTAACAAATTCTATGTGCTTCCTTGCTTTTACTTAAAACTGATTCCCCTCTTAAAGGAAAACTCATTTCTGTCTCTCTGTTTTTCCTTCTCTAAAAGGAGCCTTTTATTCTGTGTTCATATTGGTTAAAGTAGTCTCCGAGTGCCCTTTGTTATTTGAGCTGCCTGGTAGCAGGAGGGCTTCTGCAGTCATGGGACTTTCCCAGGGGCACATCTTACTATTGTTTGAAAGTGACATGAGGTTCCCTGTTACAGCACAAGCTTATTTTACCCACTCCCTCTCTCTGAACTCACAGAAAAGGGAAAAGGACAGTTAGGAGAACATATCAAATGATGAGAGTGTTTCATAACATACTGAGCTGTGCATTTTGAAGCAGTAAAGAGGATTTTTCCAGTAACACTAATCCACAGCAATTTAGAAACCATCAGTACATACACCTGTTCCTGAAGGCAGTCATGAGCTTTCCAGGCTCCTTTAAATATGGAAGAGAAATACCTCCAGTAGTGCCTAAACCAAATAATCTCTCTTCCCTTATACTTCTATTGTTAGAGTTTAATCTTTCATGTTAGCCTTTTTTTTTTCATTTTTTGTCAGTGTGCATCTCACTTTTGGATTTCCACTTAATCTTTCATTTGTTTACAGTGCAGTTGTCTCCCTTCATATTTTATTTAGATCAGTGGTTCTTAAGTTTGGCTGCAATTTAGAATCACCTAGCGAGTTTTTAAAAGTCCCAGTTCTCAGGCTGCACACCAGACCAATTCTATCAGAATCTGTGGGTGGGAGGCCAGGCTAGGATCCAGGCATTAACAATTTTTGAAAGCTCCCCCAGGTGACCTGAATATCTAGCTCAGGTTGAGAACCAATATTTAGATTGTTGGTCTATAAGCATTACAGAGACTTTTGAACAGTGGTCCTCAAACTTTAGAGGGCAACAGAATCCCTGGAGGACTTATTAAAACACATAAATTAAAAATTGGATTAGAAAGGGAAGCATCAGAGGATCCATCCTGAGCTCTGCGTGAATGTGAATGGGGTCCCTTCGATATCATGATTATATGAGTTGGGGGATGGGAGGGCACAAAAGAAGACACCACCCAACCCTTAGGAAGCTCAGGATCTTGCAAAGGAGGTAGAGCTCACACCTGGGCAGCAGCAAGTTTTCTGAGCAGCCATGAAGCAGCAGAGAGAGCCTGGGGCTGACAATGCCTTTACTCCCATTCTGTCAGAGGTGTTTGAACCAGAGCAACTCCATCTTGAGTAGGGGCTGGGTAAAATGAGACCTACTGGTCATCTGCATTCCCAGATGGTTAAGGCATTCTAAATCACAGGATGAGATAGGGAGTCGGCACAAGATACAGGCCATAAAGACCTTGCTTGTAAAACAGGTTGTAGTAAAGAAGCCAGCCAAGACCCACCAAAAGCAAGATGGCCATGAGAGTGACCTTTGGTCATCCGCACTGCTACACTCCCACCAGCGCCATGGGAGCTTACAAATGCCATGGCAATGTTAGGAAGTTACTCTATATGGTCTAAAAAGGGGAGGCATGAATAACGAATAATCCACCCCTTGTTTAGCATATCATCAAGAAATAACCATAAAAATGGGCAACCAGCAGCCCTCGGGGCTGCTCTGTCTATGGAGTAGCCATTCTTTATTCCTCTACTTTCTTAGTAAACTTGCTTTCACTTTACTCTGTGGACTGGCCCTGCATTCTTTATTGCACAAGATCCAAGGGCCCTCTCTTGGGGTCTGGATCAGGACCCCTTTCCTGTAACAGTTCCATCTGGGGCAGATCACCTAACCTCCCCTGAAGTTCCATGCTGACTTCTGCAAAATTGGAACATTAACAGTGTTTTGACTGCTTGCAACAGTGTAGTTACTCGCAAAAGGATTATTTGAAAACATCCATAATTCCCTTTCCCCCTCCCTAACAATAACAAAATATTTTGAAACTACAAAAAGAAAAAATGGTTTTGTATTTGAATGTGTTAAATAGGGCCATTTCCTCTCCAGTTCACTACAGTCCCCACCACTCACTATAGCCTTCTTTTTTTTTTTTTTTTTCACTCTTGTTGACCAGGCTGGAGTGCAATGGCACGATCGCAGCTCACTGCAACCTCCACCTCCCGGGTTCAAGTGATTCTTCTGCCTCAGCATCCTGAGTAGCTGAGATTACAGGCATGCAGCACCACACCTGGCTAATTTTTGTATTTTTAGTAGAGACGAGGTTTCACCATGTTGGTCAGGCTGGTCTCGAACTCCTGAGCTCAGATGATCCACCCGCCTCAGCCTCCCGAAGTGCTGGGATGACAGGCATGGGCCACCGCACCCGGCCCCTATAGTCTTTTGACTGATGTTTCTTTACCAACTCAGGTGTTGTCATGTGATGCCTAGAACTGGGCATCCCATCTTATGACCAAGATAAAGGCTGGCCCTTGAGCAAAGCTGGTCCTCAGAGAACAGAAGGGAAAGATGGAAAGAACCTAGCCCCATAATGATTTTCTTGTGCTACTGAACTAACCCTACAAGAGCCTTACTTCTGGACTTTTAAGAAAGAAAAAAGAAAAATGGGAGAAAGATAGGGAAGAAGAAAAAAGGAGAGAAAGGAGAAAAAAGAGAGGAGAGGGAGGGAGGAAAGAAGGAGGGAAAAAGAGGAAGAAGAAAGGGGGAAAAACATCAGCCACCTTTAAGAATTTTACATGTGCTGGTAAGAAATAATATAGCTTAAAAAATAGATTTCTGCTTGTGTAGCCCAATTTATTAATTTTTAAAACTATGATCAGATGGTATTGATTAGTGGTCTCAAAATAAGGGAGAGAAACACCTATTTCTTGTGTTATTTTTTATTAAAGCAGGGAACAAATGGGACCTTCACAGTCCTTAAAGATGAAATACCCCCAAACCAAACCAGAGTTCACTGGCAAAGCAAAGCAGTGTCCTTACATCTCGGAGGGCCCTGACCCGCCTCTGTCCCGAACCCCACCAGCAGCGGCTCTGCTAGAAAGGGAACATTTTGTTCCTTTATTGTGGTAAACCAGACCCAGGGCCCCGCTGGTTCTCAAGTCAGCTGTGAAGCTGACACACTGCCTCTCAGGGTCAGTTTGGCCCCCACAGCAGGCCCTGGGGAAGCAGCCACGCCCTCAGCTCCCTTGGGGCCCTGTCTTCCATTCCTTAACAGGACCAGCTTCTTCAGAGACTCTGGACTCTCATAAACGTTGAAGCCAGATTGTTTCCCTCTTTGCTTTTGTTTTGATGTATTTTTAAATAATTAGGCTTTTACTCTCAAGTATTTTCATTCTCCATCACTGGCTGAGGGGCAGCTCTCACACCACACTAGGGCAAGGCATGCTACTATGGTATCCAGTAAACAGTTGCCAAACAAAGTCAAAAGTTCTCTTTGGCCAAAGCCAAAATCAAGTTCTCTTTTGTACTTGTTGTTCTTCCATCTGCCCTGAGCTATGTCATAGCTGTCAAAATATGTCACCCCCTGCACCTCCGTGCAGGGTTTAAGAAAAGCAGCTCCTTGGACTTTTGCCAGCGACTTTCTTGCAACATCTTAATTATCCATTTTTTGCTTAGCAAGTAAGTCTAGAAAGAACTGCTTCTTTTATTCTTGGAAAGTAAGTACTTGGGAATGTTCAATGAAAACCAGTATGTGCTGAACTCCTGCTCTGTGCTAGGTTCTGGGGAAGGGGAGGCAGTCCCTGACCAAGGGGATCTCACAGTCAGTGAGGAGAGTGTCCCCTGAGGTCGCTGGGAAGAAGCAACACATTTCCCTGTCCAGTGGCAACTACCTCCTCATCACCTAATCCCTGCGCCCGGAGCACAAACTCATCCTAAGCAAAGGCAACTGAGCAGCTGTTTTCCTGTTCACCCCACCTCAGGTCCTCACTACTTTCCTACCGATACCATTCTAAGTTCCCAACGCATTTTGTGAAAGTAAGTCAGTTTGATTCATCATATAGTCATTGGTTCTGATGTTGTGGTTCTAAGCTTATTTTATACATTGTTATCTAATTTATTCTTTCTTAACAACCCTGTATAGTAGAGATACTTCTTCTTGAATTACAACCAGAAAATTTGGAGAGGTTGAAGAACTTGCCTACAGTCACCCAGTAAGGAGGTGGAGCCAGGATTCAAACTCTGGTCTGATTCTCGGCCCTGGTGGACACTGGCTTTCAGAGCTGTAACTTGCAGTTTTGGTGCCCAGAACCTGCAGCACAAAAGCTCCGCAAATGACTTTGTGATTTATTATGAAACTCAAAGAAAGAACAAGCTTCCTACTTTAATTTTCCTTGCTAATGACAGTTTTCAGCTGAAGAAATCCATGTGCTGTCAACATGTAAATATAACCTTTTTTTTTTTCCAATGTCTGTTCCCGGGACAGAGCCTCCCAGTAGGCCTTGCACTGTGCTGCATGTGGTCCCTGGAGTTTTACAGCCTCACTACAGACACAAAACAGAGTGGTTAACACAAGCAATCCTGAATTGCATAAATGTGCTGGATGCCCATGCTAGACTAAGAAAGTTCTTCGTATTCAGGAGAAACACTGTGGCCCTGAGAGGCCAGGGAAGGCCACGTGGAAGAGGAGAGTCCATGGGTGGGTAGGATTTAGGACCAGGGGAGAAGAATTGCAAGCAAGAGCTGGAAATATACAGTTGAGGCTGGGAAGAGCTCACACTGAGAAGTGGCAACACATAAAGTTGGAAAAGTAGGTTGGAGCCAAATTGCTCAGGATTTTAAGTGCCAGAAGGAGGAATTGGAGAATGGAAGCTGGGAGACCAGGCAGGAAACAGCTGTTCTCCAGGAGAGAGAGAGCAAGGGTCTGTCCCAAAGTGGGAGCACAGGTAGGAAACAATTGAGAGGCATTTTGAAGGATGAAGGCTCCTCTGTCTCCTGTGCCCAGGAGCCCTGCCCTCTGCTAGGCTCTGGGACTAGTAATGCTGATTAACTGATCTGCCAGTGGATGCATTGGCCCTCCCTGATGACCCGGCACCCTTCTTGGAGAAGAGTGGGACTCTGGCCCCCTATCCCTCCATGTTCAATTGCCCACATCACTCAACTCTTCCTGTCCACCACACTTACCCTCCCAAGTGTATTTCCTCATCTGCAAAAACAGCATGAGAAAGCTCCTCCTTCCTAAGTTTATTGTGAGGTTGAATAAGGTCATGCGTGGAAGATGCAAAGCACAGGGCCTGGCGCTTGTAACCGCTCAGCAGATGGGAACCGCCAGCATAAATATTCTGCACCCTTGGTCAGCTGGGACCCATTATTGAGAGTGGCTATTCTCGTCTCTCTCTATGAAATGTTAGACACTAGCAGACAGCTGAAGGTGAAATCAAGCAAGTTTGAACTGTGGTCTCTCTCTGGGGCTCCTTGTCAGGTAAGTTGGACATAAGCAACTTCCTAACAAAAGAGCCAGAAGTTGTTTCATTCTGACAGTGAAGCATGACTTCATAGTTTCTTATTCTATAAGTTGTACAGACAGACTTTTCTTCCTTTTTGTGTTTATGCCATGATGTCTTGGAGCCAAGCTATAGCAGAGCCCCTGGATAGGAATTTAGGATGCTTTTGGACCCCTTCCATAGAGGTCAAGTCCTGGGAATACTGGAAGGGCCTTCACACAAGAGCTCCCTCATCCCATCCCTGTATGTCTTGGACATAGAAAGAGAGGAGGAACTGACATTTAACGACAATGTGCTGTGGCTTTGACACGTGTCATGTTATGTAACCCTCACACCAGTCCTATGAGATAGGGATTGTTATCTGCACTGTTGTAAGTAAGGAAATAGTCTTGATTGAAGGGCCTTACCCAAACTCACACATCTAGTCATCACTGCAACCAACATTCTGCCTCTTGGTGCCCCTCGCTGAAGCTCCTTATTTCCTGCATACTCTCCTCCTCCCAGGGCTGCTGAGGCCACATGGTAAGCCTACTGCTGCTGTTCCTATGAGTTTCCTTTTTCAATGTGTTTTTTAGGAGACGAGGCCTCACTGTGTTGCACCACCTGGAGTGCCATGGCTATTCACAGGCACAATTGTAGCTTACTACAGACATGAACTCCTAGGCTCAAGTAATCCTCTTGCCTCAGCCACTCGAGTGCAGGGACTACAGGTGTGTGCCACCATGCCTGGCCTGTTACCATGACTTTCCAATTCAGCAAATTTTCTGTAATAGGATGATTGAGAGGTTTGTAGTTCCATAATGGTGGCTGGCTATAATGATTACCTATAACTATATAATTGGGAATAAACTGAAACAGGTGCAAACTCTAATCAGCCCCAAATAACATCTTAATGACAAGTAGAGGACAAATTAAATGGAAGCAAAGTCGTAGGACAGAGTACAGAAAAGCATGGTGACAGGAGTTTCTTGTCTGTCTCTAAGGAAGTAGGATGGGATGGAGAGTCAATTCAATTTAGACAGAAGCTGAAGATCAAACAACAGAACATTTTAGCTTCTATTTTAACTATGTATTTTACAGCTGGATTCCAAAGAAGATAAATAAATTATATTTGCACCTATCATCTTTTCAAATATCTTTGCCAACAAAGTCATTCAATATATTGAGTGTCCCTGTGGTCAAGATCTTACACATTTAATGTATGAAAGAGGAGAGACAAGGCCCTGCAGCAGAAAATCTCACAATTTGAGGGAGAAGAAATGGGAGCAAGGAGTTGTTTAAGAAAGACAAAATACATACAAAGTAATGTGTCCGCAAGTGGGAGCCATGATAGCTGTGGGTGTGGAGTTGCCACATGATGATGTTCCATGGCTGGCTGCCTGATCAAGCGGAGCCTCAAAGGTCATCTGTGGCTTGGTAGAGGCCTGGGTCCAGATCGGGCCCTTAACTTTTAAGTTTCAGAAACCCCATGTTGTAATCAGCCCACACAACGTTGACCAGGCCTCAAGGAATGGACTCTTGCCAACCAAACTCCCATAGTAGACTGACGGGAAAACCAGCATGCCAGTTGAAGTAATGTACCATCAGAGACACACCTTTCTAATTACTATGCAGGGGACCCCTTTCTGCTGTGTACCAGAAAAACTGAATTAGCATTTAGAAAACTACTTGTTAAACAGGAATCAGGGTAAAAGAAGTCTTCAGGAGTGTGTGGCTCAGATCGTTGGTACAGTCTGGAACATTTTTGCCATTCCCTGACACCCCTGGGGAAACACTAGCTAGATTCTTACTCTTCACCTCTCTTCTTCTAGGCTCCTTACAGACTCTTTCATGCCTTTAATTATCTTTACTTCTCATCAAATAACATGACTTATTACAACTTACCTTGTCATTACTTTTTGTAATTTAATCTTCCAATAAACTTTGGGTATCTAATCTTGATGTAGCAAACCATGAAATCCTCAGCAATATGTTTGCAAAACCACCCCAAGGATGGGTTGCATCTGCAAGTGTTTAATCTCAATTTATATTGTGAAGATTCTTATGGCTTCCCCTTCAAATCCCGACACCCTTTGACCTTGTCCCCAAATTCCAGAGGTGCTATTATCCATACAGACATATGTTATAGATTCCAGAAGTGCTAGAAGATTCTGGAAGATAAGAGGAACTGAATTTATATTGCTCTGAAACAGGATGCACAGAAAAGCAAGTCTCACACCACTCCTCTTTCATGTCTGATGCAGCACAAGTGTATAGACAGCTCATCCCTGGAGCTCATGATAACAGAGTTCCTTCTAGCCTACTTCAGTTGTAGTCAGCCCTAGCTACTATAACAAAATACCATAGACTGGGTGGTTTAAACAACACACATTTATTTCTCACAGTCCTGGAGGCTAGAAAATCCAACATCAAGATACCAGCAGATTCTGTTTGGGTGAGGGCTCTTGGCTTGCAGACAGCCACCTTCTCACTGTATCCTCACGTGGTGGGGAGAGTGAGCTCTGGTCTCTTCCTCTTCTTATAAGGACACTAATCCAGTAATGGAGGTCCCACCTTCATGCTCTCATTTAAATCTGCCAGAGGCACCACCTCCTAATAAATACCATCACACTGGGGGTTAGGGCTTCAGTATATGAATGGCAGGGGCACATTCAGTCCATAGCAAATGCCCACCAGGTTCTGCTATACCAGATATTTTCTATTAAGTGGAGAAACTGTAGATAGTTTTCTTTTTTTTTTTTTTTTTTTTTTTTTGAGACGGAGTCTCGCTCTGTCGCCCAGGCCGGACTGCGGACTGCAGTGGCGCAATCTCGGCTCACTGCAAGCTCTGCTTCCCGGGTTCACGCCATTCTCCTGCCTCAGCCTCCCGAGTAGCTGGGACTACAGGCGCCCGCCACCGCGCCTGGCTAATTTTTTGTATTTTTAGTAGAGACGGGGTTTCACCTTGTTAGCCAGGATGGTCTCGATCTCCTGACCTCATGATCCACCCGCCTCGGCCTCCCAAAGTGCTGGGATTACAGGCGTGAGCCACCGCGCCTGGCCAACCGTAGATAGTTTTCAGTACACATACAACCATTTTGGTTTTGGGGGCCCAAACAAAAGGTGGTACAGAAAGTTTGTTTTCTAACCAGCTTATTAAATGAGTTTCAAGTACAGAGTAAAGAAAATTAATGTAACTAAATCTTGGGACATGATTTTACTGAGGATTGTCCAGGGTCTTTTGAGGCCGCAATTAGAGATGAGACCAGACCTTTCCATTCCTCATCTGCTCTGCTGGACTCCAGAGCACTGCCTTCCTCCAAAAAGGAAAATTAGAAACAAATTCTCAAGTGGTTTGATAGTAATTCAGCCCAGCAAATTTTACTTTCCATTAAAAGTCACCAGCTGTCATGTGCTTAGCTTTAAATGGAAATAACTTGCTCTCAAAAAACATTTTTCAGTTGATGTCACTTGTGAGTTTTATTTTCTCCTAATGAAAAATGGATTTGCATTAGTGCAACTTTGGGGACAGGAAACCCCTGGATGGAGGCCTGAGCTGGTGATCTGCCCCTGCCCTGAGGAAAGCTAATTACCGGCCGGCCAGCGTGGAAGATTGATGCTGCGGTCAGGAGGGGACTTTGGGGAACAGAGGGGAGGAGTGTTGATAATGGTCTGTCTTCTTTGCAGTGAGAGTCCCCACGGTGCTTCTTCCTTTAAAAAAAAAAGAAAAGAAAAGAAACGTAAAAAATGCTTTTAAGTGTTGAGATTTTGGAGAGGGCAGTGAATATTTTAACACGATTAATGTTTTTTAGGGAGGCAGCCCTTCTCAGCCTCTAATACTCCCGTGCTCAGAGCCTGTCACATCTGAGGCCTCATCCCTACAGAGCTCTCTGTGGAAGAAGACTCTCTGTGGCCCTCCACTGTGTTCAGGTGCCTCCCAGAATCTCTTGTCGGTGACAGCTGGAATGATCTCTTCATGACCCTCAAGAACAAAACAAAGAGAATCTCTCGACTGAAGCTCCTTGAAGGCTGAACTAGTCCCTTACGCAGTCCTGCCTCTGTGGCACCTCACAGGAGAGCCAGGACACTCAGGAGCCCCCTGCAGTGGTCCTGGCAGACAGAGGAGGCAGGAGGGCAACGCCTAGAACCCTCGGCTTTCCCTACTGGGAGCCCCTGGTCAGGGTGGGCAGAGCAGACTCTTGAAGAGTCATTCCAGCAGGGGCCTGACCCACTGAAAAGAATGAATGGAGAGACCAGAGACACTGGGAGCTGGTGGAACTGGGAAACAGAGAAAGGGAGAAGCCAACAGCCACAACATTCACAGGCCCCCAGACTGAAAGCTGGCAGTGTACTTAAAACCGTGTCCTTAAGTGGGCTGTCTTGCCTCACCGGTCCCCTACATACATGCACACGCATGCACATGCACACACACACAGGCATCACACACCCACCTCTGGGGCACTGTCCATGAATACAGCAGCACTCAAACCTGGGGCTATACCCAAGTGCCATCCCAGCCTAGGCAAAGCTTCCCTCAACCCCCTGTCTCCATGCTCACAGAAAGGGCTTAGAAGTGTCCAAGAATTTTTGAATAATGTTCTTGACAGACACCAAAGCTTTTTCCTCCTCCAGAGCGTGGAGGGCTGGGGCTGCCCCCAGGGAAGTCTCCCCTGGCAGCTCCTGTCTGAGCAGCTGGGGCCAGCTCCAGGAACACTAAATTCTGGCTGCGTTTCCAGTCAAGGCCGGGTTACTTTAGAATCCCTCTTCTCCCCCCTTGTCTTTTCAAGCAGGAGCCAGCCAAGGTATTCGTCATGTTTCCGAGCTACCCTGCTGCTTGATTTATGTGCACGCAGGGCTGGGACGAAGATGCCAGAGCGGGGTGAAGGCTAACCCCGAGGGTGAGGGGAAGTGGGGTGCTGGACTCTCCCGTCACCCCAGGGGCCACTGAAAGGGTCCCTGGTTTTTGTATCAACTGTGTTCAGCTCAAGGTTGGAGACCATGTGGACGCCACAGCCCCGGGAGCAGAGGAACAGAGACAACATGCTCTCCAGCTCTCTTGCTCTTGCTCTCTTTTTTGTGTCTCACACTGTGAGATCTTGGCCATAAAAGGAATGAAGCTTTGCTTGCCCTCTCACTGGGCTTCTCCTAAAAGGGCTTTCCGAAAAATTTCCAGCCTTCTCCTTCGGGACACTGGATGTGGTCTCTTTGGCCAAAGAGAAAACGAGTAACAGACGAAGCCCTTGCAGATGAGGAGGCCAAAACCGAAATGTTAATCACCTCGAAATATGTGCACTGCTCTCTCCAGTGCCTCGCTTGGCTCTCCTCAGAGGATCTTTGATGGGGGATTTTCCCCCTGGGGGTGGGGGATTTGCCATCAATATTTGGGAACACGTTTGAGGGTCCAACTTGCAATGACAAGATAATTGTCATTCAGTGTCTAACGTGCCTGTTGTGGTGACTCTGAATGGTTGAAATATTGATTGCAGCTCTTGGTTAAACTAATACTCCTACAACACTCCCATAAAAGCTCAAGATGCTGTCATCCAAAATGAATAAAAATGCCTCTTTTTATTCCACTGCATATGAAAACATGAGATCATTGGAATATATTTAGAGTGAGATTTGGCAGCCTATACATGTTTACAATTCTTGGACTCAAAGCTCTAACGTGAATCGGAGGCACTCTTTTTCGTCTTCGCCTTCTTTTCTTTCTCTAAGAAGGTGAATGCTGATTCCAAGAGTTCATAATCCCTTTTCTTCGTATTACCCAAAGTTAACCTTGCTAAGAGACTAATGACATCCTCAGTTCCAATGGCCAGCTAGAAAGCCTGAGCCTTGACGTGTTAATGCAATGATTCAACCACTGACGTGGCTCCTCACCATCCATCACCCAAGGCAAAGCCTCCACTGGGCTTGAGAAGATTATCCAAAAGTCCTGCCGTTTCCTCAAGTCTTTGAACCATGACTGGGTCTGATTCTATTGGATAGAAGTCTGCAATGCCTTAGGGTCAATGACTCTTGTTATTGCATAGATTTTGGTTTCTTTCTGAAGGAAAGCATGGAATCCTTCCTACTCCAGGAGGAAGGCAGGAACAGTGTGGAATCAACACAGATGCTGCCTGTGCTCTCCTTCCTTGTACTACCTCATCTCTAAGGGGCTGGTGCTTGACCCTGACTGCACATACGATCATCTGGACAGCTTTAAAAACACTGAGGCCTGGTCCCCAACCCCCAGCGATTCTGATTATATTGATCTAGGGCACGCCTGAGCACCAAAAGTTTTTTAAGGTGTTATACTCTATCTTATTTATGTATTTTGTTTTTTGTTTGTTTTTTGAGATGGAGTTTCACTCTTGTCACCCAGGCTGGAGTGAAATGGCACAATCTCAGCTCACTGCAACATCTACCTCCTGAGTTCAAGCAATTCTCCTGCCTCAGCCTCCCTACTAGCTGGGATTACAGGCATACGCCACCACGCCCAGCTAATTTTTGTATTTTTAGTAGAGACAGCATTTCACCATTTTGCCCAGGCTGGTCTCGAACTCCTGACCTCAGGTGATCCACCTGCCTCGGCCTCCCAAAGTGCTGGGATTACAGGTGTGAGCCACCACACCTGGCCCCTAATTATGTTTTTTAGAATTAACGTGCAGAGAAAAAAGATTTGGAAGAACAGTCACCAATATGTTAACTATCTCCAAGTAATAGAATTGAGAATTTTTATTCACTTATGTATTCTTCTGGGTGTCCTGAAAAATTTTTTGCAGCAAAGGACATTTCAACGAAACAAATTGATAGTATAAAGGAGGGGAAATGCTATTTTCCACTTAAAAGGAAGGAAGTTCAGGATACTCAAAATAGAACTCTTCATCTCCCTCCCTAACCTGACTCTCTTCCTGCATCCCCAGTTCTGAAAATAGCACCAGGTTCTCACCAGCCCACGTCCCACAGGCATCCCAGCCTCCTACCTTCCCTAAACCCATTCATCCAATTACTTACTAAGTCTCCACATGCAGCTTCCTTCATACTTAAATTTCCTGACTCCTGTTCACACAGGTGCCACGCCCACTGCCTCTCAGTTTGGGTTTCCACTACCTTGCTTGCTACCGATGGGGCTAGGCTGGCTCCTCAGCATGCTCTCCGCCTCCATGCGGGCACCCTGCAGCCGTGGTGATCTTCCCTGAAACCCACATCCGCTCCTGCCACGGGCCTGTTAAAAACCTGCAGTGGGGCTGGGCGCAGTGGCTTATGCCTGAAACCCCGCACTTTAGGAGGCCAAGGTGGGCGAATTGCCTGAGATCAGGAGTTTGAGACCAGCCAGGGCAACACGGTGAAACCCCGTTTCTACTAAAAATAAAAAAAATAAATTAGCTGGGCGTGGTGGTGCATGCCTAATGCCAGCTATTCAGCTATTGAGGCATGAGAATTGCTTGAACCCGGGAGGCAGAGGTTGCAGTGAGATCGCACCACTTCACTCCAGCCTGGGCGGTACAGCAAGACTGCCTCCAAAATAAATAAATACGAATAAAAACCCGCAGCGGCCTCCTCATTTCCAGAGCACACTGGAGCAACTTGCATGGCTTCCAAGGCCCTCCGTGATCCGATCCTGCCCACCTTCACAGGCTCCGGCCTTGCAGCCCTTGCCCTGCACCCTCCCACCCACCATGAGCAACAGCTGGAGGTCCCCCCCCATGCATCATTGTCTCCCTGACTCAGAGCCTTTGCCTGTGCTGCTCCCGTGCTTGGAACGCCCTTGCCTTCCCCATCCTGTTTCCCCCGGGTCACCCCTGCCACTTTACC